>NC_000009.12:64315162-64656643 GCF_000001405.40 Homo sapiens
GAATTCTCACCTATGAGAGAGGAAGGGATGGGATTCAACCTGGAAAAAGTAATGAAGTTTTAGTGAACTTGGTAAGGTAGACTCAACAATTAATGATGGATAATGCTAGGACCCAACACTGGTAATGAGTTTGTATTATGACTCAATAGCATCACTTTATCACTTTAACACAGATGGAGGCCTAAATAACCATAGGGTAATGGTTCTTCTTAGATGCAGAAGGACACATTTATATAATCTTAGGGACCCCATCTCTGAGGTCACTCATAATTTATATTAATTCATTGTTATTGCCATTGCCCCAAGAATAGATAAGGATAAGACATCCTGTAGTACAGGTAGCAGAGATATAAACTATTCTTATTCTTGTGTCTTGTCTATAGGAAGGGAGTGTATCCTGGTGTAAGACAGCATATAGTAGAGACCATTGTCAATTAGGGCCTGTGAACTAAGACAGGGTGACTGGCTAAGTCCACAACCCATTAGAAACCCAGAAATAATCAAATCATGGTGAGTAGTAATAACACTTATTTATAATACTATACGGTATAAAGACAAGAACCAATTATGTTGAGTAGCTGTAACAAATAGCTCTATCATTCGTAATAACTTTTTCTGTAATAAAACTGAATTGTAACATGATCATACTGCAATATGACATTACACTAGCATTGTTGGTAAGATTCAACTATCTTATGTAGAGAAGTTATATAATGCTTATATTGATAATCAAATGTATTAAGATATTGAGTTAAAGCCTCTTCAGAATGTAATCTGGGTGAATAATAAATGGCCTGAGAAAACAGAATTCAGCTAACCATTATCTAATTTCAATGCTAAATAGTTCTGCACAGATTTATCAAAAAGTAAAAATAAAAGCAGATTGAGAGGAGGAATGAGTAATTTTGTTTGTACAAAATATTAAAGTGTATGCAATGGGCTTGTAGGATGCATTAGTAATTTTTAAAAATCAATCTTTACCCTACACTGTGTCCATAAAATGCTAGGCATATTCATGTTAATATTACTGTTGTTACTGTCATATAAATGCCATATTCAATGTAGATGCTCAGAAAAATATGATTGTTTTGCTACAGGAGAGATTAGACCAGGGACAATAAATATGGATTAGGCAAGAATGTGTTAACTCAGCAGCCCAGGGTTTTTTCAACCCTGCACATTCAGAGGTAAGGTTTGTTTTTAGGACTAGCTAGCCTCTGAGTTCTGGAAATAGTCTTACCGTGAAGAGTGTTTTTGTATATCTGAGGCCTTGGGTTTATGGTGAATGACTGACTTTATATGCCTGAGGCCCTGAGCCATGCTGTATTTATTTGAACCATGTGGTATCAATTTAACCAGATACGTTTATTCTAAGATATGATTTATGCTGAATGCCTGGTTTTGTTCTAGAGGGATCATGGAAAGGAAGCTGAATTTGCCAAGTTTTGCCACTTGGGCATTGCATGCCTATGTGATTAACCACCAATAAAAACCTGGGACATCAAAGAATAAATAAGCTGCTCTAATTGCCAAGAATTCACATGTGGTTGTATGCAGCTTTACTGGGAGACTGAAGTGTATCTGCATGTGATTCTGCTGTGATGGACACTTGTAAGTTTGTGCCTGGAGTCTCCTGGACTTTGCCCTGAGAATCTTTTTCCTTTGTTGATACGACTCTGCATCCTTTTGTTTTAATAAACTGTAAACATGAGTATAATTGCTTCTCTGAGTTCTGAGAGTTTTTTAAATAAATAATCAAAGCTGAAGAGCAATGGAGACCCCCACCAAAACATCTTTACACATTTCAATTTTGTATTGAAGTAAATTTTATTTTCTTTTTTATACCTCCCATATATATTCTATTTTTCTCATTATTATTTATTTTATCCCAAATCTTTTATCTGTGATCATTTTCCTTTGTTTGAAATTTGTCTTTTGAGGTTTCTTTGGAAGGTGCTTTTGGATGATAAATTTTCTGTTATTCTTTGTCTAAAATGTCATTATTTTGACTCATTTATAAAAGGAGTTTTTGTGTTTTATAAACCTCTAATGTATAGAAGTGTGTCTAAACTCATTGAGGATATTTTCCAAATTTTTTCTTACTTTTTATTGCTGTTGATAAGAAGTCAGTGTTGGTATTTTGACATTTAAGTTATGTGTCATTTTGTTGTGGTAGTTCTGAAGATCTTCCCTCTGTTTTATATTCTCCTTCACCTTTCATAAATGTACTTTATATTTATTTGGTAATAAATTTTGAACATATACTGTGCTATAAAGATAATCTAGGCCCTTTGGTTACATCTTGTAAATAAAATCAACAAAATCTGTTTTGAGATTATATTGTAATATAAGATACCCAAAGTAACTAGGATGTGTACCATATGTTTGAAGGTGGTAAATACGATGAGAAAAATAGATCAGGTCAGGAAGAATGAAGATGATTGAAGGTACAGGTTATGATGAAAACTTAGGTGTGCCGAGGAATGAATTCATCTTATGTATCTTGAGTGTAATGTCTTATTTCTCCTGAATCTGAGAATTTGATGTCTTTCATTAGGGATGTCAGTAAATCTCACTAATGAACATATTAGACTCCAGTTTAATATATGATAGTCATTTTCATTCTGTCTTTCATATCACTGAATCCTTTCTCTTTATTGTTCATTTTTATACATCTCTTAATAGTCAAAGTGAATTTAACTATGTTTTACGTTATGTGGTTATTCTCACTTTAGCTATCTCTAACGTATTATGAATGTGTCAGTTGTGTGTTTGCTCTCCTCACTAAATATTGAGGAAAACATGAATGCATCATCAGTTTTTCCACTGATAGAACTGTTTAAGAAGTACATATGACATTATATTTTTTCTTTCTGTATTCTGTAGACTTACCTGTAAAGTCTAAGGCTAACATTGACTTTATGCTAATTAGTACTGTGTTCATTTCAGATGTGTAATATGCCTTGTACAAATATAAATAGATAAAACATTAAAGGTGCTACTACTCAAAACACACAGGGAATAAAATATTCTATTTGAAACATCAACATAGAGTTTACACTGAGGGAAATTTTTATTCATTAGTTTAAATGGGGAAAATACAATAAATATTATTGGGTTAAAATAGAGAAAGTTAAGTGGAAAGATGAAATGATGAAGAGCCCAGAGAAAATTGTTCAGTTTGCATACAAATTGGGAAATTGACACCTTACCTGCCTAGGTAGAATTTCATAGCATTAACTAAAATAATTACTTAAACTTACAAGATTTATTAGAAAAATATGAATAGAAAAATAAAATGCATTGTTGCATTTTATGTAATTTTACTTGAACTTAGTTTATAACATGTACATAGATTAAGTTGATTTAAATATTTTATGTACAAAAAACTATATTGTTGAAGATTCTAAGAGCTTAAAACTAAAATACAAGATAAACATTTACTTAACAAAAAGAGTAAATAAGATGAAGAATTTGAAAGAATTTAAGAATTAATTTCAGTTTCTTTTCCAAAATGTATGTGGTTAGCCTACAATGCTTTTACAATCTGTTATTTTATGAGTATGAATATTGATTTTATTATTACCTAAACATGTATTATTTTTAAAATATGGCAAAAGAATTAAAGTTCTATAGTTTGACAAAGCTGTAAAGCAGATCAATCCTTTGACAGCTTAATGAATAAAGCATGCATGTAGTTGACACTAATTCATTTAATAAACATTTGTAGAACATATATGTGTAAGAAATTGTGCTAAGGAGATGAATGGCACATTAAAATAAGAAGACAAGTTTCCAGATACTAAGGAGTTTATGTAACTGTAAGGTACATAAAACAATACAAATGAAAAGGCTAAAATAAATCAGAAAATGAAGGGAAGAAAACAAATATCCATATTAAGTATACATAATATCTCAAATATTCTTTAAGATGTCTTAAATAGATTTTAATATTTAATCCTAATGACAGGATAATCTGATTTATTACAGATGATATAATTGAGGCTAATACAAATCTGTTGACTTTAAATTTTCAAAGTCTTCCTGAATTATTTGACTGTGTAATATTTTGGTAAACATAAATAAGTGGATACTAATGCATTGAAACAGAAACAGAATACTGTTCAAGAAATAGAAAAAAATGAAACAATAGAAAAGATCGAATTTGTAGTATGACTACAATTTAAGATTTAATAAAGACAAAAATAGAAACCAATATGTAGTTAGGAGGATAGAAAAAAGTACAGTGGACCCTCCATATCCATAGGTTCTGCATGTGTGGATTCAACCACCCATGGATCAAAAATATTTGGAAAAACATTTATGAAAAAGTGAACACATATGGAATTCTGCCTTGTCATTATCCCCTAAAGAACACACTATAACTAACTACATAACATTTACATTGTACTTGGTATCATAAGAAATCTAGAGATGATTTAAAGTATGTGACAGTGTGGATGTAGGTGTATAAAATACTATTATACATCATTTTATGGAAGGGTCTTGAGCATCTGTAGATTTTTGTGTCTGAGGGTTCCTAGAACCAGTACCCCACAAATACAGAGGAACAACTGTAATGAGTTCCTAGTAAACTAGGCTGAAGTATTATAACCGTACACAAAATAATTTAAGGCAGAATGATTAAATAATATATAGCAGTATGTATAAGAAGTGAAGATAATTGAAAATTAAATTGATAGGAAAGACATGACAAATATAATGAAATCAATGGAAAAGTTAAAACTTTAGCAAGATGTACAAGCAAGGATTGGGTAGATTTCATCTGAAAGATATAATTTCTAATGACAAAGTACTTTAATAGTCTAGCCTAATATTTTATTGTATCTTAAAACTTCCCTCTGGCTCATTCTGGTCTGATCACACCAGCTTTCTTATGGCTTCTTTTATCTGCCAAGAATTATGCTCTGGTCTAATTGACCTCCCCAAATTTGTATATTAAAATTCTCACCACCAAGGTGATAATATTAAAAAATAGGCAATTTTGTAGGTGACTGGATCATGGGAGTGGAGCCCTTATGAAAGGTGCCAGAGAGACCCCTCCCTCTTCCACCATGTGAGGTTAGACTGAGAAATACATCTCTGTGGTTTATGAGCTGCTCAGTCTATGGCATTTTGTTATAGCAGCCCATGCTAATGAATACAGATGACCGTGTGTCTGCAGACCTTCCTAGGAAATTATTGAGTCCTTCATTGAATACTAAACTGTGAATACATGAGAGAAAATAACTGAAGCCTGGGGTAAAATGCCAACACAAAGGGTTTGAAGAACAATTCTCAAAGCTCAGAAAGCTCTGCAAATATTATTGTTGCCACAAACCAAAGTAGAAGACAGGGTAATGTATGAGCTATTAGGTAGAATCTTTGGAAGAATCCTGCTTTTGTGATGGAACTCACTCATTCCTAAACCTAAAGCAACTCTACATCTTCTCTAAGAAAATTTTATAGCAATCTCTAAAAGCATCAAACTAATTCCAAATAATTTAACTGTGTTTGAGAACAAAATACAAATATACAAAAGGAATTCAACAAAATCCATCACATAACAATATAGAATTCACAATATCTGGTTTTGATGAACATAATAATTAGCGTTGAAACATGTTAATTCAGGTGTTAAAAATATGCTTTATTTTTTCAAATAAGATGGGAAAATATGTATATTACGAGAAGATAAAAATGGAAGAAATAAAAACAAGCAGACTCCTAAAACAGAAAAAATAACTATATTAGATTAAAAATGTATGAATAAATTTAACAGCACTTTAACCATTGTAGAAAAAATACCAGTGATTTTGATAACATAACAATATAAACTATCCAAAACAGAAAACATAGACACATTTGAAAAAACAACCACACTGTGTTTGACAATATCAAGCAGCATAATACAAGAAGAGATGGAGTCCCAGAAGAACACTGAGTGGATGTATGTGTGTGAGTATGTGGTAGGGAAGAACAAAACCAAAAATTCGAAGAAACGATTGCCAAAATGTTATTAGAATCACAAATAAAGACAAAATGGCAAGGTAAACTATTGTCTAATTTCTGAAAATCAGTGAGAAAGAGAAAAATCTTAAAAGGCATCAGAGATGAAAAAATAATCCACATCAAAAGAAATACACACACAAACACACAAATACGGGCAATTTTCTTCAGAAACTATGAAAGCTTGGAGACAATGGAGCAATCATAAATAATTAAATAATAAAAAACAGCTTTATCTACATTTTTATAACAAGTAGAAAATTTTAAGCACTAAAGCAAAATAGGGCTCATTTATTTTTAGAAAATTAAAAATAGGTTTGGAACTAGGGTAAAGAAAATGACACAACTAGGTCCAAAAACCTAAAGAGCTACTCACTTTCAGAGTTATATATTTGAGATTGAGAGTGCAAGACTTGTGCCTTGTGTGACCCGAGAGAGTGCCTCATTAAGTGTTTCACCAGAGGTAAAATTTGCTCATCTCAACGTTGTCTCAGCACTGAACAAAATCTAAAGAATTTCATTGTCAGCCATCCTCCATTGTCATTTATAAGAAAGATTCCTAAGGCAGAAGTAAAATTTTATGAGATGTATATGTGTGTCTGCAGAAAAAAACTGGCAATGTATTATACTGCATATCAAGTGATATACTGTTATTTGAAAGTAGGCTGTGGGCCGGGCGCGGTGGCTCACGCCTGTAATCCCAGCACTTTGGGAGGCCGAGGCGGGCGGATCACGAGGTCAGGAGATCGAGACCATCCCGGCTAAAATGGTGAAACCCCGTCTCTACTAAAAATACAAAAAATTAGCCGGGCGTAGTGGCGGGCGCCTGTAGTCCCAGCTACTTGGGAGGCTGAGGCAGGAGAATGGCGTGAACCCGGGAGGCGGAGCTTGCAGTGAGCCGAGATCCCGCCACTGCACTCCAGCCTGGGCAACAGAGCGAGACTCCGTCTCAAAAAAAAAAAAAAAAAAAAGAAAGTAGGCTGTGATGAGTTAAGTATTTATATTTTAAAACTTAAAGTAGAAGTATTTATATTTTAAACCTTAAAGCAGAAGTATTTATATTTTAAACCTTAAAGCAGAACCTAAAAAAGAAGTACATTAGTAAACCAATAGTAGAAATAACACAAAATAATGAAGTACATATTTAACTAATCTACAAAATTTAAAAAAAGGATAAATAATTGAACAAGGAGCATATAAGATAAATAGAAAACATAGCAAGAAGTTATATTTAAACCTAAGCTTATTCATAATCACATTACATTACATGTAAATCATTCATACACATCAATGAAAAATCAGAAATCTAATTCTGTCTACTAAAATTCTACTGCAAATATAAATACATAGATATCTGTGTGTGTAGTACAAACAAAAATTTATAGAAAACTAGAGTTACTATATTAATGTCAAACTAAATATATTTCAGAATGAAATATATTACTAGTGATAGAAAATATACTCACTGATTATAAAGGGGTCAATTTATTAAGATAACTAAACAATATTAACACAAAGAAACTATACATGTTAAGGTGATGAATATCAGAATCCTGATTTGATAATTGTATGTCGTATGCTTGTATGCATATGTACCCCATACATATGTGCAACTATTATGTATCCATAATAATTAAAAATTTTTTAGAAATAAAGAATTAGATAAATGTAATAGTGCCATGTGTTTATGTTAGAAAAGAAAAAAGAATCTAATCAGTTCCTAAAGCAAATTAAACCCAAACAAAACAGAATGCTGTTGTCTGAATGTTTGTGTCTCCTCGAATTTCCTATGTAGAAATCCTAACTCCCAAACTTATGGTATTAGGAGATGGGGTCTTTTGGGAGGTGCTTAGATCATGAAAGTAGAGATCTGGGGCTCTTTTATAAGGGTACTAAATTAGTACTACATTAAGGATAGTAAATGAGTAGTTTTCTTACATAAGAGACCCCAGAGAGCTACCTTGCTCTTTCCATTATGTGAAGATGCAGAGAGAAGGAACCATCTATGAACCAGGAAATGGGCCCTCACCAGACATCAAATATTTGAGAGCCTTGATTTCAGACCTCTCAGCCTCCGGAACTATGAGAAGTAAATTTATAAGTTATAAGTTTATGTTATTATAAATTATAAAATTATGTTGTTTATAAGCCACAACAAAAAGGTATTTTTCTATTGCAGTCGAAATGTACTAAGGTACAAAGAAATAATAAAATACATATAAGAACAAAAATCAATAAAAATTGAAAGAACACCAAAATGGAATATCAATAAAATAAAAAGCTAATTTATTAAAAAATGAAAAAATTCTAGCTATACTTAACAAAAAAGAGAAAAAATGCTAAATACTAAAGCCAGTAATGAAAGGCTGTCACTAATTATACTATAGGTTATAAAATGATAGTAAGCACACAATGTTTAAACTTTATGCAAATACATTTTAAAAGTTTGGTAAACGGACACATTACTTGAGAGAAAAGAGGTTACAAAATTCACTTAAAAATAAAGAGACACCATGAATAATCCTGCATCTATTAAATACATTAAATCTATAATTTGAAACTCACACACAAAATAATTCCAGGTCAGGAAGGTTTCACTCTTGTATTCTCACAATGTTTAAAGAATAAATAGTAACAACTCTATGCAAAGTCTTCCAGAAATAAAAGAGGAAGCAACCCTAACAATACATTATATGAGGTACAGATTACCCTTAAAGGAAAAAAATTGGTAGAGATTAACAGAAAACTACAGACCTACATTTTGATTAAAAAAAATTTTTTTTTCTTTTATTATTATACTTTAAGTTTTAGGGTACATGTGCACAATGTGCAGGTTAGTTACATATGTATACATGTACCATGCTGGTGCGCTGCACCCACTAACTCGTCATCTACCATTAGGTATATCTCCCAATGCTATCCCTCCCCCCTCCCCCCACCCCACAACAGTCCCCAGAGTGTGATGTTCCCCTTACTGTGTCCATGTGATCTCATTGTTCAGTTCCCACCTATGAGTGAGAATATGTGGTGTTTGGTTGTTTGTTCTTGCGATAGTTTACTGAGAATGATGATTTCCAATTTCATCCATGTCCCTACAAAGGACATGAACTCATCATGTTTTATGGCTGCATAGTATTCCATGGTGTATATGTGCCACATTTTCTTAATCCAGTCTATCATTGTTGGACATTTGGGTTGGTTCCAAGTCTTTGCTATTGTGAATAGTGCCGCAATAAACATACGTGTGCATGTGTCTTCATAGCAGCATGATTTATAGTCCTTTGGGCATATAGCCAGTAATGGGATGGCTGGGTCAAATGGTATTTCTAGTTCTAGATCCCTGAGGAATCGCCACACTGACTTCCACAATGGTTGAACTAGTTTACAGTCCCACCAACAGTGTAAAAGTGTTCCTATTTCTCCACATCCTCTCCAGCACTTGTTGTTTCCTGACTTTTTAATGATCGCCATTCTAACTGGTGTGAGATGGTATCTCATTGTGGTTTTGATTTGCATTTCTCTGATGGCTAGTGATGATAAGCATTTTTTCATGTGTTTTTTGGCTGCATAAATGTCTTCTTTTGAGAAGTGTCTGTTCATGTCCTTTGCCCACTTTTTGATGGGGTTGTTTGTTTTTTTCTTGTCAATTTGTTTGAGTTCTTTGTTGATTCTGGATATTAGCCCTTTGTCAGATGAGTAGGTTGCAAAAATTTTCTCCCATTTTGTAGGTTGCCTGTTCACTCTGATGGTAGTTTCTTTTGCTGTACAGAAGCTCTTTAGTTTAATTAGATCCCATTTGTCAATTTTGTCTTTTGTTGCCATTGCTTTTGGTGTTTTAGACAGGAAGTCCTTGCCCATGCCTATGTCCTGAATGGTATTGCCTAGGTTTTCTTCTAGGGTTTTTATGGTTTTAGGTCTAACGTTTAAGTCTTTAATCCATCTTGAATTGATTTTTGTATAAGATGTAAGGAAGGGATCCAGTTTCAGCTTTCTACATATGGCTCGCCAATTTTCCCAGCACCATTTATTAAATAGGGAATCCTTTCCCCCAATGCTTGTTTTTCTCAGGTTTGTCAAAGATCAGATAGTTGTAGATATGCGGCGTTATTTCTGAGGGCTCTGTTCTGTTCCATTGATCTATATGTCTGTTTTGGTACCAGTACCATGCTGTTTTGGTAACTGTAGACTTGTAGTATAGTTTGAAGTCAGGTAGCGTGATGCCTCCAGCTTTGTTCTTTTGGCTTAGGATTGACTCGGCGATGCGGGCTCTTTTTTGGTTTCATATGAACTTTAAAGTAGTTTTTTCCAATTCTGTGAAGAAAGTCATTGGTAGCTTGATGGGGATGGCATTGAATCTGTAAATTACCTTGGGCAGTATGGCCATTTTCACGATATTGATTCTTCCTACCCATGAGCATGGAATGTTCTTCCATTTGTTTGTATCCTCTTTTATTTCCTTGAGCAGTGGTTTGTAGTTCTCCTTGTAGAGGTCCTTCACATCCCTTGTTAGTTGGATTCCTAGGTATTTTATTCTCTTTGAGGCAATTGTGAATGGGAGTTCACTCATGATTTGGCTCTCTGTTTGTTTGTTGTTGGTGTATAAGAATGCTTGTGATTTTTGTACGTTGATTTTGTATCCTGAGACTTTGCTGAAGTTGCTTATCAGCTTAAGGAGATTTTGGGCTGAGACAATGGGGTTTTCTAGATATACAATCATGTCATCTGCAAACAGGGACAATTTGACTTCCTCTTTTCCTAATTGAATACCCTTTATTTCCTTCTCCTGCCTAATTGCCCTGGCCAGAACTTCCAACACTATGTTGAATAGGAGTGGTGAGAGAGGGCATCCCTGTCTTGTGCCAGTTTTCAAAGGGAATGCTTCCAGTTTTTGCCCATTCAGTATGATATTGGCTGTAGATTTGTCATAGATAGCTCCTATTATTTTGAAATACGTCTCATCAATACCTAATTTTTTGAGAGTTTTTAGCATGGAGTGTTGTTGAATTTTGTCAAAGGCCTTTTCTGCATCTATTGAGATAATCATGTGGTTTTTGTCTTTGGCTCTGTTTATATGCTGGATTACATTTATTGATTTGCGTATATTGAACAAGCCTTGCATCCCAGGGATGAAGCCCACTTGATCATGGTGGATAAGCTTTTTGATGTGCTGCTGGATTCGGTTTGCCAGTATTTTATTGAGGATTTTTGCATCAATGTTCATCAAGGATATTAAATTTTTATAGGATTATTTTATTAAAAGTAGAAAAGCATTTGATGACATTTTACACATATTCATAATAAAGACTTACAGAAAAGTAGGCAAGAGAAACAAATTATTTCAAAAGTAATAAACATATATAAAAATAGTTAATATAGTGAAATACCAAATGGTTCCTCCTACTATAAGAAAGAATGCAAAAATATCCACTATGAACCATTCTGTTCGATACTTAGAAAACTGCAATACAGTGCTGAGAGACATTAAGGCAGACCTAAATAAATGGAGAGATAAACCAAGTTCAATAATTTGAATGCTTTATAGTGTTAAGAAGGTAGTTCTATTAAATTGATTTCTAGATTAATTGCAATATCAGTCCAAATCTCCGTAGGCTTTTTATATAAATAACAAATATTTTTTCAAAATTACTATGTAATGTTATAAAATATTATAAATTAATATTGAAAATATTTTACATGAAAGTTCAAATTTCTGGAGTCTTTTAAGATAAGAGGATGGCAGTATTTCTATGGTATAACTACTAAGTATATAAAAACTGAAGACTTCTATTAATATCAGACAAAATGGGCCACAAATCAAGAAATATTTTTAGGAGGATAAAGATCAATATAATTGGTCCAATTCATCAAGAGAACCTGATAATGCAAAATGTTTTTTCACACATTAACAAACAATTCTGCATTTAAAATACTCAAGCCAAAAACTTACAGAATTGAAAAGAAAAATATACAAATCCACAATATATTTAAAGATTTGAAAACTATTTTCTGATATTATTAAACAAGTAAATAAAAAATTTTAAAGAAAATATCTACAAATTTAATGACATTATAACCTAACAAGTTCTAGGATGCATAGAATATTATACTCATCACCAGCAAAAACTTATTTTATTTTCCAAGTGCACTGACATTCATCACATGTTAGGCAACAAATAATAAATTTTCAACAAATTTAACAGGATTAGATCATGGAGAGTATGTTCTCTGACCCAATAGAATTAAATTTAAAATAAAAAACCAAAACTACAATGAAATCCCTAAATATTTAGATATAATAAACTTCTAATGATGCCTTGTAGCAAATAGTAAATCAAAAGATAAATTAGAAAGTATTTTGGTCTGGATAAAAATAAAAACACTACAACTTCAGGATTCCTTTGGAGAAACACGAAGTTTTTAATGTTTGTATTAGAAAAAGGAGAAATGTCTAAAATTAATGACACAAATGTCTACCTGAAAAAGTGAAAATAAAACCAAATTAAACAAGAAGTAGAAAGTAAAATATAGAGAAAAACTAAAATTTTATAAAGACATAACAGAAATACAAAAGGAAAAGATGAAATTTAAAGCTGATTCTTTGATAAAAGGAATAAAATGAATTAAATTCTAGATAGTCTGAGAAGGATACAAAGACAGAAATCTGTCAGCAACCACTTTCAGGAAATAAAGTGGGCAAGGTTGGGAAGATGGTAGGTGTTGTAAAGATACTACAAATATCGAAATGATAATAACTTAAATTATAAAAACTTTATGCCAATAAATTTGATAATGGTTGAATAAATTGTATGGTTAGCAAAATAATCTTTACAATTACTCTAGAATAAATAAAATTTCTTCATATATTTAGATTTATTAAAGATACTGAATTTTAATTTAATACCTTCTTAGGGGAAACAAATTCCAGACTCAGGTGCCTTCACTGTTAAATTTCATTCTTTTTAAATAGGTAAATGTTACAATGATTATTACTCAAGTGTATATCCTGAGAATTTTTACATAAATTTGTTACATAGATTAACTTTTTTTTCTTCAAAATACAACTAATTTACTGATTATACTTTTTGGGTCTTCTATTAACATTATTAGCAAAATTTAGAAAATTTATTCATTTATATACAAAATTAATAGATACATTAAATACTTACTCTGTGCCACCCAATGCCCAATTCACTGAGAGCATTTTACTGAATAAACAAAAAATTTTGACCCTTGATTACCTTATTGTTGGAGGTAACAAACCATAGAAGATAGACAATAGTCAATGTAAAAATAAATAAGTGGTTTTGACAATGGACAATAAGCAAAAATACCTGTTCACTTGTTGTATTGGTCCGTTCTCACACCGCTATAAAGAGCTGCTAGATGCTGGTTAATATATAAAGGAAAGAGGCTTAATTGACTCGCAATTCTGCAGGTCTGGGGAGGCCTCAGAAAACTTACAATCATGCCAGAAGGGGAAGCAAACCATGTCCTTCTGCACATTGTGGCAGGAAGGAAAAGTGCAGAGTGAAGGGGGTAAAAGCTTTCTATGAAACCACCAAATCTCATGAGAACTCACTCACTATCACGAGAACAACATGGGAGAACCACCCCATGATCTAATCACCTCCTGGAGGTCCCTCCCCCAACACATGGGGATTATAAATCTGATTATAATTCAAGATGAGCTTTTGTGTGGGAATGGAGCCAAATCATACCACTAGAATAGATAATATATATAATACATAAGTAAATTTTATAGTATACTAGCAGATGGTTAATTCTACTAACAAATACAGAAAGGTAAAGGATGAAAGGGATCTCTTGTTTAAGAAAGGGATACACATTTATATGTGTTGATTTTAAGGAATCAACAAGGAATGATTAGCAAGACTTGAAGAGAAAGGAGAAGCCATGTGAGCCTCTGGGGTGGAATGTTACAGGCAAAGATAAAAGCCAGGAAAAAGCAGACACTTCCTATATTCCTGTATTCATCCATTTTTATCCTACTGATAAAGACATACCCCAGCCTGGGAAATTTACAAAAGAAAGAGGTTTAATGGACTTATGGTTCCACATGGCTGGGGAAACCTCACAATCATGGCAGATGGCCAGGAAGAGCAAGTCACATCTTACATGGATGGCGGCAGGCAAAGAGAGAGCTTGTTCAGAAAAACTCCCTCTTATTTAACCGTAAGATCTTGTGGGACTTATTCACTATCATGAGGATGGGATGGCCTGCCACCATGATTCAATTATCTCCCACCTGGTCCCTCCCACAATGCATGGGAATTCAAGATGAGATGTGGGTGGGGACAAAGCCATACCATATCACCATCTCTGTGCAAATGTTCTCTCTCTTCTATTTAGCTCTGCAATTCTAGCTAAATTTTCCTTTCTAAGCCCCAATCTTCAATTTCTCAATATACAGGGAGAGTTATCCTTTCTTTGGATTATCCTTTCACTATGTCTTCTGGAAACTGAGAGAAAGCTTGGAATAAGATTTTATTTTTTCTTTTATCAGGGATCAGCATCCTCAGCTTCTTGTCAATGGTTAAAAAATCACTGTTGATTATATTTTGTCTGCAGTTAGTTTTTATTTGTGTGTGTGTTTTTTTGTTTTTTGTTTGTTTGTTTTGTAAAGAATTTAGTTTAGTTCCTCTTACTGTATCATGGTGAAGTACAGCTATCTTCAACCTATTTTTTCTGACCAACCTTTGTCTTTATATTGATTTAACATTACTTTTTAAATTTAGTCTTAAAATTCTTACTTTAAATAGTAGTTTTAGACTACTTACATTTAATATTGTTATCTATATTTTGGCCTTAAATCTACTATCATAAAATTTATTTTCCATAAAATTTAATCTGTTCTTTATTACTATTTTCCACTTTTGATGCTTTACCTTGGATTAAGTGTTTAATTTTGAATTTTATTTTATTTCAACTAATAGATTATTAGTCATATGTTTTTGCTTATTTTGTCCTGTTAGGTAGGTGGTCTAAGGTTTATACTATGGACCTTAACTTTCCAATAACATTAAGGTGACTGAATATTTTTGCCCCGATACCTAGAAAAAGACAAGCATGCTTGCTCTGATAAATTCTTTTGAAGCTTATACTACACGTCTTAGCAATGCAATGAGAGAGGTAAGAATACATACAATTTAGAAAGAAAGATGTCTTTCTTCACAGATATTATTATATTCTGTGCAGAAAATAAAAAAGATATTTGCAAAAAAGTTAGTAAAATTGTGTGTTTATCTAGATCACAGGATATAATAATAATATACAGAAATCCAGTATATTTTGATAGATTTGCAATGACTATTCATAATCTGAGATTAAAAAAAAAACAAGGAAAATAAGGGAGTGCTCAAATGCTAAGAAAGACATGTTAAAAGAGCTGAGAAACTTGAATAGTTCCTACTAGCAAAATTAGCAAAACTGAATCAATAAAATAAGTAAAGGAACAGATCATGGGCCACTGAAAGAAATAGGAATCCATGGGTCCACGTGAGATAAATCCACGAATTAATGAATGAATAAAAGAAGGAAACACTATTATTTTCCCACAGAGTGCCAACCAATAAAAGGAAAAGGGTTGATATTGTATGTTAAAAAATTATCATTTGAAAATTTTCACATTGTATTTGATTGAGTGTTGAGGCATCAATGGATGCTAAACCTAGTGGGTAAATGTTGGAGAAGAAATGGGATATTTTCACACTCTCAAAGTATCTCTCCGCAAAACACTTAATTTTAGATTAATTACATGTGTATATACATGTATACAATAGATAGTCTATATGTAAAAAATATCATTTTATGTCATGTTATATTAATATAAAGAAAATGAGGAGTACCTCTGCAATAGAGAAATCTGGAAGACATTACCTTTCAAATGATCAAAATTAAAATCACCACTGATGGGAAAAATTAATTTCATATATAACCTGAAGAAATATGATAAGAAGAGCATAGCATCATGTTGGTGATTTTATTGCCAATAATGCATGTCTTGACACCTCATTATGAGAAAACACCAGACAAATCGAAATTGGGAGACATTCCAAAAATAGAATCCATTGGAATATTACCTTCAAAAAATGTTTAGGATGCTATGAAGGTTGAAGAAGGACTATGGAATGCTTCTGATTTAAAGAAGTTAAAGAGACATAGAAACCAGGAACAACACATTATCCTGAAGTGGATTGTTTTTTATAAAAAGCATCAGGGCAGTTTGTGAACTAGAATGGGTCCTCTCTTGGTGATTGTTACATGACAGCCATTTGCATCACTTTAGCAACTTAAAGATAAATTGCTTAAAGATAAATTGGCATCGTTTCATACAAACATTAAAGAAAATGGTAATGTCCAACAGGCAAAGAGTGCCTGCCTAATTACTGTTCCAGGGGTCCTCAGGGAGCTGTTTTCCTACTATCTTCTTGATTTTTAAAATATATTTTAGTTGATTAGTTTTATTCATGCCATAATTGGTGGAAATTAATCCTTGATTCTATAAATTGTTACCTCGTCAGTTTCCAATGTTTTTTGTTTGTTTGTTTCTCTTTCCTTATTTATTTATTTATGCTTTTCTTTTACTTTTTTTGTAAAGTGGAATAAGTTAGGAATGAGTATATTATGACCAACTAAACTGAGTAGTTTTATGTCAAGTTGCAAATTACGTTAAGTATCAAATATTTGATTTTTCTTAGATTTCAAAATAGTCACATTTTCAGAAAAAATCATTAGTAGTTTTCTAAAAATAAAATCCTCTTGATTCAACAAAACATACTTGATGTGGTTTTTCCTCCCAAAACAGGCTCCTCCTTGAGTTATTGGGAATAAGTAATGCTTCTCAATAAAGCTTCGTGTCAACAAATCTGAACATATAACATCTCAGCTAGAGCAAGTTACTAAAAATAGGATCAATTTGTAGCTTGCAGTCATGCCTTCATATCCACTTTTCAATTAATCCTGCTTAATTCAGAGAATGTATAAATATGTAATTTTGCATCACTTAAGGCAGCCATTTTATTTTGAAATGCAACTAACGTTATATGCATAAATTCAATAAATATAAAGCTGTTTTCAAAAATTGAATGTTTTTACTTGTAAGTTATTCTTTCAATAATAGTAAAGAGATGATCACTAGTCAGTTTATTTTTCATAGTTGAATTGATTTAGTTGAGCTTCATTGGGTGTTCTTATGTTTTAGTCATGAGTCCATGCTCTTTAACAAGCTAAAGGAAACCATATTATATGCTAAAAGATGTCAGTTTGTGAGCAATTTAATGAATATATAGAGTTACAACATTTTTCCCGATTGGATGTTGGGGTTTACTATAATTCTTTGTTACTTTATATGTGAATATACTCACTACTCACTATGTTTATGTATGTAGGAAACATGCTAGTGATGAAAATTCAAGCAGTTATTACCCTGGTTTTCTTTCATTAACAAAATACAGAATAGAAATTATCTACTTATTCTTGGAGGTCTTAAAATATCTTTTCAGTTGACTGATAATTCTGCTATCAAGAGCTACAAGTAGGTGCTCTGGCCGTCTATATCTGTATTTCCATATATTCAATTCCTTACTATATATTTCTCATTTGATATTCTATACCCAATTCAAACAAAACCATTTCATGTATACAATGTACTTTTATTTATGCTTTTCTCTATCATTAAGTAGAAAGCCATTTGCACCTTAGTCTAAATCTGAAATGTGCCTCTACCTAACATTTCTAATACATTTTCACTATTTCTTAGTTATTAGAATAAATTTGCATAATTTCTGAAACAACTTTCCCTATGGAGTATTCCCTTTAGTTTCTTTTCCCTTCCAAACAATTTAATGAATTACAAATATGGGGGAGATACTTTTTCAATGGGTAAGACTTGACTTCTACAAATACATGTTTAATTCCTTCTCAAAATTATTTCTACTTCCTCTTATTCAACACTGTGCTAGATTTTAGGGATATATAATAAGACAATATATGAGGTCCTTGCTGTTGTGAAAGGTACATTCTTATCTTTGGCAAATTGTAGAATCTTTAGCTTTGGTATGCAAGGGCATTGGTGTTTGGTACATGCTTGGCTCTTTGCCTTAAGAGTTGCCTCTTTCCACCATGCATATTTCACCTGTGTGGGAATTCTTGCAGATCTCTGTATTATTGATAGTCATTTTGCTCTGATATTTTATACAAAGCTGAATCAGCAACAGTATGACTAAACACAACCAAAAAAGAAAGCTAGAAAGATTATATTAGACACTTACGTGTATGGATCATTATGGTGAGGACTGCTAAAAAAAAAAAAAAAAAAAAAAAACCTTCAGCCAAAATAAATTTACAGTTTAATCGAGTAATGAATGATTCATAAATTGGAAAGCCCCCACAATCACAGCAGATTCAGAGAGACTCCAGGGGTGTCTCATGATCAGAATGAATTTATAGACAATACAAAGTAAAGTGACGCATAGAAATCAGAAGTGAGGTACAGAAACAGCTGGATTGGTTATGGCTTGGCACTTGCCTTATTTGAACACTCAGCTGTATGCGACTAGTTGAAGTATGGCTGCTGGAATTGGCCAAGACTCAGCGATTGTTACAGGCGCATATTCCTAAGTTAGGTTTTAGTCTTGTGTACCTATTGAGTTAGGTTGCAGTTCATTCACAAGGACTGAAATATAGAAGTATGGCGTTTTTCTCAGGCCATATTTAATTTGATTTAACAGGACTTTGGGTATGTCATTGTATTTTACTAATATATTTTACAAACACCCCATGTTATCTTAATCTATTTAAGTTCACACTTTTTAATCAAATTTTACTTTAAATGTATCTAACCTCCTAAATTTCTGCCTTTGTGAACCAATAATACTTTTTCCAAATTCTTATTATAGCATATATCAGACTATATAGCTATAGACACTTTGGCATCATTGTTTTCCCATACAAAACACAATACATTTAATGAATTAATGAATGATGCATCAGCAAAGAAGGTTTTACTGAAAGTAAGAAAAATTATAAGCCAGTTTGGGTTTCCCAAGAATCAGACACCAAGATGGAATTACACGTATAAGAGAGTAACCAGAGAAAACGCCTTTGAAGAATAAAGAGAAGATAGAGCAAGAGGCTGCAAGAGCCTCCAGATCATGATGCAAGCCGGCACCTCAAAAGAAGAGAGAGCATGAAAGATAATTGGAAAGGAGGAGCCTCAGAGAAGAGTGCAGATCTGAGAAATTGTCAGCCACACTGAAAGAGCACCAAAGTGAACTTTGACCTTTAGATGAGTCCATGTGGGACAAGAATGAAAAGCCCTATAATATCTTCCTTGCTCAGCATTGGCAGGGAGCAGCAACCTAAGGAGAGCATGGCACCTGCATGTAAGCCAAAAATAAAATTCAATGTCCGTTAACCAACTAAATGGGCTCTTTATCTTGGCCAAGGGCATTTTAAACTAAACCTGAAACAGTAATGGAGGCCATGACGGAAATGGGTGGTTGAACGTGCCTCGTTATTTACTTTCATCCTTTCGGAATTCATGCATAGCTGAACAGTGTTAACATTAAAGTAGAGACTTAAGAATGACAAAACAGACTCTTCGTAGCAATAAGATATCAACATGACAGATAGCAGGCCTTGAAAGAAATCAAAGTATTTCACCACAAAAATACATTTCTTTGACATATTTTGAAATGGCCCTACAAGGCTGTTTCTGTGGGGAAAATCTCCATTTTGTAGAGAATCCCCTTCTCTTTCCAAGTCTTTTTCCTGATTTTTCCTGATTCCAAGTCCTTTTTCCTTTTTATGTCTGATAAAAATCATTTACAATCTATTCTCAGTGAAGCCTGCTACCTGCAAGCTTCATCTGCATAAGAACCTCGGTCTCTAAAACACCTTATCTTAACCCATACACTCCTGTCTATTGATTCCAGTCTTTAGATAAATTATTTTAGCCAGTTGTCAAATGCCAATCAGAAAATCTTTGAATTCACCTTTAACCTGGAAGCCTTCACCCACCCCACCCCCACCTGCTTTGAGTTGTCTCACCTTTCCCAATTTTACCAATGTGTATCTTAGGTGTACTTATTGATGTCTTATGTCTCCCTCACATGTATAAATCCAAGCTGTAGTCCAACAACCTTGGCAGATGTTCTTAGGATCTCCTGGGCTGTGTGACAGGCCGAGGTCACTCATATTTGCCTCAGAATAAATCTCTTCAAATATTTCACAGAGTTTGACTCTTTTCTTCAACATGCATTACCACTGTAGTAGCTCTGAAGTGGGTGAGTTGGAGGTAACCCACCAACAACCCTCCTCATGGAAATTTCTCTTGAATGAAAATATGGGAGGAGTAAATTCTTCACTGCCAAATGCTATTTCAAATTCTTTCAAGCATAAGGTAAATTCATTATTTAACATAAAAGTCAATCAAGAGGTAAAAAGAGGTCACAGTTTGCTTACGTATTTTCTGGCACTTCTTTGCTATTGGCTGTGTCACTTTTACCCTTAACATTGCTGCAAAAATGTCTGCAGACATTTAGGGTCATCATATTCAGATACAACCCTACCCAGAAGACCAAGAAAGAGACACCAAGAGAAACATTTATTTTAAAAACTCTTAAGGTAATTTGCCCTGATTTGCCTTTGTACTGAATTGGGTCATATGCGTATTTTTGTTCTTATTTTTGGCAAAGAATCAGGCTATACTTAGAGTAATCACATCATACCTGAATCTGAAGACGAGACAGTAAACTTAGAGAAGTACTGAAGCCTTGGAAGCCTTGGATGTATTGAATATGTTCTATCTTAGAAAGAAAAGGTGAGATAATGTATGCTGGCAGTCAACCAACAGCATATGCTCCTAATGAACAACTGGAGAGTCATTTAAGTTCAATGTTGGGGATTTTATTAGAAACTGTAAGATGAACACAGAATTCATTTTCTCTTTCCTTGTAAATTTGGACAATATTTGCTATATTCGCCTATATTTTGGCATAGAAATTTAGGTTCTAAGTATATAGTAGTGATGTAGCCTTCTTACAGGGTCACATAGACCCACAATTAATAATTTTTAATACTCTTTTTATTCTCTCTGGTTGGCTAACATTAAAACAATCCACAGAAAACCCCCAAGAGCTATGTATTGAGGATGGCAAAACCACGGATAGGAAAATAATAAATCTTTGAATGACCCTGCAGGAAATCACAGATAGCATTCCTATTCTTTAAGCAAGCAATAACTTTTATTGTTTTAAGAGTTGGAGGTTTAATTGTTTCAGCATTACTCTTACCACAATTATTACAGGAAATGAAACCAGTAAAAAAAAAAATAGAGGGAACAAGGTTTATTGACATCTATGAGGCATTTTCTTTCCCCTAATATTACATACTCTAGATTTTATTTCTATACAAAAAAATATTCTCTATGTCTAGCCTAAAGAACTATGTCTTATTCATATTTATACTCTTCATAGATCAAAAGTGTGCTTAAAATACTGTACATTTAATGAGTTATTTTTGAATGTAAGCAACTTTGAATTCATCTTTGCATTTTTAATCTTATGTTTCTATTAAATGTATTATTAAATTCTACTAACACTTTCCTCAAAATAATTCTCAATATTTTGGTTTTTAATTTTTTACTGCCTTTGCATTCTCCTGGCAGAGACCCATTTCACCTCTCCTATAGATTATTTCATAAAGATTTTATCATCTGTATCATATATATTTACAATATTAAAAGTTATCTGTAGCATGCTCTCATTGTTGCTTATAGATTAGGCTTGCTTCTCTATGTACTACTCTGGTAGGCAGTGGTTAAATATACTGCTTTAAGCCTTCTCACAGTACCTTCTATAATATCATCATGCACAATTTTAGGCACACAGCAGAAAATCAATGAAACATATTTAATTGACTAAAAATTGAAAAACATTGGTATATATGTAGGACAGATACTGATATTTTTATAAGCCCAACTCTGAAATGGTGATGCATAAAAAGTTGATAATTCTTTTTAGCAGAAACTATTAATAGTCATTTTTCAACATAATGTAAAATATATTTGAGATTGATAAACATTTTAGAACTCAAGTGTAAGAAAGCCATTAAGGGAATCCCACAATTTTCGTTGTTTCTAAAACCTAATATAATTTAAGATTATGAACAGCCTTCTTTCTCAGCAGAAAAACATATCACCAACCCACTACATTAAAAAAATGCATTATTCCAATCAATCTTGTTAATATACCATAGAATATTGAATTTTTTAAAAAAATTCAGAACTTTAAAAATAAATACTAACCATAATAGCTCAATTAAAATTATCTCTATATTCTTGGAGGTTTTCAAATGCCATATCTAAAAACAGGATATAGTAAGGTATATCCAGGGATAAACTAGCTGTTAAAAAATAATTGATTGAGACCTGTTATTATTGGCTAAGTAAACTTCTCTTATCTTCCAAAACATGTTCCATTATTTCATAAGATCTAGAAATGATATCACATTTGAAATTTGTTGAAATGTTTTCTTATTGACCTACTTATAAATGGGTTATTTACAAATTCAGGGTAATTACTTGTGCTTAAAACTGTTTTCAAGATAAATTTGAACTGTGTCATTGTTCATATAAAAGAAAGATGCTTCTTTTCAATTAATTTCTATTAGTTAATAATTCTACAAATTGTGTTTATTTCAATGGAGATTAAAGAATATAAAAAGAATAATGTTCCTGTTTTAGACTATACTTTATTAGTAAACCATTTGGGGGGTGGGGCAATGAGGATAAACTCCATCAAAGGAACATAAGTTAGAAAAGTTGTAACATAAACTTAGGTTATAAGTCTGAATTACCCTAGACATTTAGTCTATGGAATATAAGACTGCATGCAACCTCAGCTGGAAGCACTGCCCTTAAGCAAAGACCATGAAAGAGATGCTGAAATAATTATTCAGGCAGAAATTTAGTATAATATTTCTTTGGGAATGTTCTCCGATAGTTGGAAGTCAAAATAACAAGTAATTCTCACTTCCATTCTTTGTCTCCTCAATATACATCCCTATATCTTGCAAGGCATTTAGCAAATTAAAGTACATTTACCAGCCTCTTTGCACTTTGATGAGGCAATGTAACTAATTTTTGGACGATAACGTGTGAACAGAAGCAATATTTGCAGCATCTAAAAGAAATGTGTGTGACCTTTTACCCCTGTTACCATGCTTTAGAATTCATAGCTGTTTTCAGCTATTTTATATATAAAATAAGCATATGAAAGCGACAAAATAAATCAACATTGTAGAGCTATCGTGACATCACTGGACTTCTCCTAAAAGTTTAACATGAAAAATATGTGAATTATTTCAAGCTGCTCTACTTGTTTTTCATAGACTCTGTCATTAACTAATTTTTTATGTACCACTAAAAAGCATTTTAAAATGCCTCTAAACTATGGCACACTGCTAAATATTTTCTAGATGCCTCAAAAAAGTTTTTATATGCAGTAATTTTGTTTTACATACACATGCACACTTACTGATTTCAAGTTTTTTCAACTTTCATACGAAATTGAAAGTTGAAAAGGCACATGAAATGTCTTTTTGAAATTCCTAACTCAATTTAATTTTTTTTTACATTTAGGTTTACCATATTGTTTTAACAAAATGCTCTGTATTTATTCTAATATTTTAAAAACTTTAAGAATAAATTAATATTTTGGATTGTTCTACAGTATTGTATCCTGAAGTGGAACTTTTTTTACTGATTTATTAATTGAAATATGAAATATGATATGCACATGTGAAAGACACAGATCTTGAGCATATAGCATTAAACATTTTTAGAATGTAAAATACTAATGTCATCACAACCTACATGAATATGAATTGAGTATTACTAGAATCCAGGAGTCTCTATTGTGAACCTCCAATCATTACTATAGGCAACCACTGTTCTTACTTTTATCTTTATAAATTACATTTGCTTGACATTGAACTTCATAGAAATTGAACCATACAATAGATATTAATTTCAATCTGGTTCAAAAAAACACAACCAACAGCGTGGGTGTCAGTGTGATATTCTGGACTTCTTCTCAGCTGAATCAATGGTGCTGACAGCTGCAATAGCAACAGCAGTGTCTTCAGAAGTTTTACTGAGAGTTTGGAGTCCAGAGTTTCTGCCTAACAGCAGCTGCACTCAAATAGGGCCAATGGTCAGTCTGGAATCATGGGACCCAGAATGCACCACCTTCCCCTACTCATTTTTCACAGTTAAGGATGGAAGTGGCTTCCTTCATTTGCTCATCATCTGGAGTAGCAGGCCCCTTTTGCTCTTTCAGTGTTTCTAACATTGTTGTAACCACGCCCCCAACCCCTGTATTATATTGTCTATGCTTTAAAAACTATTTTGTGGACTTGAATAAAATTTATTTTCCCATTCCCGATATAAAATAATTGGGTCATTCTTTACTCATGTATCAATTCAAATTTCTAAGACTCTATTTATCTCTTCTCCTCAATAATGTTTCTTTTTTCTTTTGCTTTTTTTTAGACAGGGTCTTGTGCTCTCACCCAGGCTGGAGTGCAGTGGCTGGAACACAGCTCACTACAGCCTTGACCTCTTGAATTCAAGTGATCCTCACACTTCAGCCTCCAGAGTAGCTTTGATGACAGGTGTGTGCCACCAGGCCCAGCTACTTTTCTTTACTTTTTGTAGAGACATGGTCTTGCCATATTACCCAGGCTAGTCTCAGATCCCTGGGCTCAAGTATCCTCCTGCCTCCACCTCCCAAAATGCTGGGATTATAGGTGTAAGCCACCATGCCCAGCTAATGTTTTCTATTTACCATCTCTTTTCGCATACATATGTTTTATATATATATATATATATATATAATATAGTATGGATGTGTATATACCATATTATTAACAATTAGATCTAAAATATAGAAAGAATTTTAATACCTTTATTTTCTGTACCTTCATAGTTAATCTCATATTTTCCAAATCTGTTAATGTGGCACTGGTCACAGTTATAGCTCCAAGGAATGAGCATCTGCTTAGTCTCATAACCAGGACCCAACCTGCAACATTAGTATTACAAATTACTTTCTAATTCCAGTCTCACTCTTTCATCACCAGTTCTATCTCTGCACACTTACTAATCCCAATTATTTCAAAGCAAGTTGCTTAACCTGCTGTGGCAGTTTTCCCCTCTCCTTCAACTTTCTCTCTTTTTTTTTTCTCCTAATAATACCTGCCATGTAAGAATCCCTTTCATTACATACATCAAATAGCCACTTCTTCCAACAATTTTATTCAACCTAAGTATTCAGCCTAAGGGCTTAGATTCATGGTCTGTCCTTACAATGCCGTTCCATCTTTTTAAAGCTAATTGCGATGCACCTAGTCATTTTTATTGCGCACTATGTATGATAGCCAAGATACAGAATAAGCCTAAGTGTCTGGCAACAGATGAATGCAAAAAGAAAATGCACTATCTGTATACAATGAAGTACTCTTTAGCCATAAAAAGTAAAATCTTGCCATTTATGACAATATGGATGAATCTAGAGGACATCGTGGTAAGTGAAATAAGCCAGACACAGAAAGACAAGTACAGCATGATCTCACTCATAAGTGGAGTCTAAAAAAAAAAGAAAATACAAACATTTTAAAAAGTTAATAGCATAGAAGCAGAGAGTAGAAAAATGTTACCAGAGACTAAAGACAGGAGGACAAAAAGAAGGATGAGGAAACTTTGATTGATGGTATAAAATTACAACTAGATAAGAGCAATAAATTCTGGTGTTCTGTTGCATGTAGAGCAAGTATGGTTAACAGTGAAATATCGTATATTACAAAATAGCTTGAAGAGTTGTCTTCGAATGTTCTCACCACAAAGAAATGACAAATATGTAAGATAATAGATTCACTCTGAATGGATCATTGTACAACATGGATAGGTATCCAGGTATCAAATTGTACCCCATGAATATGTACAATTATTACATGTCAATTAATAAATAAATAAGATCACTAGATTTAATCAAGAGACTCTTATTGACTTGTTCTCATTTTAGAATTTTAAAACTAGTCTGCCCTATTGCAAACTACCTATTTTTAAAACTACTCTTCTCCTGCACAAAAATCTCTCAAAGTCTCCTTTCTCCTGAAAGAAAAATGACCTATTTAATTTACAAATATTTCAAAAATTAGTACACAACATTTTATGTATGAAAATAATGCTGTAGACTGACTTGCAAATAACATTCTAAGATTCCCATTACCTTTAAGAGGAGTCAGCTGTCATTTTGGAAAAATTAAGATTTCAACAATTTTACACATATTATGAAAATATTTTTGATAACGAAAAATGTTCAATCTTAAATCGTGTAAATAAGTAAATAGAGAGGTAAAATAAAAAGCTTAATGTTTATGTGATATTGAGAAAAAATCTTTTTTAAAAATAAAATACAGATTAAAATACAACTTGGTGCTTTAACTGAAGGGTGTCCCTACTCCCTGATGCGTTTGAGACTGTCACAAACCTGAACCCATTTGGACAATACATGAAATAATCATTTTGCATCATTTCACTATTGGGGAAATGATAACTTCTTACATTAAATGAAAAAAAACTGAAAAAGTAGTATTACTTTGTCTTTTAAGTGGCAAGATAGGGTTGATATGATGCCGAAGTACAAACAGTAAGGACTAAGAGAGGATGGAGGATATATGAATAAAAGTATCAAAAGTCAAGAGAAATGATAAAACAGACAATTCTGGGGAACACTAGTAGAAGCTATGCATGGAATATGGTTAGACAAACAGTGATATTTACTTTTGAGTTTTGCTTATATATTTCTAACATTTCTTGATAGGACTGGCATTCTAACAGTTATTCTTATTGTTATAAATTCTTTCTCTGGACTCATTTCAACTGATAAATGCCAAGGTAGGCAGTTGGATGCTAGGATAATCTGGCCATAAATCATGATTCAGGGTTATAAACAAAGTGTATGCTTTATTTTGTTGTGGTGGTGGTTCCTTCATCACTAGGAAAAGGGAGACAAGCTTTCTTACTTTTCAACAAAAAGTTTCTCTATAATCATTTACATGCTGACCTTCTTATATAAATACACAAAGTGACTCTTAGGAACATGTAAGTGATTATAGGAAGTTAACATATACCAATGACTTATTTGCCACCAACTTTATAAGTAGGCTTCTAGTTACTGCAGCATATTAAATAATGGTATCATTTGTTTTTCTGAAACAGATGCAAAACACTGTGTTCAATTTTTTTTTTTTAAGATGGTGTCTTGCTCTGTCGCCAGGCTGCAGAGCAGTGATGCAATCTTGGCTCACTGCAACCACATTGCTACCACTGTAGCCGAGCTGTGGTCTCTGATGTCACCAACAGCTGCAGCGAGGTAAGCCACGGAGGCGCAGGCTCTGGCTCCAGCCTCCAGCATGCAGCGGTGTCTCTTCCTTCTCCTCGTCTTCCAGCCCGGCAGGAGAAGCTCCCGCTGCTAGCCTCCCTCCTACCGCTCCGTCACCAACACAACCAACAGGGAGGCAGCGCCCCAGGCTCCAGGCTCCAGGCTCCAGCGGGTAAAAACTAATGGACCCTTCTAGTTCTCTAACCCAGGTACCTAGCAGCTGAGCACACCGACACAGAAGACCCAAAAATGACGCACCACTTCCTCAGCACGCTTTATATACTGAAGTTACGGATCCTGGACTACATGTTCTGATTGGATGAGAGAAAAACCTCTAGGCCTACTCTGATTGGACTTTATTTTCATGCTGTGATTGGTTATCTTAAGACTTGCTCTCATGCAATCAGAACATGAAGTCTAGGAACCGGCATGCGCATAACCTCCGTATATAAATGATGCTGAAAAGCTGTTACGGTTTTTTTTTTTTAGGGTTCGGTGTTTTACTGTTGAGCTGCTCAGTGCCCAGCTTAGAGGACCAGGAAAAGGAGTCACCGGCCGTATGCTGGAGGCTTGAGACACGGCACAGCGGCGCAGCTCGCCTCGCTATGGTTGGTGGTGTCAGTGGAGATTGCGATTGCCGCGCGGCTGGAGGGGTAGGAAGAGGAAAATAGTTTTGGGATAGATAGAGGGGTGGGTAAAGAGTTTGGTTATTGCCAAAGGGAAAAAAGGATAGCGAGGAGGAGAAGGCGTTGCAAAAAGACGATGGGGAAAAGATGGTGGGGAAAAAAGGTTTTGGGTAGATGGAGGTGGAAAGACAGGGTGTGGAGCTGGAGTGAGGGAAGGTTTTGCAGAAAGACGGTGGATAGAAAGTTTATGGGTGGATGAAGGGGGAAAAGATGGTGGCAATTGGGGAGAGGAGAGAGTGGTGAGGTGGGGGAAATGGGCTAGCAGTAGGGAGAGAGGGTTTTGTGAAAAGACAGTGGGGAGAGAAGTTTTTGGGTAGATAGAGGAGCAGAAGAAGATAGCAAGTGGGAGAAGGAAAAAGGGTAACTAGCGGGAGGAAGACAAGGTTTTGCGAAAAAACAGTGGCAGAAAAGAAAGATGGTTGCGAAAAGACGGTAGGTAAAAAGTGTTTGGGTAGATGGAGGAGGGAAAGAGGGTGACGAGGAGGAGAAAGGAGGGTGGCGAGAAGGGAGCAGGGAAAGAAGGGTGGGAAAAAGACGGGAAAATAGTTTGGGATAGATGCAGGGCAAAAAAAAGGGTGACAAGCAGGATAGGGGAGAGAAGAGGACGAGTGGGAAGAGGGGGCAGACTTTGTGAAAAGATGGGGAAATTTTGGGGGGTAGATGGGGGGAAGAGAGAGGTGAGCAAGAGTGGGGAGAAGGCTTTGAGAAAAGATGGTGGGGAAATGTTTTTGGGTAGATGGAGAAGGGAAAGAGAGGCAAGGAGGAGCAGGAGGAAAGACAATGAGGAAAACAGTTTTTGGGTAGATAAAGGGGGAAAAGAGGGTGGTGAGCAGCAGGAGTAGGGAAAAGGCTTTGGGAAAAGACGGGGGGAAAATGTTTTTGCTTAGATGGAGGAGGAAAAGGGCATGATGACAGCAGGAGGGGGAAAAAAGAGGGTGGCCAGGGAGAAGGGGGAAAATACGGTGGGAAAAAACGGGAGAAAGTGTTTGGGTAGATGGTTGGGGAAAAGCGTGGTGAGCGGGAGAATAGAGAAGGCTTTGCGAAATGACGGGGGCGGGGGCGGGGAGAAAACGAAATGATGGTGGGGAGAAAACGGTGAAAACGTTTGGGGGTAGATGGAGGAAGAGAAAGGGTGGTGAGAGGGAGAGGGCGAAATGCGGTCGGGAAAAGAAGGTGGGGAAATAGTGGGGGACAAAAGTTTTGGGTAGATTTTTAAAAATAAGATTATTTGTATTTTCACTTTTGAGTAGTTTGAGTTCTTTAGATATTTTGTGTATTAACCTCTTGCCTGATGCATAGCTGCAAAGACTTTCTTCCATTCTCGGGTTCTGTCTTCATTATACTGATTGCTTCCTCTGCTTTGGAAAAGGTTTTAAGTTTAATGTAATTACATCTTTGCTTTTGTTGCTTGTGCTTTTGATGTCTATTTGAAAATTCCTTGTCCTAACCAATTTCATGAAGCATTTATCCTATGTTTTCTTCTCTGGTAGTTTCATAGTTTCAGGTCCTGTATTTAAATCTTTTATTTTGAGTAGATTTTTGTATATGGTAAGGTAATGGCCTAGATGTATTCTTGTACATGTGGGTGTTGGGTTTTCCTAGTACAGTTTATTGAAGAGATTGTCCTTCCCGAAGGTGTGTTCTTGGGGCCTTTGTTAAAAATGAATTGACCGTAAACGCGTGAATTTATTTATGATTTCTCTATTCTGTTTCACTTGTCTATGTCTGTCTGTCTCATTCGTTCATCTCTCTTGTCTCTCCCCCGCCCCTTTTATTGAGAGTACCATACTGTTTTGATAGTACCATCCTTACTATAAATTTGTAGTATATTTTGAAATCAGGTAGTGTGATGCCTCCAGCTTTTCTTTTTATTCCAGATTCTTTTGTCTATCTGAGGTATTTTGAACTTCCATGTGAATTTTGAGATTCTTTTTCTATTTCAATGAAGAATGTCTTGTAATTGAACATGGATTGCATTGATTCTGTAGATCACATTGGGTGATACACATATTTTAACATTCTTCTAGTGCATAGAGATGGGATATCTTTCCATTTACTTGTGTCTGCTTTAGTATCTTTCATCTATGTTTTATGAAGTTTTCATTTTGGGATCTCTTGCCTTTTTGGTTAAGTTTATTCCTAGATATCATTTTTTTGGTAATGAAATAGCTTTCTCGATTTCTTTCTTAGATATTTCACTATTGGTGCATGGGTGTAGTATTCATTTTTATATTTTGATACTGTATCTTGGAACTTGACTAATTTATTATTTCTAGTAGGTTTTTTGTGGAATCTTTAGGGTTCTCTCTATATATGTTCATGTCACCTGGAAACAGACAATTTGACTCCTTTTTTCCAATTTGGATGCCTTTTATTGCATTCTCCTAATTGCTCTAGCTAGGACTTCCAGTATTATGATGAACAAAAGTGGTGTAAAAGTAGCCACACTTGTTCCAGATCTTAGAGGAGAAGAGCTTTTAACTTTTCCTTCTTGATTATGTTAGCTGTGGGTTTGTCATATATGGCCTTTATTGCACTGAGATATGTGTCTTCTGTACTCATGTTGTTGAGTTTTTATCATGAAGGAATGTTGAATTTTAATTTTTTCAGCGTCTACTGAAATGATTATATGGTTTTTGTTGTTGATTTGCTGAATGTGATGTTGCATATTTATTTGTGTTTATTGAATCATCCTCATATTCCTGGGTTGAATGAAATCCACTTGATCATGGCAGATGATCTTTTTATTGCATTGTCAAATGCAATTTTCAAGTATTTTGCTGAGGATTTCTTACACCTCTGTTCATCAGGGATATTTGCCTGTGGTTTCCTTTTTGTGTTGTGTTCTGGTCTGGTTTTTGTACCAGGGTCATGCTGTCCTCATAGAACAAGTTTTGAAGCCTTTCTTCCTCTTCATTTTATGGGGAATATTTTGAGTAAAATAGATATTAGCTATTTTTAAAATGTTTGGTAATTCAGCAGGAAAACCATGATTCTTGTGTTTTTCTTTGCCAGGAGACTTTTTATGACTGCTTTAATTGCATTACTCATTATTGGTCTGTTCAGGTTTTTTATTTTTATTTTTTATCATTCTATCTTGGGAATTCGTTATGTGTCTAGAAATGTATTCACTTCCAGATTTTTCAATTTGTTTGTGATGTTTTTAGTAATCTTTTAATGCTTCGTATTTCTGGGTTACCAGTTCTAATGCCTTCTTTATGACTTTGTTTTCTTTTTATCTAACTTCATCTGGTTAAAACTCGTCAATTTTGATTTTTTTTAAAACACCCCAGCTTTTGTTTCATTGACTTTTTGTATTTTTTGTTTCTATTTTTAAAATTTCTTCTCTAATCTTTATGGTATTTTTTCTGCGAATTCTAGCATTTGATTGTTCTTGTTTTTCTCATTACTGGAGGTGTACTGTCAGGCTATTTGAGATCTTCCTACTTTTCTGATGCAGGCATTTATAGCTATACACTTTTCCTCTTAGAATTGCCTTTGGTGCATCCCACAGGATTTATGTTGTGTTTCTATTCTTACTTGTTTCAATAAATATTTAATTTCCCTTGTATTTTTTTCATTTCTTTTATTGGTTGTTCATGAGTGTGTATTTTAATTTCCATGTATTTGTACAGTTTTTAAAGTTCTATCTGTTACTGATTTCTAATACTATTCGACTGTGGTCAGAAAAGATACTTGATATGAATTCAGTTTTTAAAAATGTGTTGGGTGACCGAGGCGGGATCACGAGGTCAGGAGATCGAGACCATCCTGGCTAACACGGTGAAACTCCGTCTCTACTAAAAATACAAAAAATTAGCCGGGTGTGGTGGCCGGCTCCTCCGGAGGCTGAAGCAGGAGAATGGCGTCAACCCGGGAGGCGGAGCTTGCAGTGAGCCGAGATAGTGCCACTGCACTCCAGCCTGGGAGACAGAGACTCCACCTCAAAAAAAAAAAAAAGTGTTGTGACTTGTTTTTTGGCCTAACACAGTCTGTCCTGTAGAATAATCGATGTGCCACTCAGTAGAATGAGCATTGTGCAGTTGCAGAGTGAAAAGCTGTGTAAATGTCTGTTAGGTCCATTCTGTATAGAGTACAGTTTAACTGATGATGTTTTGTTGTCTGGATGATCTGTCCGTTCGCGATAGTGGGGTGTTGATTACGGTGGAGTGTTGAGGTTACTCTATTATTGTATTGCAGTCCCTCTGTCCTTTAAAGCCTGTTAATATTTGCATCTATATTTAGGTGCTTCAGTGTTGGTTGCATATGCACTTAACGGCTGTTTACTTGTTTCTCATTATATAATTATCTTTATTTTTTCTTTTTTTGAGTTAAAGGCTATTTTATCTAAGTATAGCTACTCCTGCTTTTTTTGTTTCCGTTTGTATGGAATATCTCTTATCATCCCTTGACTTTGTCTGTGTATGTCTTTATAGGTGAACTGAGTTCCTTGTAGGCAGGACATAATTGGGTCTTTTAATCCATTCAGCCACTCTGTCTTAATTTAATTTACATTCAGGATTATTACAGATAAAAACATACTACTGCCATTTTTTACTTTTTTGATTGTTTTGCTTTTTCTTTTGTTCTTTCTCCCTTCCTCTTTTCTTTCTGATCTCTTTTTATTTCTTCTCTTTCCTCCTTGCCTTTCTTCCTGTCTTTATTTGTAGTGAAGTAATTTTTTCTGGTAGTGTTTTAATTCCTTGGTTTTTATGTTTAGAGTGTCTGTTGATTTTTGTTTTCTGGTTACCATGAGGCTAAACAACATAACAAGTTACTTTAAACCGAAGAAAACTTAACTTTGATTGGTCTCAGCTACTCAGGAGGCTCAGGTGGGAGGACCGCTTGAGCCTGGGAGGCCGAGGTTGCAGTGAGCTGAAATCGCACCACTGCACTCTCCAGCCTGGGTGACAGAGTGAGACCATGTCTCACAAAATAAATAAATAAATAAAAATGCAATAGCTTTATAATGAATTCTGATTGTAAATTTGGAGATGATATATTAAGGTATAAAGAGGAAAGTGAAAATCATAATCTCATTACCCAAGGATAACTACTTCTAATGTTTTGGTACATACGCTTCCTAATTCATAATCCCCTCTCTTTTACACACACACAAATGTACACGTAAAATAGACTTTACACACATAAAATTTTATTGTAACATTTTGAGAAACACGGTTTTGTAATTTTTTCTTTAAAAATATTGCAGATAAGTTCTGTGAATAACATATAATAACATACATCTTAGTTTTCAGATTTTGTTTTTTGCTCTTTCGGGTGGCAGGTTCGCTTTTGGCTAAAATGAATCGTCTCAGTATCTTTGATTTTCCTTCTCTCCTCTAAGCTGTTGCTTTTGGAAGGGGCGCCTGGATCTCCCTCCTATTTACTTGGGGGCAAACACATAGTATCAAGGGGTTTTGAAGACACGTTGCCTGTGCCAGATAGCAACACTGGCTGTAGTTCTGAAAATATTAGCGTTTTTGTCCTGTGATTAATACTAAGATGTAAATGAAGTGGTTTAGATCACTGTAGCAAATGACCTAGATATAACTGTGTGTGTGTGTTTTAGATCATTGTAGCCAATGATTTAGATACAACTCTGTGAGTACCTTTTAATTAAGGGCTCAAGATTTCTACACAGTATGTTCATTGTCTGCTTTATTTGTAGAAGTGTAAAAGCTGATACTTGGGTGATGTAAGAAAATGGATAGGTTTTACTATCACAAGGAAAAGGTAATATCCATACACTTTTGCCAAGGAGGCATGGGTTACTTAAATTGGCTTCTGGATATTGGAGTTTGGGTATGATAGCCTTACGTTGAATTTTTTGGTTACTGCTTGATAATATTTATTTCAGTAATTGTGTTTAGTAATTGATTGTGTGTGTTAATGAACAGTCCTGTCCTAAAAGCAAAAATGAAGTGGTTCAAGGGAGCATGAATTGTTAACATCTCCTTTAAACAAATAGGCTAGGTTAAAATTTTTTTACAGAGCTTTACAGTATTACATGTGAGTTTATTACACTATTACATGTCAATAAAAATGGCAGCAGAAGCTCTCTTAACTGACTTGCCAGATGGATTAGATCTCTCCATTCACTCAATAAAATGTCCATTTTATTGAGTCTTAATCCATTCAGAATCCATTTAGAAATACTATCTTATTTAACCTGTACCCTGTTTCAACTAGCAACTGGATTATAAGAGATGTGTATTAAATATTTTAGAAGACAGATTCTTTTAAATAAATAAAAATTATCACACAGGCTGTCTTAAACTTTTAAAAAAGAGATCTGATTTTAGATTTGGTTAAAATACTAGCCTACATTAGTATTCTTTCTAGGAAATAAATATTCACATAAATTGTTTTTCCAGAAATTGGCCTTGAATACAGATTTCAGATCGTTGAAAACGGAACCATTTGAAATCTGCATTTCCTTTCCTTTTCCTAATTTATTTCAGTCGCTCAATAGGATTTTCTCATGGAATTAACTTTTCCCTCTCAGCGTAGTTACATAAGCTTGCTGTTGTAATCATGAAAAATAATTACCCATTTCAGCACTTACTAACGTGGACCTTACTTGAAGGGTCTCTGGTTTTAAAGTCAGAGCACATGGCTAGAGGCAGATGAAGAGTACCTCATCATTCATAGCCACTGAGTCTCTATAATTTTTAAATGCCTTTGGAAAGCTAGATCTCATACTCAAAAGCATGCTTTTGTGTTACAAATCTTTTAGTGAACTACTTACTCAGGTCATAATGCTTTTAAAGCCGTGTTTTTCTTTCCTCAGAATAAACTGAATTACATGTTACCAATAACAATGCCACATCATTTCAAAGGAAACTGAATTAAGTAATCCAAGTCCGGGTTGCTGAAAACTAGATGACACAGGGTAGGCACTGTTTTGGTTACCGTGCAAAGGATCTCTATTAGTCAGCTTGGGCTGCCATAATAAAATACCATAGAACTGGGTGGCTTAATTTTCTCACGGTTCTGGAGGCTAGAAGCTGTAGATCAGGGTGCTGCTGCTTCGGTTCCTGATGAGGGCTTTCTTCCTGGCTTATAGGTTGGCTGGCATCTTGTCCTCACATGGCAAAGGGGAGAGTACTGTAGTCTCACCTTGTCTTAAAATGACACCAGTTCTATCAGATTAGAGTCCCACCCCATGACCTCATTTAACTGTTAGTACCTCCTCACAGGCCCTGTCTCCAAATTTAGCTATATTAGGGATTAAAGATTCAACATATAAATTTTGAGAGGGCACAAACATTCAGTCCGTAAAAGAAACTAGTTGTTTAATTAACAAGGATTGTTGAGCCCTGATATCTTGTTATACCTGCCTGTGTCCTTCCCCCATTCCCCTCCACTCTCATTTCCTCAAAAACACTCAGATAAGGATTTTTTTCAGATACTGTTATTGTTACTTATCAAACTACGTAGTAACATTATGAATTATAAATGTTATTAGCCATTGAGAAAGTAGCTGTGCACTGACTGACCCCAATTGACTGGGAGGGCTAGATGGTGCCTTCTCTGTGGTGGAAGATAGGTTGGAGAAATGTGGTTGGTAGCAAATGCTGTCTGATTTGAACAGCTTTGAAGAAGGCTGGTTCTAGTTGATTTCAGTTCTCTCCAGATGCCATTTGAATCTAAACCAATTTTCTAGTTCTTATCATTACAGAATTGTCTTCTGGAACAATTATTTCTTTTTGTTACTTGGTAGCAATATGGATGTAGTTTTCTGAATCATTAAGGCATTTTAACTCATCTTCCATTCTCTTATTTTTTAAGTCCTTTAGGTTGTTTGAGGGACATTCATCAAGGAAACCGGAGAAACTTAAAATGCTCTTCCGCTTCTTTGGAACAGTCACAGAGAAAAGTGAACTCCTTTCATTCTTGCAGTAATTTTTCTTGCTGATGGGAACAGTTCAAGTCAAGTGACATGTGAGGAACATTTTGTGTTTAACGTAAACCTTCCTGTCCCAACTACATTGAAACAGTAATGATGCGACAAGGTAACTTCGGTTTTATGCTTGTGTTGTGTATAAGCATAAATGTGTGCTATAAATGTAGGGGGGCGGGGTTTACATACTCTGAAATCGGACACATATTCTATACATCAAAACATTTTCATGAATAAAAACCAGAGAAACTATATTGACCAGGAAATAAATTTTGGATGCTCTTTATTTAAAGAAGCATTCACTAGTTTATTTGTATAAGTCAACTAACGCATTGCTTTTCTACCCATTCCTCTCTTTTGTGCCCCCCTAAGCCCTTTGTGGAGTTCTCATAAAACTGTTTTGTACTGAGTTTTATATCCATCTTCCTCTATTGAACCTTAACATTCTTGCTTCCCCAAAACCTGAAAGCAGCTGAGGCAGTAATAGTAAATGTCCAACAAATACTGGTAATGACCAACTGATAATAGATTGGTATTGCCACTCTTATCTCAGAAGCTGAATGACCGTGGTCAAGTTTCTTGACACCTCTAAGCTTCAGTTTTATCACCTATGAAATAATATAATAATGGTTATTATCTTACAGGGTAGTTATAGATATTAAACAAGGAGATACATGCTTAATAAATGTAAGCTATTATCAATGGGTAGCCTTTCCTACAAGTGGATGTAAACCAGAACACCTTAAAAGTTTCTTTGTGCTAAGTAGGTAATGTCAACCTGGTCAAGTGAAATGGCTTTTTTTCAGTTCTGGGTTGTAGGATTGTCTTAAAACATGTCTTTGAACAATTTTAAGGTCATTTTTCTCATATCCTTCTTTTACTCTTGCATGACAGTGTACTTGGCATCTTCCCCCTTGAATGTATTGCTATTGGACATTGTTAAATTTTTAGAATGAAATCAATTATCAGGATTTTAATATTTAAGGGAACATTATATGCTTCTCTGATACGGAATTATTTATCTCATAGCTTATTGAATTTCAGTTTTGTGCCCTGTACTGAATGAAATATTAAAATGCAGAATCATTTGGACCTATGAGACACAAAATCAAATTAGAATTTGTAATGACTTGTTAAAAAGATGACTACGTAAGGCCAGGCGTGGTGGATCACGAGGTCAGGAGTTCCAGACCAGCTTGGTCAAGATGGTGAAACCCTGTCTCTACTAAAAAATACAAAAATTAGCCAGGCATGGTGGCAGGAGCCTGTAATCCCAGCTACTCGGGAGGCTGAGGCACAAGAATCACTTGAACCCAGGAAGTGGAGGTTGCAGTGAGCTGAGATTGTGCCACTGCACTCTAGCCTGGGTGACAGAGCAAGATTATGTCTAAAAAAAAAAATGACTACTTTTTTTTGGCTATTCTAGGTCTAAGTAGAATTATTACTGTTGGTCTTTTTTGTTTTGTTTTTACAGTACTTTGAGTTGCCGTTTTAAGTAGAATTGTTATAACTAAGTAGTACAGAGTTTACTTTTTTGTCCTGGGAGTCAAATCATGTATGTCTTCTCTAAAAACTAACTTGGCTTTCTACATTTTAGGATTTCAGATACTTTGAGGAAAAAGCTAAAAGTTTGTTTTTTAAACTAGAAATGTATATGCCATTATAAGTATTTGGAATTTGAAGAAATAAATTATAACTAGACATTTTATTTTCTGACTTTTTTACTGTACATGTTAATTAAGTTCTTTGTAGAAATACAGTACAACATTGCTCTTGGTCTGCAGTATGTAAAGCTAACGGTTTAAAGAGGAAATCCTAAAGAGAATAAAAGAGGTTGCAGTATAATGAGTCGTTGTGTAGAAGTTCTGGAGCCTACTCAATAGACTGGAGAAGCTTATTTAAGGTACCATATTTCATCGAATCTAAGATGTCATAGATTATTTTTAAAAAGTGCTATTACATTATATACCTCTAAGAAGGGAAAAACACTCAGGACAGGGAGTTTAGTAGGAGACCTAACCCACAAGGCTGGTACACCTAGGGATAAATGAGAAATTAACTTGACCATCCAGAAAAGGGACCATAAAGAAGCATGCAAGTCTCAACCTTGACACTAAATAGAGAAAGAAAAAAACATTTCTCTGAGAATTTGAACCACAAGCCCTAAGCTTTGGGTGTGCAGCCTTACCACCAGTGTGGTCCAAAAAGGCCTGCCACAAAGGATTAATTCAGATGGTGTTGGGCTGATAGTGTTCCCAGATGACAGCAGAAGCAGATGCACACCTTCTCTGGGAAAATTCTCCTCTAGTCTAGACCTATGGTAAGATACCTCCATTATAAAAGATGTATTCCAGTTTCAGAAATGTAGTATGTGGAAAAACCCGCCTTTTAGAATTGATAAAATAGAATTCCATCAGGACCAACTTTTCAGTGTTGTTAAACGTGTATTTTATATTTGATGAGGATCTTGAGACTGAAATGTTTTAAAAAGCCTTCTGAATTAAATTACTTTTTATATAGTTTTAGATAAAGTATCTTATAGATCAGATTTTTGAAAATTTATGACCTGTATGTAGTATATATTGTGATTTTATTATGGGAAGTATTTGATTAATCAGAGTATCCTATTCTGAGATGAAAGTTGCCTTGTTATGAAAAAGAAAGCTAACAGACATGCTCTCAAGGCATTTTTTGTTAATCTGAGAAACCATGTTCTTCTGCCTTTTCTTGCTTTGCCAGCAGTGTTTACGAATTTCTCTTAGCATCTCTTAGTATATATGAAGGACATTTGGTGTTCTTACTTCTCTGCTAAGTTACCGAATGACAAGAGAGATGTTTTCTATTATATTCATGGAATTGCATCTCTAGTGTTAGAGTTGTTTGACCACTTACTCGTGAGTTTTAAATATGTTATCCGTTTATCTTAAAGTTAGATATCTAAAGAATGTAAGACCTATGTTAACAAAAAATTTTGTTTTCTTCTGCAACTGCTCCGTATGGTTTTTGAGTGGTTCCTGCTTTTGACTGAGAACAAGGAAATGTGGAATTGTGCATAGGAATGAAATGATGGCCAGGCTTTCACTGGGTTATACACTGTCATCAGTAATAGTTCCTGACATCTCTCTCTTTCCTTAAGAGCTTTTTTCTATTCAAGAAAACAGAAATGGCATAGCCTTTTTAGTTTGCTCTTTGATTTGAGTCAGACAAATTACTTCTGGCCAGCTGATATATTTGTTTCTTTTGCTACTAGCTTTAAAAAATAAATAAATCTGACTAGAAAAGGATCTCATCCTCTTAAAATTATTGACTACATTAATACTACTCCATTTTGATCCTCCCAAATGTATTGCTTCTTGAAAAATATGTCATCTTTATTCTGTAAACTCTTAGAACCAGTAATTTCTTCTCTGGCTAAGACTGCTACTAACAAGTAGAGTGATTGCCCACTATCTAAGCCTGAAACTTAGCTTTACTAACTTCAGAGGATGTGCAAATGATTTTCTTTTTAAAGCTGTGGCATTTCACTTTACTACAAAGTACATAAATGTGTCTTTATTCACCAGTCTTTGAATGTAGGGTTAAGTCCTTTCTTTGTAAAGGAGTCTACAAATTTGAATTCAGTTTTGTCTTTACTGCATAAGCTGTACCAGTTATACATCCTTTTTTTCAATGGTTTTGTTTTTAAAAGTGTATTCAGCTTCAAAACTTTACCAAAAAGTACCAGCACTCAAATCCTACTGTTGTGCTGTTATTTGTATAGTTTCGTTTAGTGAAGTCTTACTGTTTTATAGGAGTTTCTACTGTAAGGATAATATTTTCAATCAATATTCTGTTATTTTCCAATGCTAGGCTTTGTATTTCCTGGTTAGTTTTATAGTCAATGTTAGACCTATTCTTTTATCGAGTGTGTGTGCGCGCGCGTGCACGTGTGTGTGTATAATGTTTTCAAAATTGAAACTTATTTTGGGTATGTTTTTCTTTTATTGCTTCTGTAGAACCTACTGGGTTGGTGACATTTACAAGACAGAGTCTTGAGGATTTTCCAGAACGGGAAAGGTAACAATAATAATAAAAATAATCCTAGACCCCTAGAATTAGAAGGACTCTTGCACTATGAGAGGATTCTATTTTAGAGCACCTGGAAAGATGGTTTTCCAACCTCTATCCTAGTGCCAGGGAATTTCTTCTCAGAAGTGATCCATCGATAGCTTTCATTTTTGAAAAGGTTATGCCTTTTAAATCAAAGTCTGTAACCCTTTGATTTCTACCATTTTGTCTTGGTTTTGTCTTCTGAAAGAAAGCGGTGTTTAAAATTGAGGAGTGTTGTATGTGAAGACACTAATAAAAGGAACGCCAATATATAAACGTTTCTCCTTACCCTTTTTTTGGTTAGTGTTTGAACTTTATGGCTTTTCTTTCTGGAGGACAAGATTGAGAAAAGTCTTTTTATTATTTACATTTTAGTAAATAGTAACCGTCTAGAGTTTGAGTGGCAAGAATTTTGAAGTTTGGCTGCCCTTGTGTACTACTGGTAGATTTTCTGCAAGTTGCTATTTACTGTTTGTTTCTTATTTATCAGAAAATAATTGAGGAGATAGCAGCCAATCTGAGCTAATTCAGATTTGTAAGGTCCTTAGTGTCCTGAAATAGTTAACATATTTCTTAATCTAAAGCAAGTCCCCCAATGCACTTAAAGAAGTGTGGATTAACTTTTTAAATATGTTTGAGGACATGGTGAAGCATACTAAACACATATTTAACCAATGCTTCCCATTTTCACTTTCTAATAATTTTATGATAGTTTGTAATTGTTTTGTTTGGAATTAGTGATGAATGGAAATCACTTAAAAAAAAAAGTTGAGAAGTCATATCTGCTTAGGTGGCTTTCCTGCGGTGTTTTCATCCATCAAAGATGTTTATTTGTGAAGTGAAAGATAAAGAAATTTACTCCAGAAGACTGAGTGTATGGTTTAGGTGATTATTAATAGAGGGAAGTAGATAAAAGGTTAAGAAACCTGAAGAGAGAAAAAAAATGAGCCAGAAAAAGATGAGAGCATGTACAGCATTTTGGCATCATGCCATGTCAGATCTGAAAGGAACCCCAGCCGCCTACTAAAACTCTCGATAGCTCTGTAATACCTGCAACAGTTGGAGACTGGATAGCTTCAGTGACGGCAAATCCGCTGTTGCACATCAGTTTGTTCCATTGGTGGCTGCTTGTGTTATCATCTCATGCTTTCATTCACTAAAAATGTTTTCTACATTCATTCTCCACTATTCCTGGTTCTTCCTTCTAGAGCTATGTAAATAAATCTGAATTTCTAGTTTTCTTTAAGATTTGACCTTCCTTCATGTATCTTAATGGCTTCTTGACCTACTTTCCTCTCCAAAAGTGCATACAAGTTCATACTAAACTGATTCATTTCTTCTATTTCACATGTAATATGGAGTCTAAACCCTTTATCTCTGCTCTTAACAGAGTAGATTGGTTGCAGTTTCTTGGGTGCAGGAATGAAAAAATGAGTACATTTGCCTCAGCCTCCCATATAGCTGGGACTGTATAGGTGCATGCCACTACACCTGGTTAATTTTTGTATTTTTTGGTAGAGACGGTGTATCACCCTGTTGGCCAGGTTTGTCTTGAACTCCAGACCTCACTGCCTGCCTTGGCCTCCCAAATTACTGGGATTACAGGCATAAGTCGCTGCGTCTGGCTTGGGGGAGTTACTGTTGAAGTATTGTCTTTGTATCCCAAAGCAGGCCCTTCTGAAACTGATGATGTTGATGAAAAACTCCTTCTACTGAAGTCTTTGCAATGTATAATCTTTTCACTTCCATTTTCCTACATACTGTTTCTATTGGTTCCTTGTATTCCACAGACTGTGTTTTAGTATTTATAAGTATAGTGTTCCTTTTCTATGTGGAAAAGGGAAAATGTATTGGCCTTTTTTTAACATATAAATGAACTTCACAAGCAACAATTTTTCAAATCAGTTTTCCCTGTTGTGAATCTCGAAGTGGGTACATGATGCACTTTCCCATTTAAGGTAAAGTACACATTTATCCCTTATCTCAGAACAGTCAGAAGTCAGGTTCTTATTGTATGGTTAGTAATGCAAATATTGATAAGGTCATGTGAATACTTAGTATTTAGAAGAATTCTGAAATAGCACTTGTTACTCTGTAAGTTTTATGCATTTATTACTTTTTTTGAATTTTTTATAATGTTCCCAAACTTGACTGCCTTACTTCTATCTCTTCTGGCCTCAAGTACAACAAGATGTATTTTCTTTAGATTTAGCATATAATATAAATTCAATTGTTTATTTTAGATTTTGAAAGAACAAAGAGGAACTACAGAATCATTGCTTACATTGACACCGGCCCTGTTGTCCCAATGGATGGGTTTTTTTTGGATGAACGTCAAAATTGACCCTGCTGTTAAAGCTTGAAACTTGGATCTGTTGTATCTGAGTTCTCTCCTCAAAAAAAGACCTTCAGGAAGTATCAGATAACTGAAACATACCAGATCACAGCACCACATGCCTCCTGCCCCTCCCTAATTTCTGTTCTCTTATACATTGTTAAATTTTTTTCCTGCCCCTATTAGTCAAGCCCATGGATTTGAGACTGAGCTCCCAGCTCCTGGGCCGCAGCACCAGGTTAAAGCTTTCTTCCTTGGCAGTACTTGTCACCTCAGTGACTGGCTTTTTCTCCGATGAGCAGGAGGACCTGGACGAAACCCCTAGTGTTTGGGTAATAACATGAACGACCATCTTAACTGTTATTCTTTATTGAAATTTTACTTTTTAACTACTGGCCTCTTGTTCATTATCTCCCATTCTTTTGACTTCATATCTCTTTTTTCATTGACTTTACAGTCAAGGAACTTGATGCTCCCTAAATCCAAATATTACGGTTAAAAGAAGAGAGAGGAAATGTGTGCAGAGAAAGTGTATTTTACAAATGAATTAAAGGTGGATTCTGAGTTACAGGTTTATAGATTTACCTAGAGTTTTGAGTTCAGGTGAGTTTTCACAATATGCAGTAAGTGGAAAAGAATCCCAAAATAATTGTGACATGAAAAAGCTAGGTGTTGAAAACCAAAAAGATTTCACTTTGGTATGGCACTTTTAATTCAAGAATACTAGCCACCAAATGAGTTTTTCTGACTGTAATCATTGCTCTTTAAAAATTGAGATGTATTTATAACTTTTGTTTGACTTTTAGTACAGCTTCTGAATTTAGTTATCAATAGATAGGACAAAATAGATGAGCATCTGCTTCCCTTCCCCCTAAACAATGTATTCTTACCGAAATGTAATATATTTTTATTTATACTTGAAGACAGTGTTTTTCAATCTTTTCCATGTTAGTAGCTCAGATCTTTAAGGACAGAGGATGTGTACTGGGGGCAGTTTGTGGTCTTAATCCTAAGTGGCACTCTGATATTTTAGATTATTTCTTTCATATTTGTGAGTAAAACTTCTGCTCCAGTAGGATGAGCCTGTTTACCTTGTGACTGCCTAACAGATCTGTTGCTTTATATGCCAGTTTTTAGAAGCAGGCAGATTACGTTACTTGGATTAAAATGTTTTTGACACTAAAGGTAGTATCTTAAATTTTTACATATGAGTTACTTTAAGTACAACTTTGCTTAAATTATGGGGATCGAGTTTCCATAACTTTCACCATAGTGAAAATGGAAAGCAGGGAACATTCCACAGCAAATCCTGAACTTATTTACAGAGTTAATTGAGCAAAGCAGGCATTCACACTTGTGTGTGTGTGTCAGTGACAGATGAGCATGGTACTTGAAGCATAATTGTGCTGCTTCAGATTCCAATATCCAGTAATTTTATCATGTAGCTAGAGTAACTAATATTAAGTCCCCAAGCCTACTTGGGTCTACTGTATTTGTATTTTAAAAGAATGTTTTTAAGCTACCAAATAGACATGTTATATATTTCTTCTGAATTAGAAAATGTTATTTGGATTAATAGAGTTAATAGAATCATATTTTATGTTTATTATGTCTTTTTTTTTTTTCCTGAGATGGAGTTTCACTCTCGTCACCCAGGCTGGAGTGCAGCGGCGCGATCTCAGCTCACTGCAACCTCCGTCTCCTGGGTTCAAGTGATTCTCCTGCCTCAGCCTCCCGAGTAGGTGGGATTACAGGCCCCCGCCACCACGCCTGGCTGATTTCTTGTATTTTAGTAGATATGAGGTTTCACCATGTTGGCCCAGGCTGGTCTCGAACTCCTGAACTCAGGTGATCCGCCCTCCTCAGCCTCCCAAACTGCTGGGTTTACAGGTGTGAGCCACTGCACCTGGCCTATTATGTCTTAAAAGTGCTTGCATCGTCACCTAGATTATTTTTTATCTTTCAATGTGAGTTTTTATTGGTTTATATGTTGTTTGTTTTCTTTTTAGGAAGCCATCATTCTTTAGAGGGCAATGACCAAACAGTACCAGCAGAAATTGAAGTACCAGCAGAAGGCTAAGAAGGTTAGGAGAAAAAGACATTTTGTATTTTACTGTTTTTTTCTTTTTTTTTTTTTAGATGAAGTCTTGCTCTGTCACCAGGCTAGAGTGCAGTGGCACGATCTCGGCTCACTGCAACCTCTGACTCCCTGGTTCAAGTGATTCTCCTGCCTCAGCCTCCTAAGTAGCTGGGATTATAGGCACAGACCACCACATCCAGCTATTTTTTGTATTTTTGGTAGAGACCAGGGTTTCACCATGTTGGCCAGGATGGTCTCAATCTTTTGACCTCCTGATCCACCCACCTCGGCCTCCCAACATGCTGGGATTACAGATGTGGGAGCTTGGCCACCTCCTCTTGGGAGAAATGCACTGATTCTGGTTGCCACGTGGATTTATTTTGGGAGTGATATTCATCTAACTTCATGGAAATAATACTAGATAGAGAATTCATCCCCTAACTTTCTATCTGATGAGAGTTTTGGGCAAATCGAATACCAAGTTACCAAGTTTTGTTTTTTTCTCTGATGCAAAAAAACAATTTGCCAGCCAGTGAAAAACTCTCACAGCTCTGGATGTGAGTTTAGGATACTGGATTTCTACCATTCAATTTCTTACTACTTTTCTTGCACAGGGATCATGGCACAAGCTGCAGTTTCCACCCTGCCCATTGAAGATGAGGAGTCCATGGCAGATGAGGAGTCCGTTGAAGATGAGTCTGTTGAAGATGAGTCCGCAGAGAACAGGATGGTGGTGACATTGCTCATATCAGCTCTTGAGTCCATGGTGAGACCTTCCGTTCTAACATTCTGTAATTGGGTAGTACTGGGTGGTAGATAAGGTTGATTTGTTTTTGTAGAATTTATAATTTTATGATTTATAGTTCTAATGAGTAGATCTTTTTCTTGAATAGTAGTTATGGTCAAACACTTCTGACCAAATGTGCCATGTTGTCCAGCCTGGTCTCAAAATTTGGGGCTCAAGAGACCTGCCCACCTTGGCCTCCCAAAATACTGGGATTACAGGTGTAAGCCCCTGAATCTGGCCAGATATTTTTCTTTTTATGGCTGAATAATACTCTGTGTATGTATATATTACATTTTCTTTATCCATTCACCTACTGATGGGCATTAGGGTTGGTTCTACCTTTTGGCCACTGTGAATAATGCTGCTGTTAAACGGGTGTACAAATACCTGTTTGAGTCCCTGCTCTCAGTTATTTTGGGTATATACACTTAAAGGGTGTTGGTGGATCATATAATTCTGTGCTTAATATTTTTAAGGAGCTGCTAAACCATTTTCCACAGTGGGCTGTACCATTTTACATTCCAAAAGGCAATGCATACAGCTTCCAATTTCTCTATAGCATTGCTGACAGTTAATATTTTCTGTTTATGTACTGTATTTTTATAGTGTTTGAAATTAATCTGAGGGTTTTTGCTGATACCAAAATATTAGGAAAGGTTTTCCAAAAATAATACTGCTTATTATAAAGAATTTTATGTGTTACTTGATGCCCTGTGATCCATTTTCTCAGTAAGAAGAGGAACTTCTCGGCTGGGCGCAGCAGCTCATGCCTGTAATCCCAGCACTTTGGGAGGCCGAGGCAGGTGGATCACAAGGTCAGGAGTTCAAGACCAGCCTGGCCAACATAGTGAAACCCAGTCTCTACTAAACAAACAAACAAAAATTAGCTGGGTGTGGTGGCGGGCACCTCTAATCCCAGCTACTCGGAAGGCTGAGGCAGGGAATTGGTTGAACCTGGGAGGCGGAGGTTGCAGTGACCGAGATTGTGCCACTGCACCCAGCCTGTGTGATAGAGTGAGATTCCATCTCAAAAAAAAAAAAAAAAAAAGGAAAGAAGAGGAACTTCTCTCCATTCAACCTCATTCCACTGCACCAACTCTTCTGTGTCGGGTTGTGCAGGGGAGAAAGGGAGCTTGGCACCTCTTTGCTGTGTTGAGTTGTGGTAGCCCATCACTGGGTTGTAAAGTGCATTGCCTCCTCCCCCCCCCCTTTTTTTTTGAGACAGAGTCTCACTCTGTCACCCAGGCTCAGGTGCAGTGCTGAGATCTCTGCTCACTGCAACCTCAGCCTCCTGGGTTCAAGCGATTCTCCTGCCTCAGCCTCCCAAGAAGCTGGGACTATAGGCACGTGCCACCACACCTGGCTAATTTTTTTTATTTTTAGTAGAGACGGTATCACCATGTTGGCCAGGCTGGTGTTGAACTCCTGACCTCAAGTGATCCACCCACCTTGGCCTCCGAAAGTGCTGGGGTTACAGGCATGAGACACTGCGCCCATCCACCTCCTCTTTTACTTGGGAGAAATGCGCAGATTCTGGGTGCCATGTGCATTTGGGAGTGATACTGATCTAACTTATGGAAATAATACTAGATAGAAAGTTAGTGGATGGATTCTCTATCTGATGAGAGTTTTGGGCAAAACGAATTCCTAGTTTCTGAGTCTTATTTTTCCCCTGATTCAAGAAAACTGTGAATTATCCAGCCGGTGAAAAACTCTCACAGCTCTGGATGTGAGTTTAGGACACTGGATTTCTACCACTCACTTTCTTACTACTTTTCTTGTGCAAGGATCATGGCACAAGTTGCAGTTTCCACCCTGCCCATTGAAGATGAGGAGTTTGTTGAAGATGAGGAGTCCTTGGAGAGCAGGATGGTGGTGACATTCCTAATGTCAGCTCTCGAGTCCACGGTCAGACCTTCTGTTCTCACATTCTGTAGTTTGGTAGGACTGGGCAGTAGATAAGGTTGATTTATTTTTGTAGAACTTACAATTTTATGATTTTCAGTTGTAATGAGTAGACCTTTTTCGTGAATAGTAGTTATGGTTAAACACCTCTAACCAAATGTGCATGTGGAGTTTCTACACTGATTTTCAGACAATCTGGATCCCAACTGGGTATCCCACAATTCCATCCTGACACTCCCTGGAGTTAGTGCAGACCCCGCAGGATGGGGTCTCAGTCCCAGGAGTCTACCCTCACTCCACATGCCAATTGCAACTCTTGGGTTGTTACATGTAGTTTTGACCGACCAGTTAGAAAACAGGGTTTCATGACCCCATTGCTGGGTGGAATCATTTGCTCGGACAGCTTGCAGAACTCAGAAAAACAGGTTGTTTTTTTTTTTTTCTGAGATACAGGGTCTCAGTCTATTGCCAGACTGGAATGCAGTGGTGTGATCAAAGCTCACTGTAGCATGGGACTCCTGGGCTCAAGTGATCCTCCCACCTCAGCCTCCCAAATAGCTGAGACTACAGGCCCGCACCAGCATATCTGGCTAAGTTTTTTTATTTTTTGTAGAGAAGGGGTCTTGTTATGTTGCCCAGGCTGGTCTCAAATTTCTGGGCTCACATGATCCTCCCACCTCAACTTCACAAAATGCTGGGATTATGGGTGTGAGCCACTGCATCTCACCAATTTACTTTCTTTTACTGGTTCATTTTAAAGGCTATATCTCAGAAACAGCCGGTGAAAGAGATGTACATGCTGGGCACAGTGGCTCATGCCTGTAATTTCAGCTCTTTGGGAGACTGAGGCGGGAGCATCGCTTAAGTGCTCAGGAGATTAAGACCAGCCTGGGTAACACGGTGAAAACGCATCTCTACAAAAAGGTTTTTCTAAAAATTAGCCAGGTGCAGTGATCTATAGTTCTAGCTACTCAGTGCCTATAATTCTAGTTACTCAGGAGGCTGAGGTGAGAGGATGAGAGATGGGGCTTGAGCTAGGGAGGCATAGGTCGCAGTGAGCCACGATTGTGCCACGGCACTCTAGGCTGGGGGACAGAGCCAGACCCTGTTTCAAAAAAAAAAAAAAAACCACAGGGCAAGGTGTGTCGGGAGGTCGGGAGGGCTGCAGAACTTCCATGCTCTCTATTGCGCGTGTTACCTTCCTGCTATCTCCCTTGTGTTCAGCAACCCAGGCATTCTCCAAATCTGGTTGTTGAGGTCATTTATGAAGGCTTCTTTAAGCAGGCATGATAGATGAAATCATTGACTATTGGTGATTAAGTCAGTCTTCGGCCACTATTTCTTCGTGGAGCCCAGTGGGTGAGGCTGACAGTTCCAAGCCTCTAATCACATGGTTTGTTCTTCTGGCAACCAGCCCTTTTTCTTAAGCTGTCTAGGAGCTTTCAGTCACCCAGTCAAATCAGTAACATCACCAAATGCATTCTTACTATGGTGATCCCAAAGGTCTTAGAGGCTCTTGTGTTAGAAACCTGGGACTAAGACCAAATATTCAAACAAAAGATGCTCCTATCACCTTTATCACCAAGGCCTTTATAAGAACTTGAGAAGCTCTGTGCCAGGACGAGGGGCAGAAACCAAATGTGTATTTCTTTTCTTTTTCTTTTGAACACAAGTGTCTCTGTTTCACCCAATCTGGAGTGCAATGATGCAGTCGTAGCTAACTGCAGCCTCAACCACCTGGGCTCAAGCAATTCTCCCGCCTCAGCCTTCCAAGCATCTGGGACTACAGGTGCACACCATCCATGCCCAGCTGATTTTTGTATTTTTTTGTAGAGATGGGATCTTGTTATATTGCCGAGGCTGGTCTTGAACTCTGGGGCTAAAGCAATCCTTTCACCACAGCCTCTCAAGTAGCTGAAACTACAGATGCATACCACCATGCCCAGCTAATTTTCTCTTATTTCTTTTTGTTGTTTAATTGAGGGGGGGGGTCTCACTGTGTTTCCCAGGCTGGTCCCGAACTTCTGGCCTCAAGCATTTCTCCTGCTTTGACCTCCTAAACTGTTGGGATTATGGTTGTGAGCCCCGGCCTCTGTGTCCAGCAATCACAAGAGGTCTTTATAAGTGAAAGAGGGAGGTAAGAGAGTCAGAATTGAAGGAGATTTGATGATGGAAGCACAGGTCACAGAGGGAGATTTGAATATGCTTTGCTTCTGGCTTTGAAGATGCATTTAGGGGCCATGAGGCAAAGAATAGGGGTGGCTTTTGGAACTGGGAAAGGCAAGGGAACACCTTCTCTCTGGAACCTCCAGAAGGGATGCAGTCCTGCTGACACCTTGACTTTAGCCTTAATAGACCTATTTTGGACTTCTGGCCCCCAGACCTGTTAGGTAGTAGATTTGTGGTGTATTAAGCCACTCAACGTAAGGTAGTTTGTAACAGCAGCAAGAAGAAATGAACATGAAGCCAGGGGTAGTGGCCCACACCTATAATTCCAGCTATTTAGGAGGCTGAGGCAGGATGGTTGCTCTGGCCCAGGAGTTCAAGATAAGCCTGGGCAACAAAGTGATACCCTGTCTACATGGGAAAAAAAAATTAGCGGGTGTAGTGGCATGCACTTGTAGTCTTAGCTACTAGAGGCGCTGAGGCAGGACGATTTCTTGACCTAGGAGTTCCAGGTCTCAGTGTGTTGTGATCGTGCCATGGTGCCCCAGCCTGAGTGACACAGCGAGATTATATCTTAAAAAAAAAGTAAAAAGAAATGAGTGAGCATGGCAGGAATGGGGACACATAGCAATATTAAATAGAGTGGTCAGGGTTGGCCTCCTAAGTGAAAATTGAGCAAAGACTTGAAGGAGGGGAAGGAGCTGGCCAAGGTACTGAGGGAAGAGCATTATAGGCAGAAACAACAGAATAAAGATGCTAAGAGGGAACTCCGTGGTGTGTCTGAAGCTCAGGAAAGAGGATTGTCGAGCAGAGAGGGGGAGAGAAGGTAGGGGAGGAGGCCAGGGAGTTGTGGGACTCAGATCAGTACAGATTGTGCAAGCCCTGGGAGGCTATTGCTGGGGCTTTGGCTTTTATGCTGTCTGAGATGGGACATGCGGAAGGGTTCTGAGCAGAGAGGTGACACGAACTGTCTATTGATTTAAAAGCATCCCATGGTGGCTGAGTTGAGAAAGATTGTGGGAAGATTTGGGTAGAAGCACGGAGGCCAAGCTGTGGCAACATCCAGGTGGGAGATGATAGTGGTTCTGACCAGGGTCCTGGCAATGGTGAGAGATGGTTGATTCTTGTTGAGATACTAAGTAATTAAAAAAAAGAAACACTACTGCTTTTCCTGATTATATGAAGTATGGGATGCTAGATTAAAGACATCTTAAGTCGGGCCAGGTGCAGTGGCTTATGCCTGTGGCGTCAGCACTTTGGGAGGCACAGATGGCACAGATGGGAGAATTGTTCAAGTCCAGGAGTCTGAGACCACCCTGGGCAACATAGCAAGACCTCCTGTCTATGCAAATAAAAATTAATAAAATATAATTATCATGGGATAGTGGTATTTTCCTGTAGAACCAGTTACTCTGGTTGTCGAGATGGGCAGATCTCTTGAGGGTGGGAGTTTGAGGCCACCTTGGGCAACATAGCAAGGCTCCTCTTTCTACAAAAAAAAAAAAATTATCTGGGTGTTGTGGTCCCAATGAGGGACAGCATTCCTGAGACTTTTTAAGTACTTCGTGTGATGGTCTAATAATCATAGCCTTAAAACTTTCTGGCTGGGCATGGTGGCTCACACCTGTAATTCCAGCACTTCGAGAGGCCGAGGCAGGTAGATCATCTGAGGTGAGGAGTTCGAGACCAGCCTGGCCAATATGTGAAACCCTGTCTCTACTAAAAATACAAAAATTAGCCAGGCATGGTTGCAGCACCTGTAATCCCAGCTACTCGGGAGGCCAAGACAGGAGAATTGCTTGAATCCGGGAGGCAGAGGTTGCAGTGAGCTGAGATGGGCCACTGCACTCCAGCTTGGGCAGCAGAGTGAGACTTGGTCTCAAAGAAAAGTTATTGTGATATGCTGTACACATTCACGAATTCAGTGTCTCCCAGAAGTGTGAGATTCTTTTTTTTTTTTTTTTTTTTTTTGAGACAGAATTTCACTCTTGTTGCCCAGGCTGGAGTGCAATGGTGTGATCTTGGCTAACTGCAACCTCCACTTCATGGGTTCAAGCAATTCTCCTGCATCAGCCCAAGTAGCTCCTGCCTCCCAAGTAGCTGGGATTACAGGCATGTGCCACCATGCTCAGCTAATTTTTTATTTTTAGTAGAGTTGGGGTTTCTCCACGTTGGTCAGGCTGGTCTCGAACTCCCAACCTCAGGTGATCCACCCGCTTCGGCCTCTTGAAGTGCTGGGATTACAGGTGTGAGCCACCATGCCCAGCCAGAAAGTTTTAAGGCTATGATTATTAGACCATCACACACACACAAAGTACTTAAAAAGTCTCAGGAATGCTGTCCCTCATTGGCCTGGTATGACAAAGATAAGAAGTCGGTCGTGAAAATTTCTGAATGTGGTTTAGGACAAGGAACCCCAGTAAGAATCAGAGACAACCTAGAAAATTGAAAGAAAATTTTACTACTGAAATCATCCTTCTATAAAAAATAATAGAAGATGTCAAATATGAAAATAAAACTGTCCTCTGGGCCCTCAATTTTCTGTGTTATGGGAGAAGGCAGACAGCTACTCAGCAGTTATATCCCATAAGAATGGATAATACTAAAACAACTGACAGCATCAAGTATTGGTTAGAAAGTGGAACTGATTCTCTCATTTTCATTGTAGTTTAAGATGGCATAACCACTTAGGAAAATGTCTCCCCATTTCATACAATGCCAAATATATACTTATTTTATAACCCAGAAAATCCACTCTTATGTACTTAAACTCAAGAAAAGTGAAAATATTATTACAGAAAAAAATATGTATATCTGATTTGTTCGTAGCAGGTTTATTCATGATAGCCTCAAATCGGAAACTGCTTTTGTGTCTATCAATAGTGGAATGGATTAAAAACAAAACAAGCAAAGGCCTCAAACCTGTGGTACAGTCATAAAATTGAATATTACAAAATAATGAATAATCAGTAGGAGCAAAATGATGTGTCACAAGCATGTTTAGTGAGTGAACATAAAAATTATATAATTTATAGTTTCACTTACATAAATGGTGAAAACAGACAAAACTAACCTTTTGTGGAAAGAATCAAAACCGTGGAAGCCTCTGTGTTCAAATACTGACTGGAAATGGGCAGGAGAAAACATGTTTCTGCCAGATCTTCTATATGCCTGATGTGCATTCACTCGATGTATTTTGCGTATACTATTTTTGCAAATAAAACTGAGATAAAGGCAAAATAACTCAAGAGAAAATAGGTAGAAATAGGTAGAGTTGGGATAGAAGCCTTGGAAGCTACCCCCGTACCTTGCCCACCTGGCACAGGCCGAGGAAGTCCTGGGACAATGCTGTGAGCGACCTGAGGGCCGTCCAGGGGAGCCCCGCCAGCCCATGCTGGCGCCCGAGCTGCCCGCCGCCATCTGAATATGTTGCAAAGACAGTGCTGGCCTGGCAACCGGTGACGCTCCACGCCCCACCTCGACCCCCACTTCTACCCAAGTAGTGGCAACGCTAGAGACAGATGCCTGGGCGGCAGCGGTTAAGTCTGGCAGTTGGCCAGGCGGCCAAAGGACGGGAACTGGCTGTTCACCCCATCCCAGTTCCACAGAGAACTCAACCACTATGGCCCCTGAGCGGACCTTCAGGCCTGGTGGGCTGTGCTCTGTGCCCGCAAACTTGACGCCATCCAGGGGAGCTCCGCCTTCCCGCGCCAGCGCCTCAGCTGCTGCAGAAAACTGCAAAACTGCAAGTTGCACACGGGCAGAGATGACGGAGCAACCCCCGACCCTCCGCGCCACTCACCCTACCTGCACACCTGCCGCGCGGACCCTGGGGCGGGTGCCTGGGCGCCCAAGTCAGGCAGTCCGCAGAGCAGTGGCACCAGGGTGAAAACCTGCTGCTCGGTACCATCCCGGTTACCACGAAGAGCCAGTCCCGGCGGCCCCTGCGTTCTTGAAGGAGGACAAGTCAGAGCAACCTCTCAAGTGGGAGGGCGATGCACTTGACCCTGAGGACATCAGGTACCAGGCCCGCCAGCTCACGCCGGCATCGGAGCCGCAGCTGCAGTCTAGACGTGGTGCACCGGCAGCAAGTGACTGGACACTCCAGACCAGGCCCGCCCCGCAGTAGCGTGGATCCTGAGGCCAGACCCCCAGGCAGCAAAATCAGGCAACCGGCCCCGCCAGCAGCCGCTGTTTCATCCGTGTGGACACAGAGTGCCCAGCGCCAGGGCCCAGGATCCAGAAAGATGTCCAAGAGGAGCGGACCTTGAGGCCAGGTGGGCTGTGCGCTCTGCGGCCCTGAGGCCATCCAAAGGAAGCTCCGCCATCCTGCGCCAGTGCCAGATCTGCAGCTGCAAACCGCGCGTGTGGCACTGGCAGCAGTGAGGGCGGGTGGGGGAAGGAGCAGCCCCTGACTCTGCCTCCATCCCTCTCCAGCTACCTGACACTAGCCACACAGACTTCAGGGCCAGAGCCTCAGCGTTCAGCCAATCCGCGAAGCCACTCAGGTGGCCGCGGAGTGCCCTTGCCAGCACCGTATCTCCCTTCCGAGGAGGAGCGGGGCGGGCTGCAAGGCCAGACAGGCCCTCCTTCTCAGGCCGGGCTGGCTGCGCGCCTGCGATCCTGGGGCCGCCCGGGCGATCCCAGGAGAACCGGCGAGCCCATCGGCGCACGCCCAGAGCTGCAGCCCCACCTGCTGGCGCGCGCCGCTAGGGAGCGTCTTCCGGGAGCCCGGCAGCAACCGCGGTGCAGGCGCGCGCCGCCAGGGAGCGTCTTCTGGGAGCCCGGCAGCAACTGCCGTGCAGGCGCGCGCCCAACGGCTTTGCGAGGCTCACTCGGTCTGAGAGGTCGGAGGCTGCGAGTGTCGCTGCTGAAGGCTGTGGTGGACCGGGCTGGATCGCGGATTGTGGAGTAGATTATAGATTTGAAATAGCGGAGTTGGGGTTGGATCGGGGCTTTGGGGTTGGATAGGGGATTTGGGGCTGGGTCGGCCGGGGTCGGGGAGGGGGGTGGTGAAAAGGTGACAGGGAGCTGCCCTCGCTCAAGAGCCGGTGGTTGGGGGTCTGAGAAGAAGTCACCAATATGAAGTTATTCGGCTTCGGGAGCCGCAGGGGCCAGACGGCCCAGGGCTCCATAGACCACGTCTACACGGGTTCCGGATACCGAATCCGGGACTCCGAACTGCAGAAGATCCACAGGGCAGCTGTCAAAGGCGACGCCGCGGAGGTGGAGCGCTGCTTGGCGCGCAGGAGCGGAGAACTGGACGCCCTGGACAAGCAGCACAGGTAGCGGGGGCTCAGCCCGGGGTGGGAGGGGGCCCCCAGGCCCGGCTTCCCCGCAGACCCTGGGACGGGGCCGTGCAGGGCGCCGGGCACCCTCGGAGCGGCGGAGCCAAACGGACTCTCAGCTGTTTTCCATCCCTCATAATTCCCTGGCTGGAGCAGTTGGAGAATTTGAGTGATTTAACTCACAAAGTTAAGCATATACAGCGTTGTTATTTTTAACGTACACGTTTAAAATATGGTTTATATACATTATAGGAGGTGCCTAATGAGAGTACTTGTTCCCCTATCAAAAATAACCGTGAGTTGTTTCAGTGGGCGAAAAGTTCTCAGATAAGAGAGCTTACTTGAAAAATATTTACTATATTATATATATATATATATTTTCAGATGAAAAGTATGTTTTCATTTTATAGGGAATTCATTATATTCTTTTTTTTTTTTTTGAGTCGGAGTCTCGCTTCTTTGCCCAGGCTGGTGTCCAATGGCACAATCTTGGCTCACTGCAACCTCTGCCTGCCGGGTTCAAGCAATTTTCCTACCTCAGCCTCCCAAGTAGCTGGGATTGCAGGCAGGTGCCAGCATGCCTGGCTAATTTTTGTATAGTTTCACCACGTTGGCCAGGCTGGTCTCGAACTCCTGACCTCAAGTCATCTGCCCGCCTCCGCCTCCCAAAGCGCTGGGATTACAGGTGTGAGCCACCGCGCCTGGCCTATGTTGTTTATTATATATCATAAGATATATATATATTACTGATATGTATACATATATAACACATATAATATGTTATATATATCAGTTATATATACACATTAGATGAAAAGTACCTCTTCATTTTACAGGAAATTCTTTCAAATCAAATCATCAAACACTCTAAAAGTGGGCAAAGTACCTTTTTCCAGATCTACAAGTTACTTATATACATAGGAAAAAATCCTTCGCATTTCTGGTATAAGAATTTAAACTAAAAGAGGAATGAAACAGTTTTCTATCCACAATATTTGTGAGGATGTTTTATACTGCTGCTTAAAGTTGCTGATTACTTTTCAAAGTACTCATTTGAAAATGGTAAGTACTACATTTAAAAAATGTGTATGCCCTTTACCCACCAATTCCATTATACTAAAATACCCTTAGGAAATAAAGATACATGCACTTTATTTTTCACAGTACTTACTTTAAAGAGAACCCATAGAATGGATCCTATAAATAAATTTCAGTTGCATCCATAGGATGGAATAATATGTGACCACTGAAGGTGGCAGTAGATACAGAAGTACGTTGATGTGCAAAGATGTATTTTGTTATAGCTAGCAAGGAGAAAAAATTAGTTAAATTATACATACACAAACATACTATGGTCTTGTTTTAGCAAAAATATGTACAAAATATAAAATTTGTAATTTCTGAGCATTTGTATTTTAAGTAAAGTTTTTTTCCTTTTTCTTATCTGTGATTGCTGCAGTGAGTACAAAACTTCTAGTAAAAGTTTATTATTAATGGACTAATCCTTGGGAAGAGAGGAATATGAATCTTGCGCTGATGAAAATAATTTCTCACTTTCTATTTTTTGTCATTATTGTGTGTGTTGTTATCTTCTTTGAGCTTTTAGCCTCTTCAGAAGTAAAAAAGGAATGTTTTTATCTGTTTCCAGATTTTATTATCTATATATTTTATTATGTACATATGTTTTGCTTATATACTCATTCCATTTATGCAAACATAATCATTTCATTTTAATTGTGTTCTTTAAAAATAAAACAACACATATAAATAATTACTATTGCAAAAATATTGCTTTATAGGAGTTTATTTAAAAATAATGAACTCCCCAACTGTATTTATCCATTCTTTCATTCCATTTATGGATCAAGCATAACCTGAGTACCTGCTATGTAGCAGACATATTCTATCATCTCTCAGGACCCGTCCATCCTTAAACACTTCATGTTTACCTGCCCTGCCTGCACAAGCTGAGAGATTTAAAATAGGAATATTGGGACTTAATCTCCTTGAAACTTTATCTCCCACCTTTCAAACAAAAGCATTTCTGAAGTTAGAAAATAGTAGAAGATAACCTTTAACTGCTCTTTCGAAAGTTTATCAGTCTTAAATACTAATATTAATCATTGGAAAGTCTTATTTGCATATATTTTCTAAGTATAAATATTGAATACAATGAGCCATATGTATTCATTTGAATCATGAGTTTCCTTTGGTTTCAAGTTGTTTGAAAATCAAAGAATTAATTTGTTTAAAAAATGCATTATTGTTATTTCAGTGCTCTTTCCCCATAGTACCTTTAAGAACTAAAATGTATTTAAGTTTCAGTTACATGCCTAGAACTGCCCTAGACCTGCTGAGTATACCATATTCTACTTAATGTAAGGTCTCATGGATTGCGTGATGCCCCGATATTTTATATATCAATAAGATAATTTTTAAAATGCTACCAATTATAGTTATAACAAATCATGAATTATAAGTGGCATTCCAATGTCAGAGGTGTTAAAATGTGACCTACTCGTTAAGTCATCTTGCAAAGTAGGTATAATTGTATCATTCTACCTAATTAAAATGGTTTTGTTAAGTAGTAGTAATAGTAATAATTATAATATCTGGCTGGGTGCAGTGGCTCACACCTGTAATCCCAGAACTTTGGGAGGCTGGGGTGAGAGGATTGCTTGATGCCAGGAGTTTGAGACCAGCCTGGGCAACAAAGTGAGATTCTTACTCTACAAAAATTTTTAAATAAATAGCTGGGCATGCTGGTGCTCATCTGTAGTCCCAGCTACTCAGGAGGCTGGGGATGGAGGATCATTTGACCCAGGAGTTCCAGGTATAGTTACACCATTGCACTCCAGCCTGGGCAAAAGAGTGAGACTTTGTCTCAAAAAACAAAAATCTTACAATTATTGAGTTGTCGTAGGAACTGTTCTACATACTTTACATAGCTTCTCATTTAAGCATCACGATGGTGTCCTATGAGATAGCTACTATTGTCATCTTTATTAATGAGGAAGTTGAGGTACAGAAAGGCTAAGCAATAGTTGGTAAGTGTCAAGGCTTAAAGTAGGACTCAAGCCCTAGTTGAACCGAATCCAAAGACTGAGCTCTTTCTACTCAAATAGGCTGCTGTTTTCATTAAGGCAGTGAGCAATAAGAGCTAGTAAGTATTGTACTTTCTTCAAAAAATTTATTTGTTTTGAAGGCAGAGGAAAAACATGCTATTCAGTTTTTACATTACATGAATGATTGTATGTTTTGAGATATTGTACTACAGTTTCTTAAAAAATCCTCTTACTCTCATAGAACTGCTCTACACTTGGCCTGTGCCAGTGGCCATGTGCAAGTGGTCACTCTCCTGGTTAACAGAAAATGCCAGATTGATGTCTGTGACAAAGAAAACAGAACGCCTTTGATACAGGTATATTAGAGCCAACTCTTTTAGCATGACATGGATTTGATTTACATATATAGAATTAAAATAAATTGATCTCATTTACATATAACTAGTTGGTGAAACCTGTGGAATGTGTATTTTGAATTCTTGGAATTTACAGTCTGTTTCTTGGTCTAACACGGACAGGCTGTCCATTGCCAGGAAGAGGCTTGTGCCGTTATTCTGCTGGAACATGGCGCCAATCCAAACCTTAAGGATATCTACGGCAACACTGCTCTCCATTATGCCGTGTATAGTGAGAGCACCTCACTGGCAGAAAAACTGCTTTCCCATGGTGCACATATTGAAGCACTGGACAAGGTATAGGTCAATCAACTTTCTTTCCAAAATATTTGTTTTAACATTGACATAGGTAAGGGTCAATTTTTTATATTTGGAAGCTCAACCATTCCCTGAATGCAAATACAAATTAAGTTATTTTGAAATAACTTAATTGTCTAAGATTTTATTTTAAATATTGATATTTTTAAAGAAGCATTAAAGGGCACAGCTTTATAAAATGCACTTTGGAAAATATTTGTGAATTTGTTAAAGGTAAAACCTTTTCAACTTTTTTTCTACACAGGCTTATTCTTTTTTTTTTTTTTTTTTCTTAATTAATGTAAAACAACACAGGAAAGAAAATATTCCCCGGAATTAGGCTTTATCTTAAAACTCAAACAAAACTAAAGCAACTTACAATAAAGGGACATGTTGCTGTTGCTGCTAATTTTCTGAAAAACTGATGTATCATCTTTCAGTGGCAAGGCTTAAGAGGGAAAAATGGGAGGGGAGAAAGAGAGCAATCAGAAATATGCAGGTCACTTGGATATTAGATAATGAGGGAAAATGCCAGGAAGACTTTTTTTTTGTTTTAAAGTTTGTTTTATGTGTTGAGACAAGGTGCTGTTTAGCTTTGGGTCTAATAATTTTTGGTTTGAAAAAGAATGAATTGCAACTTGCCTAGAGATGAATTTTAGGAGGACTCTGAGGAAACCAGATTGGCAGTGAATATGTGGTGACGAAGTGAGAAACACTTCAGCAGAAGGTGGAACAAATTATTAACTGACTTATTGCTCATCCTGGCAGAAACAGCCACTTAGATAAGAACCTAAAGCCTCCTCTCAAATCTAGAATGTCTTAGTGGGAAGGTGGGAGATAAGGAGCTTGTAAATAGCAAAATCAAGTGGGATTTTGAGTTTACTTGTCCCTGTTCTACCCATAGCCAGGAAACTTAACTGGAGTTTTAATAAATGACACTATCTCTTACTCTTTTCTCTTTTTGGCCACATCTCCAACTGATAAAGGAATTAGCCATGTGGGTGAGAGGTGAGACTGAAGTGATTGTCTGCTGCACTGATTCTCAGAATTGTGCATTACAGTGACCTGAGGACATTTTGTTAAAAATCTACAATTGTAGGCTTTCCCCTGAAGATTTTGATGTAATAGACCTATTAAGGCCTGAACGTGTTTAAAAATGTTTTCTTGAAGCTGGGCACAGTGGTGTATTCCTGTAGTCCCAGCTTGAGCCTAAGAGTTTGAATCCAGCTTGAGCAACATAGTGAGACTCTTGTCTCTAACAACAATAATAGCCAAAAAAAAAAACCCACAAAAAAACAAAAAACCTTCAAGGTTGGGATACACTCTTGATTAAAAACCCCAGAATAGATAAGTGCAATATATAAATTTCTGTATCTCAAAAATGTAAGAAATCTCTAGAAGAGTTGGCATTTGATAGTTGCCACTTCCTTCAGAGTTCTCCTTTTCAATTATATTAGCCTGACTTATCTGTCTTTCTCTACATCTGTGACTGGGAAGTGAAAGGAAATATCATTGGCAATATCTCTCAGCTTACAGAATAACATGTTTTGCTTCCCACCATGAATCATTCACTACCATTCAGAGAGTCTTCAGAAATTTGCTTATGAGTAATCTTTCAATAGGTAGAGGCTGACCCTTTCATGATTTCATGTCCCTTTGTCACCACGCAGGTGATTATGTGTCAACAAATGTTCATTACAAGTTTGGCTTTCTCAATTAGAATAGCAAATCCTAAACTATTTTTTTTAGTTGAAGTTTTATTATGAACTATCTCAGTATGTTTGTTAAGTTTATAGAACTTTAGCATACCCAAAATGTCAGTTTTAAACACTGAAATCCATGAAGTTAATAAGAATATAGATAGGAATTCTTTTAATAATTTAGTTTTAGCAGTCTTGTGAACCAATTATCTATTTGGTTAATAATCTGGGAAAATTATATACAAACATATTTTAAATGAATACATGTTGGAAAAATTCTTGAAGCAGGTATTGTGAGTCTTTTTAGCAATTTTTATTATATATGAGAGCCTGATTTTTTGGTAGAACATATGATACCAGAGAAAGAAAATATTTTACATGCAAATACTTGGATTATACACAACCATTTAGTAACACATTAATAGCGAATATAAAAAAAACAAGGGCTATATTCTAATGTGGTACACAGATTTGTTTGTTTGCCTCTATAAGTTGAATCAACATGTAAAATTTAGAAGACTCGTGAAGAAATGTGGACTTCAGGCATATCCTAAAAAGTCAAATCTGGTGTCCCCTGAGTTTCTATCATTCTTTGGTCTGCTGTGCAGAAGTTGCCCCTTTATAGAAGGCAGGTATTCTCCAGTTTGCTACTGTGCCCACCTTAGTACTTCCCTTACTCAGGCAACCTTCCTTTGTCCTTGTAAGTATCTGAGTTTACAACTCCTATGTTATAGTATATTTTGATAAAAATTTCAAGGTTTTTAAGTCAGCATGTATTTGTTTATAATATATAGTCTATAGAGTATATAAATCCCTCAGTTATGGAGTTGAATTTTAGAGTTTAGAAGTTTTTAACTCTTTTCTTTATATATACCACAAATAATTCTCTGCCCATAAGAATGCCTAGAAGCCTTTTTAGGTTATTCCTGGTTATAGTTGGATAATTTATGAATATTGCAGACAGTACATCTTTCTCCTCAGTGCTCTTCCTTAAGGATGCAAGTGACTTATTGGCTTGTATTATGCCAGAAATAATCCATATGGATCAGTATGAGAACTTCTATTGATAAGCCATTATGTTTTTATTTCCGATTTATATTTTGTCTAAAATAAAAAATAATTTTAAGTAGCCATTTAAGTGGAAGCCAGTAAAAATGGATTTAAAAAGTAGAGCTGCACTAGGGTCCCGGGATTACCATTATAATTGAGAATAGTATTTCTTACTGAGTTTTGGTTTTTAAAATATTTCCTCTTAAGTTTTTTAAACCTATCTCTCTTACACAGAATATACTGAGCTTTCTAACAGTAAAGATAAAAATCTCTTCTCTTGTATTAGGGGAAAAACCCATGGACTATTTAATAATAAGGAAAATAAATGCATTTGAAGCCAATCTGTCTTAATTCAAAGCTCATTTCCATGGTGACCCATTTGGAGCAGGAGTGCCTGACATTGGCATCTGGGATCCTGACACCATTGATAGAAGTGAATCAAGCAAGTTTGTACCACCCAGAGGGAACTGCCACCTGTATTGGGAAGCTCTGGCAACTGTATCTCTGAAACTCTTAATTCCTCAAATGTTAATGTTTGCCACAAATAGTATTGTGAAAGGGGATTAGGTGAAATTAAAGAGATTTCTTGATTATTGGACATAAAATACAGTTTTGTAATACTTCTCAAATACAGATGGTCATGGAGTCTTTCTCTTGCGGTATAATACTTCTGATAAAGCAAATATTCTTTGGAATATAGTTTAAGAGACACTGCTTTAGAGATAGTAATTTAGATCATTAATTAATGTAAAAAACTTAAAATATTTGCTACTGTGTCTTAGGGTTTTAGGCCCTTGCCTCAAGAAGCTCTTGGTTTCAGTGGGAAACAGTGAAATGACTACAATGTACCATGATAAGTGCTGTGATCAAAGCAAGGATTCTTGGGACTAGTAAATGTTTAAAGTGAGTTTTGGCAATGACCACAGTTAATCCGGGGAGACAGAGGAGGGTTGTTTGCAAGGCAAAGCACAGCATATCAGAAAGCACAGAGGAGTGAGAATGAAGGGACTGCTTTTCATTTACTTCCTTTCTGTATTGTATGTTGAAGTTCAAAGCATCCTAGAGAAGATTTTCAGTTCAGTTGAGAAATATGTAATTTTGTGAATTATTAATTTTTTTCTGCTGTTTTATAGGACAATAATACCCCACTTTTATTTGCTATAATTTGCAAGAAAGAGAAAATGGTGGAATTTTTATTGAAAAAGAAAGCAAGTTCACATGCCGTTGATAGGCTGAGACGGTACAGTAGTTCTTTTTTTAAAAATAAAACCTGAGTATTCTAGAGTGGTCACTCAAGTCAGAAATATTAATAAGAAGATTAACATAATTATTGGCATATAATGAAAAATATCACCATGAATAATCAGGTAGACCAGCCAATATTTGGACTGAGTAACATAAAGAATAGTATATAGTAGGATTCATCTTCTCTTATAATATACAGAGTTTGGTATTTATAATCAGATGTTTTTGGTACTGTAATCTTTTATTAGCTAAAGGGTTTTGTATTAGTTTTATTAATTTTTTTTTTTTTTGAGATGGAGTCTTGCTCTGTTGCCAGGCTGGAGTGCAGTGGTGTGATCTCAGCTCACTGCATTCTCCACCTCCCAGGTTCAAGCGATTCTCCTGCCTCGGCCTCCCAAGTAGCTGGGACTACAGGTGCACGCCACCATGCCCAGCTAATTTTTGTATTTTTAGTAGAGATGGGATTTCACCATGTTGGCCAGGATGGTCTTGATCTCTTGACCTCGTGATCTGCTCTCCTTGGCTTCCCAAAGTGCTGGGATTACAGGCATGAGACACTGCACCTGACAAGTTTTATTCATTTTTAAAGTGTGGACTTTTAGTTTATGACTACTAGCATTGTCATTATTATTGTTGTTGTTGTTGTTGTTTTCAGCCTGCAGATAACTCTTATCTGACCCCTAGCTGATTTGACTAGGAAAGCAACGGGGAAATCTTCATCTAAATCTTTGCCTACTTTAGATAAGTGACCTCAGCACAGTTTCTTGGCCATCAAAGGACTATAAGTTAGCAACTTGTATTATGTCTTACCCCAGTGGGACAAGAGGCTTCCCTGTTGTCCCTTTCTTTTAGCCTTGGTGACAATTTACAAAGATGAACACTTGAGCACCCTAGATGCTTATAGACCCAAGCTAGTACATGCAAATGGTTATTACATCTATACTGACAGGCGGATATTAAACTGGTAAAGTGTATCAAACTAGCTTTTTAAAAAAGTCTTTATTAAAGTTCTTGAGTGGAGTTATTTCTTTGTTGTTTTAGGTCAGCTCTCATGCTTGCTGTATACTATGACTCACCAGGTATTGTCAATATCCTTCTTAAGCAAAATATTGATGTCTTCGCTCAAGACATGTGTGGACGAGATGCAGAAGATTATGCTATTTCTCATCATTTGACAAAGTAAGTGTTTATGTTAAAAGGCCAGTTAATGCTAAATTGAAGTTTAAAATAATTGCAACTACTCCATCTTATACATTAGGTGAGAGTTCATAGTTTGGTTCAGATAGTTTGAAATAGCGAAGAGTTAGTCTACCTTTTAGCCAGAAATCAAGCAGAAGTCTAGATTAGTTAGAAGTAGAGTGCGAGATTTTTTCTGGATTTTTGAGACATTTATCCCTAGGGATCTCAATGTTATTCATTTTATTCTAAGTATAATCCCCATGCATGGGATAAAAAGAGCCATGTCTTTGATTTCTTTTCCTTTCCTTTCCTTTTTTTTTTTTTTTTTTTGTAGAGACAAGGTCTCACTCTGTTGCCCTGGCTGGTCTTGAACTTTTGAGGTCAAGTAATCCCCCTGCCTCGGCCTCTGAAAGTGCTAGCCACCATGCCTGGCCTGACTTTTCTAATTAGTTATTGAGTCTTGTAATGTCCAGTTTAACAGAAAATCTTGTATTGTCCCCTGGGGCTCTCTCCTGTGTCTTCCTTCTTTGAATTTTCCAAGAAGCTAAGGGGTTTCCTAAGTCCAAGGAAGGCAATCTTTCTTTACAAGTCAGAAGAAGGGGAAAAAAGGCCATTCTAATCATTCTGTTGTTTCCATGGACTCACTTGCTGTATTATTGCCATTATAACCGGTCCTGCAATCTGATAATGATTGACCTTTGCCACCAGGATGCCTTCACTGATTCAGACCCCTCAGTTTTCATGGTGATTCATATATAGAGGTCAAAGCTACGGTGTTTATTAGTTTATGTACTTGTGCTCAGTCATTGTTCCCAGCACCCTGCTCTGGCAGCTAGGCCTCCTAGCTTTATCCACACAAATATTGAGCAAGTTGATGCTCACCCTACACTAAAAACCTTATTTGGAGCCCACGTCTTAGCTAGACTTTGCCTAGGCCTTCATGGTATGTTATCCTTTGAGAGCCATGTTTGTCTTTCCTTTAACCAATATTAGTTGGGATTGTTCTCAATAGTCAGGGATGTTCAAATAATGTTGCAGGAAGAGATCAGAGTTCCCTGTCTCTTTTGCTATCAGATCTGTACCTTGAGGCTTTTTTATATCCTGTGCAGCAGCTTTGGTTAGATAGCGGAATGTTCCATGTTATCTTTCCACTGAGTAGTGGGAACCAGCTTGCAGTTGGCCCCTCAAGTAATGTGTCTCTATAATCATGAAAATCTCCTGGGCTACTTGCAGCTCTTCCTCAAGTTTTCAATATATTTTAAAATTCTACCTCACAGGAAGCCATTCAATAAAATTCTCTGAATCTGAAGTAAGTGAGTTGGATTTAATAGAGCTAAGCCTCATCCATGACTCATGAATATCCATGTATCAAACAGGGCTTTGTACTTATTTCAACAGCACATATTTTAAAATTGGATCAATACAGAGCAGATAAGCATGGCTACTGCCTAGGGATGGCACACAAATTCAGAAAACATTCCATATTTTGCCTAGTCCCAGGAAGGCCATTTGACTATTTGTTGAGTAGCTCCAAGGAAGCAGTGTGAGCAAAACCAAAACAGGTGACACACAATATTGAAATTGTGATTATTGCTATGAAACTATTGATGTATGGTGATCTCTGAAATGGGAACAGAGCTGAGTAATAAGGGGATGTTACATGTTGTTAGTACATGTCTTGGAAATGAGAAAATGTCAACTTGTATTTCCTTCATGGAACTGAAAAACAATCAAAGCAGGGTTTTGTCTTGTCTGTTAGTTGGAGAGGACCATGGAGATCCAGCAGCCAAGCACAGATCTGCTGGCTCAGAGTTTGAGGAGGTAGAGAAGGAGTGGTAGTTGTCCAAGCCAGGTTTTGACACCTATTAGTTTTCTGCCCTTGGTGTGATTGATGAGCTCAGTGATGAGCTCACTAAATTTATATATATAGAAATTTAGTAATAAGTTATGAATTAGGTAAAATGCCCTGAATTACAAGCCACAATGAATACAAGTAATAACCAAAATTAGCACTTAATAACATTTTCTGAAAACTGCAACATTTGAGTATTAGAACTTACAGAAAAACACACACCGAGCATTATTTGGGATTCCAAAATGGTTTCAGCAATAAAGTTCAAGAATAAATTATTCCATTGCTTTACTATTTCTCTGAACATATAAACATGTAATCTCATTACATCTTCCAAACAACCTAGTGAAGTAAGGTAGCAGAATCCTTGTTTTTTAGAAGAAACCATGGAGCCTAAGAGAAGCAACTTGTCTGAAGACAAAATACCTACAGAGCGAGGTATTTTGGTTACAGAGCAAGGACTTACTCTGAGTGCAGGACACTTTGCATGATATCCAGCTAACTAGAGTTCATTTACTGAGCTGTGCTTCCTCCATTTATGAGTACTTCACTTTCTTTTCTTCTTTAATTATAAGCTTAATAAGCTTGTAAGGTTTACAAATTTGAAGTGTATGGGACATTAAAATTCTGAGATTAGGTCTGATATTGCTTGAAAGTGTTTTGGAATTTAATATGTTTGGTGAATATTTTTTATTTCATTATAAAAATGGCAATTTTATTTATTACTTTTGTATACATAGAATTCAACAACAAATTTTGGAACATAAAAAGAAGATACTTAAAAAGGAGAAATCAGGTAAGACTTCTGATTGTGAATTTCTTACTTGTCTTGGTGGTCCTACTCTTGATAAGAAAATACAAAGTAAGATGTAAGATTAAGGTAGTTTCAGTCAAAAAAGACCAGTTTAAAAATATGTGTAAATTGAATGTGTATATATGTATATACATATGTAAATTAATTTTTAAAATTTAACTTCTTTAGTTTGAAATTCAGATTTATTTAAGAAGGTAGTTGTAGCTAATTTACAATCTCAAACATTATTGTCTGAAAACATTCATTTATTTAATTATGATCCCTAAAATCCTATATAATATTTTTGCATAAATAAGAAAAAAGATTTTTAAGTTAGTATGTTGTATGTTTCCTCTATAGTCACATTATAACAAATTGGACTTGTTATACAAATGGATCTTCAATTTCATTTTTATAATAAATTGTTTATATTTAGTAAACAAATAACTACAGTTGACCCATGAATAATGTGGGGGTGAGGGACTCTGATCCCTGTGCAGTTGAAAATCTGAGTATAACTTTTGATTCCTTCACCTTAGCTACTAATAGCCCACAATTGACTGGAAGCCTTCCTGATAACATAAACAGTTGATGAACACCTATTTTGTTTGTGCTGCATTATTATATACTGTTCGTACAATAAAATAAGCTAGAGAAATGAAGCTGTTAGAAAGGAAATCATCAGGAGAAACATATTGACTTTTCATAAAGCATAAGTAGTCCTGACAAAGGTCTTCATGATCTTCAGGTTGATTAGGCTGAGGAGGAAGAGGAGAGGTGGATCTTGCTGTCTCTCTGTTGCAGAGGCAGAAGAAAATCTGCATATAAGTGAATCCCTGCAGTTGAAACCCTTGCTGTTCAAGGGTGAACTGTATTACATATTGATTTGTGTCACTAAGAAAGTAACTATCTTTAGAACCAGGAACTCAGCAATCCCTTTCTGGTACCATAAATAAATGGCAATAAGAACTGTAGAACTGAACCAGTGTGCACCCATACAAATAGGAGATTATTTTTTGAAGACAGCTACTGAGCACAGGAGACGGAAAAGCAATTCCTTTGTGAGAAGCACAAGTTATATTACATATTCGTACACAAGCAAAATGATTTTATCTGTCATAGTTTACATACATACACATACACACGTGCACATGTGCACACACCTGTGCACACAGACACAAAGTTAAAAGTCCTGCTGATTCTTAATGACCAAATCCAACTGTTCACAGAGAGCGGTGGATAACGCATCCTACTGTTTGGATGCAATTCTTTTGACTTTTTGACTTGTTTTGTGATGAACTGCCTTTAATGGGTTTAAATCATGTTTTCAGTTTTATGAGAAATGAAGAAAAAGATTAGAAGCAAGTAAACAGGAACTCTATGGTCAGTAGTAGACTATAATAGTATATTCAATAGTCATATGTTTTTCTCCAGTTACACAATTTACTTGAATGATGCACAATTAATCAATTATTATTATCATAGGAGATGGGGTCTCTCTATGTTGCCTAGGCTAGAATACAGTGTCTATTCATTGGTGCAATCATAGCTCACTGTAGCCTTGAACTCCTGGGCTCAAGCAGTCCTCCTACTTCATCCTCCTGAGTAGCTGGGACTACAGTTTTGTGTGGTTACATCTGGCCTGATACACAATTATTTATTTGTTTATTTATTTTTAATACAGGGTCTCCCTCTGTTGTCAGTACTGGTGTGCAGTGGTGCCATCTTGGCTCACTGCAACTTCTGCTTGCTGGCCTTAAATGATCCTTTCACCTTAGCCTCCCAAGTAGCTTGGACTACAGGCATGCACTACCACACTTGGCTAATTTTCTTTTTAAGGGATTTTTGTTTGTTTGTTTGTTTAATAGATGAGGTCTCACTATATTGCCGAGGCCGGTCTGGAACTTCCGGGCTCAAGTGATCCTCCTGCCTCAACCTCCCAAAATGCTCAGATTTACAAGTGTGAGCCACTGCACCTGGCCTTCAAAATTATTATAAAAAGGAATGAAGCCCAGTTGAGTTGCAGAAAATTGACCACTTTTTCATTTTTTTTCTAGAAACATTCATATTGTAGAACATATTGTCAATCACCCAGATTCTCTATTTTTTATTCAGATAAAAGAGGATTGCTGCTCATTTCACATTATTTTCTGACATTATTTTTTCATTTATTCCTTCTATGGCTTTATTCAATTGGATAGATATAGAAATACAAGAATCTCCAAGTCAAATATCAAGACAAAAAAAGAAAAGAAAAACAGATTAGGTAAAGTTATTCTGTGAAATAACCATCTGATTACAGTTACACGTATCATATCAACTTAATACAAATCTTACACAATGAATTTGTGTCAAGGTTTCCCAAGACCACCCCAGGTTTGGTGGTTCATTAGAAGGACTCACAGGACTCAACAAATAGTCATACTCAGATCTTTAATTGATAACAAGGAAGGGGACAAGCAAAATTAGTAGAGGAAAAAGGTGCATGTGGTCAATTCTGGAGGAAACAAGGCACAAGCCTCCAGGAGTTCTGTCCTGTGGAGTTCCCGGGATCTGCTTAATTCTCCCAGGCTCACATTTTGACAACATATGTGCAGTGATGTCTACCAGTACCAGAGTTTCATTAGAGACTAAGTGCCCAAGTTTTTCTATGGAGGTTACTCTCCCTCACATGTACCCAAATTCCAGACTCTTACAAGGAAAGCAGCTGTTTAGAGTAAATACACTGTTTCTATAAGCACTTTAGACACAGTGAGCCACTCTTCTCAGGGAATGGTGGAAACCCTCCCATTTCCAATTTCCTAAACACCAGCCAAGGGCCAGCCTTGCATGCAGGCCTTTCTAAGGATGGCAGCCTCTTGCCTGCTATATGAAATCTTTTCTGCACAACACTTGTAACCCCAACTTAATTTTTGGTGTTGTTTTAAAATTTCATTTTAATAACATAATATTATAAGATAAGGTAACTTGGTACTAATTTCTGTTGTATGATCCATCTTAAGTTGCAGTGCTTGTTACTTTTTTGACTTTTGGTGATGAACAGCTATTTGTATATAAGTTACCATAGCAATGTTAGGTAATTATAATCTGTCCTATTTATCTCATTAACCTTTCAGTAAAATTGTTAAATTAAATAAGCAAAATAATTTCTGAGTTAACATTAGAATAAAAATTGTCTTTTATTTTGATTACATGAATAGTCTAGTTTTCATATTGTGTTAAATCCCTGTTTAGAATTATGAAATAAGATAAAATATTCAATTATTTTTATCAATATTTTCTTATCTAAGCATGCAATTAAATTTATTTATTTTATATATTTTATATAGTTCAATTTGAGAAGTAATGACCACATGTTGTTACTTTGGTCTTCAATGATCTCTAATTTTTAGGGTCACCGTGTCTTGCTTAAATATATCATAGTAACAGGTTCAGTGAATATCTTTATTTTTTATTTTATTTACTTATTTTTTTGAGACGGAGTTTTGCTCTTGTTGCCCAGGCTGCAGTACAATGACATAATCTTGGCTCATTGCAACTTCCACCTCCCAGTTTCAAATGATTCTCCTGCCTCAGCCTCCTAGGTACCTGGAACTACAGGCATGCACAATCATGCCTGGCTAATTTTTTGTATTTAGTAGAGATGGGGTTTCACCATGTTAGTCAGGCTGGTCTCGAACTCCTGACCTCAGGTGATCCACCTACCTCGGCCTCTCAAAGTGCTGGGATTACAGGCATGAGCCACTGCCCCCAGCCATTTATTTATTTATTTATTTATTTATTTATTTATTGTAATTGTTCTGGAGATCCTGGGATGCATAGACAGTGAATATCTTTTTGTTTTTTGAGATGGAGTCTCACTCTGTCTCCCAGGCTGCAGTGCAGTGGTGCGATCTCAGTTAACTGCAACCTCCACCTTCTAGGCTCAAGCGATTCTCCTGCCTCAGCCTCCTGAGTAGCTGAAATTACAGGTGCCAGCCACCATGCCCAGCTAATTTTTGTATTTTTATTAGAGACGAGGTTTTGCCATGTTGGCCAGGCCGGTCTTGAACTCCTGACCTCAGGTGATCCACCCATCTTTGCCTCCCAAAGTGCTGAGATGACAGGCATGAGCCACTGAGCCCAGCTGAATATCTTTTTTTAAATCAATAACCTTATTTCTTAGAGCAGTTTTAGGTTCACAGCAAAATTGAGAGGAAGGTACAGAGATTTCTCATATATCCCATGCCTCCCACACATGCATAGCCTCCCCCATTATTACTATTTTCCACCAGAGAGTGGTACATTTGTTACAACTGATGAACTTACATTGACACATTATAATCATTCAAAGTTCATAGTTTACATCAGGCTTCACTCTTGATGCTGTACGTTCTGTGAATTTGGACAAGTGTATAATGACATGACATGTATCTATTACTGTAATATTATCGACAGAACAGTTTCACAGCCCGAAAAATTCTCTGTGCTATGCCTGTTCATCTTTCCCTTTCTCCCTAGTAACTCGTGGCAACCATTGATGTTTACTCTGTCTTCATAGTTTTACTTTTTTCAGAAGAGTCACATAGTTGGAATAATACAGTGGATATCTTTTTGAATAGTTAAAAAATTAAAGCTCCATGGCAGTTGAATGTAGTCATTTAAGATGTTCTTTGTCCTTTTGTTTTTCTTTTGCTTCTTTATCATTGTAAAGAATGATATATTCTGATGACATATGCTTTACATACTTAGAAAACATGATTTGTATAGATATGTGGCACATAATAGAAAGGGTTGAGGAAAAGGACACCATGCTGTACCACACAGCACAAACTGGAGCATCTTGCTCTGTGAGGTGGGTCCAGATAGATTCTCTAGCAATGGAAGGGGACAAGTGCAAGGGGTTGTACTTTATAAAACTGGAATCACAAAGTCTTTCATACTTACCTTCGGTTGGAAATAAGACCAGACAGTGAATGCTATAGGTAAGTACATAGGTTCCTCACTGATCCTCTTCCTTTGAGGGATGAGGTTGACAACAGCCTGTATTATGATGATGTGACTCACCTACAACTAGATTCTGTCATGAGGGATAGCAAGAGAGTTTTGCTTTCTGTGAGGTGAAAAAGAATTTTTTTCCCCTACTAGGGAGAAGGGCAAGCACTGGAACATTCCGGTAGTAAAAGGGCATTGATGGTTTTCTTTCTATATATTTTTCACATCATATAGTACTGTCCAGCAGCCTGCCACACCTCCCTGGTGTTTCTTCAGCTTCTCTGAATGTGAGGTGTGGTTCCTAGCGTATAAGCTCTTAAAGGAGTGATCTTTCCAGTGGTTTTTCTGTGGGAGGTAAAATGGCAGGTGAATTTGGGCCTTGCTATATGTAGGGCAGAGCAAATAGCTACAACTAAGTAAACCACCCAGCACCTTCCCCAAAGAGTAGTAGCCAGAGTAATACATTGATCTCTTTTGAGCTCTTTTCCACTAGCGGCTGGAAAGTCTTTGCAAGGATTCCTGTTTCTGGTCTGATTCCTATGTTTTGCTGACATCTGGTGTTAGGGTGTTTTATTCTAAACTGAGCAGTTTGAACTGAAGAGCTAGAGAGGCTGTGTTGTGTTATAACAAAATAAGTGCAGTAGCTCCCCCTTAACTGTGGGAGATACATTCCAAGACCCCCAAGTGGATGCATGAAACCATGAATAGTACTGAATCACAAACTGTTTTTCCCTATACATACATATGTATGCTAAAGTTTAATTTATAAATTAAATTGAATCTGATGTTACCAGCAGATAAGGTGTGAGAATTGAATTGTGTCATCAGCAGGAATGATTGCTTGCTTGTTGGTGGGGAAAAACCCTCCACACATTTGGTCACAGAAGCCTTCTTTGTTGATGATTGTTGCTGTGGTGTGACAGCAGAGAAAAATGTGTCAAGTATGTCTTTCTGCACGTATAGTGGATAAGGGGTACTACTGTGTACTCTGTTTTAATGGCGCCTCATATTTTGGTCCAGAAATCATGCTCTTTGACACTGTTGACTCATCACACCTGTTCTGCTAACAATACCATTTTTACTCAACCTCATAGGGTTTGGCTAAGATGACTTGCATACTGCAGTTCACTTGTAGATACCAAATTTTAATAAATTTATTCTTCTTTGCATCTAATAAATACAAAGGGAAGAGTTCTTACTGCATTAATTACCTACCAATATGTATAACGAATGTTAATTCTAATAAGGTCCCAGGCATGCTCCCAAAGGAATGCTTTGTAACAAAGCATCAGTCTTATGCTTTAAAAAACCAAACCAAACCAAAACAAAAACAACAACAACAACAAACAGGATCTAAAGCATACATACAAGTGTGCACAATTTTTTTATGAAGGTAGAGTCTTACTATGTTTCCCAAGCTGGTCTCAAACTTCTGGGCTCCTCAAGTGATCCTCCTGCCTCAGCCTCCCAAGTAGTTTGGATTAGAGGGATGCATCACTGTGCATTCTTATGCTTTTAATATTCTGTACATTTGTTATTGATTTAAAATGCATTTTACCTTTTTCTTTAATAGATGTTGGAAGTTCTGATGAATCTGCAGTCAGGTAGGATTTTATAGATTTAAAAAATTATGTTAACTAAGAAAATATAGATGGAAGAAATGAGTATCTGTTGAGTGTTGTATTCTGGGCTAGACATCCTAATATGTTCTATGCATATATCATCTCATAAAGCCATCACAACATCTGTGTTCCTATAACCTACTGTTTATTAAATAAACAACTATGGATTAGAGCTGATTAATTGCCTCATGATCCCATAGTTAACAAAGTAGCTGGCCTACAGTTTGACCATCAGCCTGCCTGCCTTCCAAATCCTGTCTCTTGCTCCTCAGCATAGATTGACAGATATCTGTGCAGCCCTTGGATCAAGGTATAGGTCTGAATCAGATTAGTCAGATTGATTAATTTGATTAATGTCTAAATTAATGAGAGTTTAAATACCTTGAACTCTCATTTAAGTTTATCATTAGAATGTGGTTAGTCCAAGAGTTTGTCCTAATAAATTTGACAATTTCAGTGGTAACCAGTATCTTATTTTTACCATCAAAGGCTCTAGGGCAGATCTTACTTAGCTTTGCCATAGGGGTGTAAGTTTTACAAAAGCAAGTTTAGGCAAGTCTTAGAGACAAATTATTTGACTTCCCAGTTTGGTTTTCCATTTAGGCAAGTATTTCTGCTTACTTCCATAATACATTTTTTAGTCTTGTTGCTTTTTCCGTGACTTTTCTATAATCTTGCCTTCATTTTTTAAAACTTTCTTCTCTGCTTTTCTTGGTATTTCTTTTGTTCTATTATTTTTTCAAACTCTGCTGGCTATGTATTCTAAGTTTTTCTATAGACAGAATCAAGAGGACATAGAATTACAGAATTTTAAGGAATCTTGGAATGAATTAAAATACCTTCTAGTATTTTTACCTGTGTTGAACATTCTGGTCAAATGATTCTCTAGATAGAGAATGTGAGGCTCAAAGAGTTTAGGATGCTTTTTTTTAGACATAGGAATTGGCAGAAATGAGATTTGAACTCATGTTAAAGCCCAGTACTCTTGCTTCTTTTTATATCCTATTGGCGTGTGTTTTAATAATACAAACGGGAGTGAGTCTGTGGGTAGAATGAGAATGGAATTAGCCGGGGAACCCAATGGAAGTAGATAAGAATGGAATGAGCAGGGGAAGTCCAAGTTTGAAGATAAACAACACTGGATTGGATAGGAGTACAGACTCTTCTATAAGAGATCAAAATATTGGGGTTTATGACAAGTTTGATAAAGATAAATTATAAAAATGAAGGACACAAGATGTTGGGAATTATCTACGAAGGCACATTAAAATAGAAGGTTCAAGGGAGCTCTAAAAAGTTTGCTGCTTTTTTTTAAATCAAGGACTGACAAACTTGAAGATTTTTACTGAAAGATGCTAAAACATTTTGAGACACTGGGAGGAGCGTCTGCAGCAGATAGAAATGTGGTGTCATCTGCTTCCATCCTGACTTAGAAAGGGGTGGCTTAGAGCCCCTGGAGTACTAAGGGGCTGGAGATTGCTGAACTACATAGATCTGTGGCCCAGTACAGGTGTCTCCTCACCTCTGCCTCTTTTCCCGATTCACTGATGTCCTTCCCATGTCCATGTGGGCTGGGTCAGGGGCATGATTGGCTGGCAAATCAGTCATGGAGTTCAGTTGGGTAGTTGGTAGTGTGTCTAGCTGGGGGCAGGTGATGGAGACTCCAGTTAGCTTGTTTTTCAGGAGCAGGGATATAGAGAGCTCCTAGTCCTGGTCATTTGAGGCCATCCTTTCAGGAATCTGTGCTTTCATAGACTGAAGATTTAAAGATTGGAGACTTCTGTGGAGCCCTGCAGAAGTGGAATCTGGAAGTGGGAGCCCATAGGAAGACAGATACTTAGAGAGTACTTAGGGAAATAGAGGTACACCTACCAGGACTCTGTTTTTTTCTGACAGTCTCTCTCCTTGGGTGTCTGAGTGCCTATGAAAAGTTTTAAGGGCTTGCTAGTTTATGTGGACCTGAATAAGGTAGGACCTATAGGTTGAAAATAATGGGATTTTATAATTGTTAATATTTCAATCTTTCTGGGAAAAGTATTCTCAATAAGAACATACACCTTTGTTATTTGACTTCTGTACATTTAGCTTTCATACATTTCAAATATTGTAGGGGCTTTCCTGTACTGATTTAGGGCAAAGGAAAGCAATAGGACCTTCCTAAGTGGGTTCCATGCTGAGGAATCAAGACTGTCATATTGAAGTGATGCAGATTAGTCTTTTATCCAGAGACAGATCATGGAAAAGAGACAGTGGATCTTTCTACCTTGTTTTAGGTTATTAGTTTTCTTCCAGTTTAGGTAACAAAATTTATGTCATCCATTAATTGAATTTTAAGTTCAGCTTCAGGACAGATAATTTGTGAGGGCAAATCATTGTCAGGCTCTGCCAATTTATTGACTGTCACTATTTGTTATAAAGCTCAAGGTTAGTTTTCATTGAATATTTTATAGATTTAGACAAGTGGAGGCAGAAATAGGTAACTAAAATCTATTTTTAGAAGAGGACATATTTTAATTATATCAAGAATCACTAATATATAGATTGCTGACCTTTCCCTAGATTATGGTTTCTTTTTTTGAGGGGGAAGCTGGATATAAACTGGCAGTTAAAAAAATTGTAAAGAAATCAACTTGCTCATTTTCGTTGTGTGTTTTTGCTCTCAAGCATTTTCCATGAACTGCGTGTGGATTCATTGCCTGCATCGGATGACAAAGACTTGAATGTTGCTACTAAGGTAAAGTGGTCTCTTGTAAAATTAATTTTCTCACTCTGAATGTACTTTTGCGTAGTATTTACTTTTCAAATTTAGCAGTGGTTTACCTATCATTGTTTTATGGTGGTAATGGAAAGTTGGTCAGAGAAAAACATACATATGGCTAGTTGATTCAAAAAATGTGTTTAACTTTGGTAACTAACAAAGATTGATAAGTACTGTGACAGGGTGGGAGCTGAAAAAAAATGAACTGGAAAATTAGTAGTGACAGGAAAATCACATTAGGAAATGCTTTCTCCAATAGAGGAAATATGAAATTTGCTTAAGGTTTATTTGGATAAATACTAATACTTTGACTTTTAAATCATACGAGTGTGACTTTCTTAATATTTATGCCTGTATAAATCTTCAGTGGATCAAATTATTTGCAGTAATCATGGGATCCTCCTGGTGATTTTTAGTGGCAAGAATATTCAGCACATAGCATATAGCTTTTGTTCTTGGAAACTTATTATTTTGGTATCATATTGTTTTTACGAGAGATTGTTTTTCTACTTATATTATTGGTTCTGTAGTGAGACAAAAAAAATAAAAATTGTAGAAAAATAACTGAGTGTGGTGGTGTACACCTGTAGTCCCTGCTACTTGGGAATTTGAGGCAGGAAGATTGCTTGAACCCAGGAGTTTGAGAACAGCCTGGGCAACATCGTATCTGATTTAAAAATATAAATTGTGGAAATATAGAAATTTAAATTTATGTTCTCAAAATGTGTATTGCAAAGGAATTTTTGTGTGGTTTATGAGTTGTCCATGAAGAGTTTATATAAGGCACTTCATCTAATTGAATAACATGTATTTTGCTGCAAATAACCAGTTCTAGAAGCAGAGACTCTTAATACCAATGGATGGTAAGACTTTATCATCATAATTTTGTCATTGTAGTTTATTTAAAATATTTACTTCACCAGGCGTGGAGACTCACCTGTAATCCCAGCAGTTTTGGAGGCCGAGGTCGGTAGATCACCTGAGGTCAGGAGTTCAAGATCAGCCTGGCCAACGTGGTGAAACCCTGTCTCTAAAAAAAACCAAAACCAAAACAAAACAAAACAAAACAAAACAAAAGCAGAAAAATTAACCAGGCGTGATGGTGCATGCCTGTAATCCCAGCTGCTCAGGAGGCCAAGGTGGGAGAATCGCTTGAACCCGGGAGGCGGAGGTTGCAGTGAGCCAAGATCGCACCATTGCACTCCAGCCTGGGTGACAGAGCAAGACTACATCTTAAAAAATAAAATAGCCACTCAAAGTCCTCATATCATATTCTGAAATTTTGAATTTCAGAAGGTTTTCTATTTAGTTGTTTAAATAATCATTGGAAGCTCCTGCATACCGTAAGCTACTGGAGGTCAGTAAACATATTTGTGTGTATCCTGGAGTACCTAGAATACAGTCTTCCATGTAAGAAGCATTCTAGTTGTTGTTTTTTGAGATGGGGTTTCACTCTGTCCCCCAGGCTGGAGGGCACTGGTGAGATCTTGGCTCACTCCAATCTCCATTTCCTGGGCTCAGGTGATCCTCACACCTCAGCCATCCAAGTAGTTTAAACAATAGAGCTATGTCACCATAGACCTGTGTCACCATGCTCAGCTGAGTTTTGTAGAGACAGGGTTTTGCCTTGTTGCCCAGGCTGGTCTTTAACTGTTGGGCTCAAGTGTTCTGCCTGCCTCAGCCTCTCAAAGTGCTGGGTTACAGGCATAAGACATTCAGCCTTAATAGTTGTTTAATCTGAATAAATAGACAAATGAATTTTTATATAATGGAATGTTATAAGTAATATAATAAACCTAATGTATCTAATAATTAAATATTGTATTTAAAATATTGCTTACATTGTATTTTTTAATATTTAAGGGTGTATAAGTTTTGATATGTTATGTTGAGAAATTATGCCATAATTAAAAAGGAAATAAAATAGAAATAGGTCATCAGTAGCAAATAGGGTTACAATATATTTTCTAGTATCATTCAACTGGAATCTTAACATTGAGATTTTAGATTAACATTTCTTAAGCTTTTTATTAGCTCTAACTCATGTTCTATTAAATATATGTTTTCAAGCCATACATTACTCTTTATTATTCTTATACTGTAAGTTCTAGGGTACATGTGCACAATGTGTGGGTTTGTTACATGTGTATACACGTGCCATGTTGGTGTGCTGCACCCATTAACTCATCATTTACATTAGGTATATCTCCTAATGCTATCCCTCCCCCCTTGTCCGCCCCACGACAGGCCCCAGTGTGTGATGTTCCCCATCCTGTGTCCAAGTGTTCTCATTGTTCAATTTCCACCTATGAGTGAGAACATGCAGTGTTTGGTTTTTTGTCCTTGCGATAGTTTGCTCAGAATGATGGTTTCCAGCTTCATCCATGTCCCTACAAAGGACATGAACTCATCCTTTTTTATGGCTGCATAGTATTCCATGGTGTATATGTGCCACATTGTCTTAATCCAGTCTATCATTGATGGACATTTGGGTTGGTTCCAAGTCTTTGCTATTGTAAATAGTGCCGCAATAAACATACGTGTGCATGTGTCTTTATAGCAGCATGACTTATAATCCTTTGGGTATATACCCAGTAATGGGATGGCTGGGTCAAATGGTATTTCTAGTTCTAGATCCTTGAGGAATCACCATACTGTCTTCCTCAAAGGATGAACTAGTTTACAGTCCCACCAACAGTGTAAAAGTACTCCTATTTCTCCACATCCTCTCCAGCACCTGTGGGTTCCTGACTTTTTAATGATCGTCATTGTAACTGGTGTGAGATGGTATCTCATTGTGGTTTTGATTTGCATTTCTCTGATGGCCAGTGATGATGAGCATTTTTTCATGTGTCTGCCATACGTTACTCTTTAGAATTCTGGTGACCAATTTTTTTCTGGGTGGAAAGTTGATTGAAAGTTCTAGTTTTCTCTCTGTGTTATAATAATGTTCTTTCAGGTAGTGGTCGATGACCATATTTAGCTAATTGAATGTCTTATAGTAATAAACTGTATCACAGAAGTACTTACAAAAAACTAATTGTAGCATAAATATTAATTAGTATTATCAGGGATATGAAAGAGCAAAAGGCTCTGTTATAGATCTATTTCCCCATGTACTTTATTGTACTTCATGTTGTTTCTTTTCTTTCTTGGCTTAAGCTCATATTTCATTGACCAATTAGGCTTGTTTTTTGTTTGTATCTCTCTTCATTCTCATATTTTAAATTGAAATTTTTGGGGAGTCAGGGTCTTGCTCTGTTGCCCATGCTGCAGTGTAGTGGCATGATCTTGGCTCACTGCAGTATCCACCTCTCAGGCTCAAGTGATCCTCCCACATCAGCTTCCCAAGCAGCTGGGACTACAGGCGCACACCATCATGCCTGACTCCTTTTGGTATTTTTTGAGTAGAGATGTGTTCTCATTATGTTGCCCAGGCTGGTCTCAAACTCCTGAACTCAAGCAATCCACCCACCTTGGCCTTGCAAAGGGCTGAGATTACAGGTGTGAGCCACCATGCCTGGGCAACATTGAGATTGATTTAAAGAAATTGATTAGGGCTGGGTGTGGTGGTGCACACTGCTTATCTCAACACTTTGGGGGGCAGAAGTGGAAGATTTACTTGAGCCCAGGAGTTTGAGACCAGCCTGGGCAGTATAATGAGGCCTTGTCTCTGCAAAGATAACAATAAAAACATTAGCATGGCATGAAGGGACGCACCTGTAGTTCCAGCTATTCAGGAAGTTGAGGTGGGAAGATTGCTTGAGGTCAGGAGTTTGAGACAACAGTGAGCCATAATCAGGCCCCTGCATTCTAGCCCTGGGTTGACAGAGTGAGACCCAGTTTCATAAAAAGAGATTGATAAGAAACTCTTGATGCAACTCATTATAATTTTAAAATGGAAACTAATTCTTGATATTACCTTAGCAGTGTGTCCCCGAGAAAGTGTCAGAGCCTTTACCTGGATCTTCGCATGAAAAAGGAAACAGAATAGTCAATGGACAAGGAGAAGGTGAGAACCGTATTTTATTTAAAAAGTCTTTTGATGGAGGCCGGGTGCGGTGGCTCACGCCTGTAATCCCAGCACTTTGGGAGGCCGAGGCGGGCGGATCACGAGGTCAGGAGATCCAGACCATCCTGGATAACATGGTGAAACCCCATCTCTACTAAAAATACAAAAAACTAGCCAGGTGTTGTTGTGGGCACCTGTAGTCCCAGCTACTCAGGAGGCTGAGGCAGGAGAATGGCTTGAACCCGGGAGGCGGAGCTTGCAGTGAGCGGAGATACCACCACTGCATTCCACCTTGGGTGACAGAGCGAGACTCCGTCTCAGAAAAAACAAAACAAAAAAAGTCATTTGATGGAATGTTTCTTTGAAAATATGAGCTAAAGAAAGTGTCCTATTTCTTTAGCTAAAATAGCTAAAGAAAGTGTCCTATTAACTGTATAATAAGTAAAGGAGAAGTGAAATGGTGATAAGTTGTGTCTCTAACCAAGGGTCAGCAGTTGATTCTATTGGGAGTACCACTAAAGGAGCTGAGTTGTGAGTTCCATTTTAAGATACTCTAAGACCTGAGGCAAGTCAGGAGAGAGGGAAGAGGAAATGAATAAAGAGAAAGAAAGAATGAGGAGAGCGGATTGTACATGGAATAAATAAAAAAGCATATGCAGAGGTAAGTAAGAGAGGATAGTAAAGGCAAATTGATCTGTAGAAGAAGGAAGAACATGGTGTTAGAAACAGGAAAGAAGATAAAGTGAGCTTCCAGTACCAAAATGTGTCAGAGAATTACAGTAACATTTTCCTTCTCTTGCTGTCATCCTCACTACTGGGGAGGCATTAAGGATTGAGGCACCTCACCACACAGACCTGTGTTTTATCTACCATAGATGAACATCACCAAAGATGGTCAGCCATGTATGGCTATAATTTGTTTTTATAGAAAATGTTGTAACCTCATAGGATAGTATCATATAGGCCAAATTAACATAATTGAATAGTGTTGGGTGATTTATGGAGAAGAAATTAATTCAAGAAGTTATTGCCTGATTAAAAGTTCATTAGAAACATTATGGCTTATAATGTAGTATTAAATTGAGGGACATAATAGGGAAGAAATTGAGGCTAGGCCAAAAGGGCAATTAGGGGAAACCAATATGGAAGCACATCAGTGTAGAACAGGGCATTCAAATTGTCATGAATGAGTTGAAGAGCTTCTGGAAGGTGCACATTCTGATTCAGCAGGTATGGGAGTCTGCATTTCTCATGAGTACTCAGGTGATTTTTGGTGCTGGTCCTTGGACACAGCTCTGAATAGCAAGGGAATAGCCTTCCTTTAGAGAACTCTGGAAAAAGAACCATTGGAGAGCAATTTAAAAAATAACAGAATCCAGGGAAAGCATTAATTTCCTTTTATTTCTGAGCATGATTCTAGCCACAGGGGAAGGAGAATGAGATGAAAACAGAGAGATTACAGGTGTATACTACTGCTGAATACAGATGAAAAAAGTGGTCACAATTATCCATAAAAAGCAGTTAGGAAGGGAAGCATCAGGATGACAGTTCTAAAAATCACTTTTTCAAAGGAAGAGGGATTGTGAAAGGACACGGAGGGAGGAAAGAAAGACATTTGCTGGGGTCTTGGGAGTTGAAGCCAAGTAAACTTGAGACAACTCACTTCCAGTTGCTTCAGCATATGCCCAGTCTCACAAAAGAGGTTATTGCTGTGGAGAGTACTGGAGGCAGGAGGGAGTGCTAGAGTTGGGGTAAACCACAGCAGCTCATTTCACTTGATAACTGTCAGGCCTCAGAGAGAGAAGTTTCACTGACATGAGTGAATAAGATGTGATTAAGTTGCATATAGATGCTTTGGCTAATTTTTTTTGATATTACAAAATTCATTCGGTGAATACCAAAATTCTCTTTTTCAATAAATACTGCACTGATTTTGAAATATAAATATGTATTCATATCCAGCAAGTCTGTGGTAATTCAGTGTTTTCTTTTTTGATAAATATTTTGATATCGGAAGCTTATTCGACATGGTTTATTTTATGTGTTTTATGGACCGCCTTGCATGAGTGGATCAAGGAGCTCTAACTCAAGGCCAAATGAGGGGATAGGAGAAATGTAGGTGCTGCAGTAGCCCATGTGATCATGGGAAAAATGAGTAGTTTGATTAGCTGTCATTTCATAAGTGTGTATACTAGCTGATCAATGTAGAACACTTTCTTTGATGAGAGGTGAATCACACTTTCACCTGAACTGTCATCCCAACTGTGTATTTCCTCAGTGACAAGACGAGGGGAATTTGTTTGTGGCATGCTGGCAGCAATGCCTCTGCTGTGTTGAGTTAAAATACTCTGTACATTCACCATCAGCTTTGACGTCGATTCCCTCAGGTTTGATTTGCTCCTCTGTTTAATGGTCCCTTTTCTCCTCATCAGTCCACGTGTTCACGGTGATATCCATGCTTTTCTATTTTAGGTATAGGCATTTGAAACATAATCTCACTACTGAAATGTAAACTGTGCATTTTAGGAATCCTATATTCCTATTTTCCTCATTATGTTTCTGTCATGTTGCCGTCCTAGGCAATGAAAAGATGCCAAGAAGAACCCTCAAAACCTTAAGTAATTATTTTTATAGCCAGGCATGAGAATTCAGCTCGATAGTACCACTGCATGAATGTTTGGTTGGCCCTGTCATACTTACATATAATTGATGACATATCCCCTTTGCTTTGTAGGGCCTCCTGCAAAACATCCTTCCTTGAAGGTAATTAATTATGTATATTTTTGAATCACTAACTCCATGTTGTATAAAATATATATGATTTATGAATCATTTTCTTTTAAAACCCATTCAGCCTAGCACTGAAGTGGAAGATCCTGCTGTGAAAGGAGCAGTACAAAGAAAGAATGTACAGACATTGAGAGCAGGTACATTTAATGGAATACTGGAAATAAGTACATTCAATGATTGGAAGTACTCACATTATTCTTATTCCTAATTCTATTTGTTCAAAATTGAATGGAAGGCATTGACATAAATGTTATTGTTGGTATCCATATTTGAATAAAAATAAATTTAGAAGCATAAAAAAGATTTTAAAAATGTAAGCTTTAACTCAGATGTTTCTCTTTTAATGTTTTTGAATAGCATGAAGTTTTCAGTATAAAATTTTTATACCTGTCAGGGATTCAAAGAAGTGAATTTTGAGACTCTGAGATATTTCCAATGAGTTAAGTGCTACTTGGAGTTCTGAACTTTACCTAGAGGAAAGCTTTACTTATTAACATGTCAGATTCTGTTTTAACTTTAGAGGCTTGCTGCTAGTGTTATTACACTGATGATCTGAAGCCAATCAGATGTTCTAATGAGCAAGACTGTGTGTGTAGGTGTATATATAGCTGTGTGTATGTGTGTGTTTGTGGTATCTTTGACTATTAAAAATGAGGAAAGTAATGATTCATTTATAACTGGTAGACACAGTCTTTTAAAATGGTGATTTTGAGACTTTTTGGTGTTAAGGTTTTTAAAACATGATTGCATAGAGGCTACCGACATCATAAGTTGGTTGTTTTTCATTTCAATGCCCTTTTGAAATCTTTAACTATATTGTGATGCTCAGAAATAATATGCAGAATTTTTTATTTGTGTCCCAAAATGGTATGTGAGTGGTTATACACTTTACATACCTTTCTGCCACTTTCTTTGGTGTATTTTGTATTATATTTTCCAGATGTATCCACATTGATATGATTATCTCTGGTTTAATTCATTTTACACTTTTCATTGTATTCCCTTATACCACTTTACCACATTTAGTTAGACTCTCCTGTTGCTGATAAATGAAGAAAGAAAGAAAAAGAAAAATAATGTCAGATTAAGTGGGCTTTTCTTTAATCAGTTTGTATCTATTAATATTTACTATATGAGAGTTTAAAGTTGAAAAGTTCAGAATACAAGCATGCACCACCATATTTTATAAATGCCCTTAGAACTGTGACTCATGAGCCTTTAGCCTATGAAGTTAGGACAATTCATTTCTCTGAAGAAGTTTGTTGTGCTGTTCTCAGAAAAGAAAACTGAAAATAGCAAATGATATTGTCTTATTTGACCTCTTGGACATCTTTGAATGAAACTGCAACTCCAGGGATACTCAGATCAAAATTCAGAACTAATGTTTTGAACAATATAGTTTGTGAATGTCCAGTGGATCATGAGCCCTTGATGGGAAAATGACCTTTCAAGTTTCACTTTTGCATTTTTTTGCTCTTTTCCTTGACTTGTCTTAAAAGCTTAAATTCAACCGTTTTATTTTTACAGAAACCGGGAATATAACTTTTAAAATTTATGTCTGTCCTGTCTCACGGTGTTGTGTACTCTTCAGATCTTGTGTGAATATAGACTTATGTGGGAACAATTAGGTGTTTTGTTTGTTTGTGTTTTTGAGACAGAGTCTTGCTCTGTCACCAAGGCTGCAGTGCAGTGGCTCGGTCTTGACTCATTACCACCTCTGCCTCTCGGGTTCAAGCAATTCTCCTGCCTCAGCCCCTCGAGTAGCTGATACTACCTGCATGTGCTACCATACCCTGCTAAATTCTCTATTTTTAGTAGAGATGGGGTTTCACCATGTTGGCCAGGCTGCTCTCAAACTCCTGATCTCAGGTGATCTGCCTGCCTCAGCTTGCCAGTATGCTGGGATTACAGGCAGGAGCCACTGTGCCAGGTACAAATAAGATTTTTAAGGCTATTATATTTTATACAATTCTTTGGTCTATGTGAATTCTGAAGGTATTCATGCATTGAGGGAAGATCATCTCAGTTTAATGAAAGCAGTTTTTAATGTATATTCATTAAAAATTTTTTTGAAGTTTTTGTCTCTAGTACACAGAAACACACAATATTGTCATGGGTATTTGACCTTAATGTGTTTATGCACAAACTTAGTTATTCAAATATTTTCTTATCCCTGAAGAATCCTAATTATTAATAAAAAAATTTCTCATGGAAAACAACATATATAATAGAGATTATTGAGTGATAAAGTAAATTGTAGTAAATAACAGAAGCTTAGAACAAGTTAAGTAAACTTGTCTGAGTTAATAGCAATTACAGGACTTTTAAGATACATTAGACCATGAGGGAGTAGTGTGTTTGTGGGGTAGAGGACATCATGGTCCTGCTTCAGTGAAGAAAGAACTTTTACACCTTATTACAATTTGTATTACTATTTACATTCTAATAAAAACTTTATTTTCAGATATTTTAGATTATGTTTCTACTAGTTGAACCATCAATAGTAAGACTTTTCAAAGATTTGGGAAGTTGTGAGTTGATGATAAATATCTGTATCACCATTCGTGATCAAAAATCAGACAGCAACTACAAGACTTTGGACACACGAACTTCATAGTTAAAGAAAGGATTAATCTTGGAGCTGTGTTTTTATCAGGGAATTATACTCTTCATTACCTCTGTGAATCGCACTTATTAGAGTAGAAAGAGAGCAAAGAAGGGAAACAAACATAGAAAATTTTATTCTAGATTACCTCAGTTGGCTTCATGCTACCATAGTTCTGGCTTTTAAAAAGTCATCTTGTGGTCAAATGTACTTTGGTTTACTCCCTTTATGCAGCCTACAACCAAACAAAATGCTTCTTAGCAAGGCATTTGTATTCTTCCCTTAAGGAAAGCAACATATAAATAACAAAGAGAATGAGGAGAAAGAGTAATTTCATTGAAGTTGGTATTTAACATAAATTTGTGTGCGGGTACCATGATTATATTTAGAATTTTGGGCCTGGAATAGAAAACCAGCTAGACGTCTACAGATTTCCTACTCAAACACAATGTGCCTTTGTTTTATTTTTACATCTGTAATTTTGCAATTATTAGGTACAACTGTATGCAGTGTCACTAAAAATACCTTCCAAAACCAAATATTAAATAATGCCTATGGTTTTCTGTATTATAATGTTGATTTCCCCAATATTAATGGGAACCATTGAGCATTTGCCTTGGGGTGTCTCCTCAGCTGTATTCACACATTCCATCACCTTGTCTTAATGGATAATCATGCACTATGAGTATGGGTTTTCAGAAGAGCTGTATCATTTAAAGATAACACAGGAGCATCAAATTTAATTCTGCTAGAATACTTGGTCTATTGATTAACTGCAGCTAATATGGGGTCTACTTCACATACAAGTTAAATTCAGTGCCCTTAATCAGTCATATGGTCAGGTCAACAGTAATAAATTATGCAATATTTTTTCACCCCTATAGTTTTAATTTCTCTTTCCCCTTATGTCTAGAATTAACATTTTATTTTACAAAACATGATGATAATCTTCTAGAGTAGTGATGACAAAGTATAAATCCAAAGTTTCTTACCTATGCAAATGACGTGTTTGCTTCTATTTTCTCATGAGCTTGGTAGATCCAGGAAACAGAACTTTTAAAACAAAATCCCCATATGTGGCTGGGCGCGGTGGCTCGTGCCTGTAATCCCAGCACTTTGGGAGGCTGAGGCGGGCAGATAACCTGAGGTTGGGAGTTTGAGACCAGCCTGACCAACATGGAGAAACACATCTCTACTAAAAACACAAAATTAGCTGGGCATGGTGGCACATACCTGTAATTCCAGCTACTCGGGAGGCTGAGGCAGGAGAATCACTTGAACCTGGGAGGCAGCAGTTGCGGTGAGCTGAGATTGCACCACTGCACTTCAGCCTGGGCAGCAAGAGTGAAACTCCATCTCAAACAACAACAACAACAACAACAACAACAGCAACAGCAACAACCACCACAAAACCCAAATGCATTTCCTTGGCACAGTAAAACTGAAACAGAAAAAGTGTAAAGTAAATACAAGTAACTGAAACAGTTTATGTATATTATTTTACTTCTCATTTGATAAAATTTGTAAAGTAATGAGCAGAGTGTATTTCTCCAGGGACCCAGATATATACATTTATTCATTCAATAAAAATTCATGCTTACAATGGCCACTGATACTTATGTCCTAAATATTTCTGAAAACATCTCCTCAGGCCTGCATCATCTTTGCAACACTGCCTTATATTTTATCTTTGTTCATTGATTTATATGCCTCAGAATTTTATGCTCCTCACAATAATTAGAGTTAATTATCTCTAATGCAAATAGAACTGTGAACCACTCCTGAATACCTATGTCCAAGCATCTTAAAGTTTTATATAAGGATTTCAGAAACTGATTTCTGGGTTGGGCATGGTGGCTCGTGTCTATAATCCCAGCACTTTGGGACGCTGAGGCAGGTGGATCATTTGAGGTCAGGAGTTCAAGACCAGCCTGGCCAACAAGGTGAAACCCCATCTCTAATAGAATACAAAAATTAGCAGGTGGTAATGGCACATGCCTGTAATCTCAGCTACTTGGGAGGCTGAGGCAGGAGAATTACTTGAACCTGGGAGGCCGGGTTGCAGTGAGCCAAGATCATGCCACTGCACTCCAGTCTGGGAGACAGAGTAAGACCTTGTCCCAAAAAAAGAAAAGAAAAGGAAACTGATTTCTGCCCAAATCTCCATCTGTAGCCCTTTCCCCATCTGCCTTTTTCTCTGGAATTACTGAGCTGCTGGTAATGGCCCCCTCACCATTCCTCTTTTGCAGAGAAATATATACTCTCTTGGAGGCTTCTCTCCCTCTCTTGTTGCTGCCTGGCATGTGCTCACCCTTTCCTGCCCTCTGCCTCACTTAATCTGGCTAACCTTACTCTCTAAGTCTCAGCTCATGCATGATCTTTAGGAAAGCCATCCCTGACAGCTTTTATTTTCCTTCCTTATACCCCAGTGCCTAACACTTAGCAGGAACTCAATAAGTAATTATTTAGCAAAATTAAGACTGTTTATACAAAGATGATTCAAAAGATTGTCCTCTACAGTCTAACAGCAAAGGGGATCAACATGTAAAGACATGATGTGCAGTTCAGGTGGTAAAGTGACGCTGGAAAATTTGACAAAGTACTAAGGGACTCCAATGAAGCAGACACCTGTGTGTGTGGAGAAAGACAGCTAGAATCAAGGAAGACTTCACACAGCATTCTGAGCCTTTTTTTTTTCTTTTTCTGTTGTTGGAGACAAGTTCTTACTCTGTCACCCAGGGTGGAGTGCAATGGTGTGATCGAGACTCACTGCAACCTCAAACTCCTGGGCTCGAGGGATCTTCTCACCTAAGCTTCTTGAGTAGCTGGGACTACAGGCACATATCACCATACCTGTCCAATTTTTTGTAGAGTCAAGGTTATCTATGGTTCCCAGGCTGGTCTTAAACTCCTGGCCTTGAACAATTCCCCCATTTTGGCCTTCCAAAGTGCTGGGATTACAGATGTGAGCTATTATGCCCAGCCTACTTTCTGAGTCTTAAAAGATGAAAATAAATTTTTCAGAATAGTAGGGGAAAACATTTGCGATGTAAAAAATGGGGTGCACACTAATTAAGGTATAAACAACAATAATTTTGCAAATTATTAGTAACTGCCAACTCAATTAGTGTCTTGTTAAAAAGATACTGTTATGAAGTAAAGTGTTACATTGTATATTTTGACTGTATTTCAAAATTTTGTTTTGTTTCTAACAGTTTTGTTGATTTATGTTGGGTGGAACAATTTGTGAGTGACCCTGAGATTTCATATGGCTTGAACCTGGTGATTTCTAATGTCTCCCCAAGTGGTTTGTTGAAGTTTTGGATGATTAGAAGTATTTCTTAAAGAACTAAATATTTCAGTAAACATTAAGCTTCATTGAAACTCTCAAAATATAAAATACAAAGAAATGTTATTCTCTATTTATTTTTATATAGATTATAGTCTTTATCTAACTGTTCTTAGTTCATTTGAACTAAACCAATGAATTTGTCAACAGAACAAGCCTTACCAGTGGCTTCAGAGGAAGAGCAACAAAGGCATGAAAGAAGTGAAAAGAAGCAACCACAGGTATATGAAAATTTAAGTTTCTTGTTTAATATTGGGTTTTGTTTTTTTGCTTCAGTAACAAAGCATAGTCCAAATGACATGACCTTTTAGACTATACCTTTAGAATCCAATAGCTCATAATTTTATATTTAATTTTTAAAACATTTTAACCAGTTATGAAACTTAAGATATTCTTACTATCTCTAGTAACTATTAGTTATTCTGGTAATTCTTACTATCTCTAGTAACTCATAGCTGTCTTTACCCTTGGAATTGAGGCAAGACATTTTCAGAATTATCTTGCTCTTTTATTGTTATAACCTTACTCATAATACAGAAGGTAACATGAAATATTGGGTCATATTATTAAGGAATAGAAATTGTGAACAATTTAACAATGATGGCCACTGAGTTAAACTAGTGTTAAAGGAGTCATCATTGCCAGTGGTTCAAATGTTGCAGTTTTACATTGCTGGTCATCAGTGCCGAGGTTAAAGATTTATTCTGTTTTGTGGTCACGATTTGACTTCTGTGTCTGTGTTCAGGGAGTGAATGGGGTCATAAAAGTCAACCCAGTTGCCTATTAAGAGAATCCTACCTTGTGGAATGGGACCTTTGGTGTCAGGGTACAAACAATAACTTTATTTTGACATAAATACATAGTAAATGTTACTAAAATTTAAAAAATCCATCCACTATCACTAGTGGAACTTAAAATATATTAGAAGTGGATATAAGCAGATAATCCATCTAGATACATAACACTATCATAGTATATTATTTGAATTAGAATTTAAAATTTTGCTTCCCTTTCTTATTGGTGTTCAGTTTGGCTCTTAATAATTCAGTGTTTGCCTAGTCTGTAGTTAATCTTCAGAAATATACACGTACTGTAGGGGCTCACTTTTTCTGGTATGATGAGGTAAAATCTTTGTAAGAGAGGAAGATTTTATAATACTACCTATCAGCTTTGAATTCATTTCTGGTAGATTTTACACATAATGCATTAAGTTTAATCCAAACAAATGCTAAGAGTTCAGCTTGCCAGTTCATATTTCTGTCCTATGTTAAGCCAAGGCAAATTATTTTTCACTTTTTAGTTACAATCCCATAATTTAAGAGTGGCAACACATAGATTAAGTTTCACAGTTAAATTTTAATTATTTTCTAGTATTTTTGTTTATACTTGATTAAAGCTAATTTTAAAACATGCACTCTGACAGAAAAGGCATCTGAGAAACAAAACAAGCAAATTTGTTTTCCATTTTGCACCTGCCCAAAAAAAAAAAAAAGTCTCAAGAACCAGAACTGGGTAAGAATTGTGATAAAGGGAATAATCTGTCTGTATATTCACGACTTTCTTTAAAATTCATTACAAACAAGTTCAAGCTGAATATTGGTGAAAGTTTTGAAAACTCCAGAATTACTGCTTGCCCTGAGGAAGAGCTCCTACATAGTAACTCTAAAGAGGGATGAACAAAAAAGGAGTGCCCTCTAATCTGATGAATCAGGTCCCTGATTGTGAGGAGGAAGATGCATCTGGAGGGTCTAACTCTGTGGCATTCCAGGCAGCGCCTGAACAGAGGAAGCCCATGTCAAATGTCTTTTTATTCCATTCATACTCCAGGTCCCTGAAATACAGTTACCAGTCATCTTCTAAGCTTCATTTAAATGAAAATAAATCAGACTATAAAAATGATAGCAAACCAGACACATAGCTTGTTTCTAACACAGATGATGAAAATTTTTGTAATGATACTGAAACCAAAAAATTAAGGAACCCAGTAATTATGATTGAAATGAAAGATGATTAAGAGTTTGACATGCAAATGGCAAAAAATGTAAACCCAGATACCACTAATTGGAAATTGGACATTAGGCATTGGCCTCAGTCTAGAGATCCAGAAAGTCTTTTTGATTTGTTGTTTACCCACCCCAAAGAAATGAAGCATATGATTCAGATAGAAAGCCACAGTATTTCTGCTGCTACAGATACTTATAAAAACAGAAAACCAATACAGCGTTTATTCCAGCAGCCACTATATGGCAATCCCAGTGCTAACAACTACAGAAGCATGAATCTTGAATTATAAAATGTGAGTTATTCTTTGCCACATAGTGAGAGAACATCAAAAATATAGCTAGAAGACTTATGGGAAGATATTCCAAGGTCACCAACATGGCACATGAATAGATATGTAACAAACCTGCATGTTGTGCACATGTACCAGAACTTAAAGTATAATAATAATTAAAAAAAAGAATGAGGTAGGCATGTTACAAGTTGAGTTCCTGGCTTTGGAGAAAAGCAAGTCCAACTTCAAAAAGACAGAGGTTCACTTGCTGCTTCTTTTTCCTCTTTATCAATTATTTGATTTAGTCAAATTTTCTATTCAAGAAAATCTCATGTGTACAGTTACAGTGGGGTTATCTAAATGTGTAATTATGTGTCAAAGTAGATTAGTTCTGCTATCTAAATAATGGTTCTGGAGAATGTTCTCATAATGTTTGTTCATTAATCAACCTATGTCTCACTATCAGTCTTCCAAGTGGCGTATGAGCTGGGAAACTAATTAAGCCACATACCATGTGACCTTCTGAACCAGATCAACATAAAGAAATTGCTAAAGAAACAAGCTCTAGATTCTAGATTCTTTTTTCTTGTATTCATTTAGAGATGATTTACATTTATTTAATGATAGAATGGGAATACAATGGGAGGGAAGCAATGACTGAGACAAGCCACAAAAACACGTCTAGCCTTGAGAGTTGCAACGAATATTCCCAGCCAAATGAGTCTGTTTAATGTGTTTTCATGCATGCAAGTTTATCTGCTTAGCTCGAACTGTTTGAACTTACAGTCCCATCATGGTTATTTCCAATATTTTTGAAAACAAACATATACTTACACATATTTTAAAAAATCACCACTCTGCAATATTTCTGTTGTATCAGACCTTACGTTATGTTGTTTAATAAAGTATGGTAAGTTTTGGCATGTATGATTTTTATCATATAAGAAGCATAATTTCTTAGCCAAAAATTTAGCCTTTGACTCTAGTAGAAAGTTGAGTTCTGTACATTGTGTTCTAAAGATAGACAAAAATCTAGAGATTTTCTTCTTTCAAAGTAAAAGCAGATGAGGCCTTTTTCCACCCTCTGAGGCATTAAATTGCTTTGCTCAAGTTAGACTTTTAATATATCTAATTTGATAAATTTATCTGGTAATTTATGTAATTCAGCAATATGGAATTGTATCATGTTATATGGTGCCATGAAATGCTAGTGAATGCCACCTCAAGAGCTCTGGATGAAACATTTAATATGTCTTGGTTGGTTTGACTCCCATTATCAGTAGATAATGGGGTTAAAGTAGGTAACTGTACCATATGTTTTCCACCTATAAACTTTTGTGGTAATTGAATGTGAAATCTGGGAAGCATCTCATTTTCCAGAATTCTGCACTAGAAACTCAGCAGTTTCACTCTGCTTCTTTTGTTGTGGCAAACGTTGGTTCCCATAATTCAAAGAGAACCTTTACTTTTTTGATATCACAGGATTCAAAAAAAAAAAAAGAGAGATAAAAGGCAGTGGGGAAAAGAGTAGCTCAGTACAGAAAAGGGAAAACTTCTTTACTGTTCCTGAAGGCCTACAAGGTCACATCCTCTTAATCTGGCTATTTCATGTAAAATCCAGGTAGTAAAGACAGAAGACATATGTTATGCCTGTGTCCTTTTATTTCTCTGTTTCTGCCAGCCAGATAGCATAAAAATTTATACCAGATAGCAAAGAGTGGATGGGAATAAAAGCACAAAATGGAGAAGAGCCCTTTTTGAAATTTTAGAAAATGCTTCTATTCCCTCAAACAGAAATGAGCAGATTTGACAAAAATTTCGATGATAAAATAAAAGTATCTTATAATGATAATAATTATGTATAATGATAAAATTAAAGTAAGCACAAAATACTTTTATCATTAAAGTGGTGATAGTTAACCTGAATCAAGTAAAAAAAATCAGGGAAAAAGTTCTTTTTATTGAATAAAATAATAACAATTATTATTCATCTTTTATTAAAGGTCAAAGAAGGAAATAATACAAACAAAAGTGAAAAAATACAACTTTCAGAAAATATATGTGATAGTACATCTTCTGCTGCTGCTGGCAGATTAACCCAACAAAGAAAGATTGGGAAAACGTATCCTCAGCAATTTCCCAAGAAGCTGAAGGAAGAGCATGATAGGTAAGCCTATAGCAGTGTTTTTTTTTTGTTTGTTTGGTTTTGGGTTTTTTTTGTTTGTTTTTGTTTTTTTGAGATGGAGTTTCTCTCTTGTTGCCCAAGCTGGAGTTCAATGGTGTGATCTCAGCTCACTGCAACCTCTGCCTCCTGGGTTCAAGCGATTCTCCTGACTCAGTCTCCCTAGTAGCTGGGATTACAGGCATGTGCCACCATGCCCGGCTAATTTTTTGTATTTTTAGTAAAAATAGGATTTCACCATGTTAGCCAAGCTCGTCTCGAACTCCTGACTTCAGGTGTTCTGCCCACCTCGGCCTCCCAAAGTGCTGGGTTTACAGGAGTGAGCCACCGTGCCTGGCCGCCTATAGCAGTATTTCACAGGAGATAATTGTCATTGTGCTATAAACTAATTGAAAATTGGACTAATATTCCTTATGATTAACAAGTTTTATATTTTTACCAGGGGTATTTAGCCCTGCCTGGTAATCAGAAAAATGCAAATTAACATAAAATAAGATATATTTTGTAAAGTCATGCTGATATTTAAAAAGTAATTATTAGTGTTGGCAAATGTGAGGAAAAAGGCATTCTCATACACTGTTGGTATAGGAAATTAGTAAATTATTTCTGAAGGGTAACTTAGTGCTGTGTATCAAAATTTCAAATAGCCTGACATCCCTTTAACTCAACAACTCCACTTCTGGGGCTAGATTTCACAGGAAAACATAACTGGTGTGAACATACACACACTTATTAATATATAATTAACATGCATTAATTATATATTACACATAATGAACAATAGGTTAATGAATATATAAAATATATGTAATAAGAAGGTGAATTGAAAGTATTAAGAAAGAAATATAAAAAGTGTGGGGAAACAGATGTTAGACTCTTTAGCCTAGTTTTGGATGACAGTCATCTGCAGATATAGTTTGTGTGAGAGACATCTGAAGGTGTCATCTCACTCTGTAAATCATTTGGAGAAACACCTGCAATATTTCATAAAGATGAAAATTTATTTCTAGTGAACTTATATGCTTGTCAATAAATAGTAACTTTAAAAATTTAGTTGATTGTAAATGATCTTTTCTAATTAGGGAGTAATTATGACTGTGTGATTTAAAAAGGTAATTTTGAACCTGTAACTTTACTGAATTATCTCTGGTATCCTTTTTTATAATGTATATTAGAGTGACTAGTAACAAAAGCTTTAGCAGAATATTCTTTCCTTACTACTTTTCAAGTATATGCATTCATTTGAAGATGTTGAAGTGAGAAATTAAATATCTGAGAACTGCAAAGGAAAAATAATCCAGAACATAGAAATTTTGTTAAGATAATAAACAACATCTGCAGAGGTAGATAACAGGATGAACTCCTTATTTTTTAACAAAATGAATTTTAAGATAAATGTCTTTATCTGCAGATGCACCTTAAAACAAGAAAATGAAGAAAAAACAAATGTTAATATGCTGTACAAAAAAAATAGAGAAGAATTAGAAAGGAAAGAGAAACAATATAAGAAAGAAGTTGAAGCAAAACAACTTGAACCAACTGTTCAGTCACTAGAGATGAAATCAAAGACTGCAAGAAATACTCCAAATTGGGTAAATCAATCTTTGGTAAAAATTCTATATTTTAAACTTTATCTTATCACTGTTACTTATAATATCCACTTGATTTAATATATATTGTTTAGGTCTAAAACCATAAATGTTATCTCATTTTTAAAAATGAATGATGACACTTACAGGTACAATTATTAATATTTATTATAAATCTTGGCATCCACATAGGATATTATTTTATTACAAAGAGCTTTTGAAAACAATAATATGCCATAATTTATACTTAGTGATAACCTATTGATAAAAATTTTGTTCCAGGTAAAATTTTTCCTTGTACTTTCCCCTATTTCATATTGATTACTGCACCTAATATTATAAAGAGGAAACAGAAATTATTGCAATCGCAAATAATCTCATGATATTCTAAGAAGAGCTCTATAAATTTTATCTTATTTACTATTGGCGTTTTGAAATAAAAGTTTTCTTTCGTATTGATGTATTTACACCACAGAAGTAACTGTGATCTGTTGGAGAACTAGAAGTAGAGTCAGAAGTCCTGGGGAAAATCCTGTAGCTTGCTTATATTTTTAACATTTCTTTTTCAAAATTGTGGTAACTAGATGAGTTCATCAATGAATGTATATAGGAGTGACTAGTATAATGTCTAGTTTATGATTTAGTGAATGTAATTCTTATAACTGACTATAAAAGTGTTAAAAGAGTCAAACTGAAATAGAATGTTATCAGTGAAACAGAACTGTAATAACTCTGGGAAATTTTATCTGTCCAAATACGTGTGAACAAAAGTTCTTACTGTAGGGTGGTGTATGGGTTAGATATCAAAGTGTAAATGCAATTTTTTGATATATCTTAATTTAGCCAAATTTGTTAATGCTTTAATTTATGCTTTTGAGTTTGTTGTAATTCAGGGAAAGGCTTTTCCAATTCTGATATTCTTAAAAATTCTCTGGGGTGTGTGTGTGTGTTTACTTTTATAAATTCATTGACTCTAAATACATTTCTGAACTTTCTGGAATTTATGCTCTATAAGGTTCAAAGTTTTGCTTCAACTTTTTCTCCAGGTGGATATCCACTTATGGTAAACTTTTTAGTGGTACGGATGTGCAGGTTATTCTTTAACTTCAGAGGTAATCATGATATGTTATTTTATTGAGTACTAGCTAAAACTTTCTTTTGTTTTATTTAGGATTTTCATAATCATGAAGAAATGAAAGGTCTGATGGATGAAAATTGCATTTTGAAGGCAGATATTGCTATACTCAGACAGGAAATATGTACAATGAAAAATGACAACTTGGAAAAAGAAAATAAATATCTTAAGGACATTAAAATTGTTAAAGAAACAAATGCTGCCCTTGAAAAGTATATAAAACTCAATGAGGAAATGATAACAGAAACAGCATTCCGGTATCAACAAGAGCTTAATGATCTCAAGGCTGAGAATACAAGGCTCAATGCCGAACTGTTGAAGGAAAAAGAAAGCAAGAAAAGACTGGAAGCTGACATTGAATCTTATCAGTCTAGACTGGCTGCTGCTATAAGCAAACACAGTGAAAGTGTGAAAACAGAAAGAAACCTAAAACTTGCTTTAGAGAGAACACAAGATGTTTCTGTACAAGTAGAAATGAGTTCTGCTATTTCCAAAGTAAAAGATGAGAATGAGTTTCTTACTGAACAACTTTCTGAAACACAAATTAAATTCAATGCCTTAAAAGATAAGTTCCGTAAGACAAGAGATAGTCTCAGAAAAAAGTCATTGGCTTTAGAAACTGTACAAAACAACCTAAGCCAAACACAGCAGCAAACACAGGAAATGAAAGAGATGTATCAAAATGCAGAAGCTAAAGTGAATAATTCCACTGGAAAGTGGAACTGTGTAGAAGAGAGGATATGTCACCTCCAACGTGAAAATGCGTGGCTTGTACAGCAACTAGATGACGTTCATCAGAAAGAGGATCATAAAGAGATAGTAACTAATATCCAAAGAGGCTTTATTGAGAGTGGAAAGAAAGACTTCGTGCTAGAAGAGAAAAGTAAGAAGCTAATGAATGAATGTGATCATTTAAAAGAAAGTCTCTTTCAGTATGAGAGAGAGAAAACAGAAGTAGTAGTAAGTATCAAGGAAGATAAATATTTTCAAACTTCTAGAAAGAAAATTTAAACATTTGGTTCTGGATACATGTTGAACTTAGTTGAATATAAAAATCTAGATTAAAAGTGTGTTTACCATACTGTATAATTCCATTTACATGAAGCATCCAGAAAAGATAAATGTATAGGGACAAAAAGTAGATTCATGTTTGCAAGGGGCTGGGGCTGGAAGCTGGTAGTGACTGCTAATGGGCATGAGGAATCTTACAGTGATGGAAATGCTCTAAAGTTGGATTGTAGAGATGGCTGCACAACTCAGTAAATGTACTAAAAATCTTTTAACTTTAAGTTAAAACAGATACATTCTATAGTATGTAAATTATATTTCAACAAAGCTGTTTTAATAAAAAAAGGAAAAATGTGTTTACTATATCGGCTTAGAAACATGCCTCATTTCTAGGAAATAAAAGATAGAGGTGAGAGATGATTTACTTTGAGAAAAGACATTGTGTCACCTATGAAATTTTATTAGGCACAGAGTCATATTTTAAGGTAGATAGTTCTGTACTGCTGAAATAGTAATTTTAATGTCTTTATGTTGCCACATGTTAAGACCATAATGTAGTTATAAATGGAAATGTTTACACCTGAAGTGAGTATTTTCAAATTAAAATTTAATTAAGTGATTTTCTTCGACACTTAATTCTAGATTCCCCAGATGAATTGAAGTGTATTGCTGTGTCTTGTAATACCTTGCTTTAACTAGCTTTTTATGTATTTTAGTTGGTATAGCTTTGTTATTATTCATATTAACAAATCTGAAAATATGTCAAATTACGTATTTTTATGACCACGTAATGTTTTAAAGGCACCTACTGGTTATAAAATCATAATTTAGGATAAATGTGGTAAAACTTAGCAAAACTATATTTGGTTTAGTTTTCCCACTGGTATTTATAGTTTACTTTGAATATTTATATTAATAATTAGCTCATAATTTTTATTGCAAGGCTCAATGACTGTCATTGGAATATAATTTTGTTCAGTACAAAGATACTTGTAGCTGTCTGTGATTTACGAGTTAGGCACTACATCTCCATTTTCAGACTGAGGGGTGGCAGGCTTCACATACAGTGGGAATGGAGTAATTACAGGAGGGAGTTGTAGGAGCTTTGAAGTCAGAGAGGGAGGTAGAGGCCTTTTTACCTAGGGCATCAAAGGCCATTGGAATTTTACTTTTATTCTGAGATAGGAATCTGTTGGAAGGATTTGAACAGGTGATTGAATATGTTAGGAACTTTGAGGCTGAGTTGAGCTTCTGAGATGATTGAATGTTGGAATGAATCTGTTGTGTAAAAGAGAATACCAATTTGGCAGGAAGAGAACATATTCTGCATCCCTCACTGAATTCAGTAATAAATAAAAATGTGTACATGTGATTAAAAGAAGGTGAATTGATATGTGTGGTGATAATTTTCAAAGTAGATATGTTAGAATTAAACATTATTAACATAATTTAATAAGGCAGTTTATAAAATCAGTAACAAAAATATTTTATCAGGTGGTTGTGAGACAACTTCAACAAGAAGTGGCTGACAGCGTAAAAAAATTAACGACGTTAGAGTCTCCACTGGAAGGTATATCACGTTGTCACATTAATTTGGATGAGACACAGGCCTCAAATAAGAAATTATTTCAAGTGAAAAGTCAAGTATGTATGGAATTTAACATGTCAACAGTTATTCTGTAGCTAGTTGAATTATATAACGTGTTTTAGGATACTAATTTTGGCAGAAGCTTGATTTTTTATTTTCATTATAATGAATGATTTCCATTTTACTATCTTTATAATGTACTTATTTTTTTATATTGTGACTTTCATTCTACCATTTTGAAAAACCATTGCATACCTTTTCTCTTACAATATGTACCCTTGGAAAAGTTGAGAATTATACATCATTCCTCATAGAAAATTGACTTTTTTCCTGTTAAACAGTATTTTTAAGTAATTTTTGTATTGCTCTGATGAGGCAGGCCAGATTAAATCAGAGGAGAATGTTTCATGGAATGTTCCAGAAAATTGTCTTATTTCTTCACTTTTGTGAATGGACACAGAATCTGTGTCTATTTGTTTCACAGATTCTAGGTTAACTTGTACAGAAAGGCCATTATACTATTCTTTGAAATGTGCATGTTTTAGGTTAATTTACAAACTATTTGAAAAGTTAGGCATTTTCTTTATCTATCTTTTATTTAAAATATACTGTAAAACTGTAGAAATATTTAGATTTTATATAGCATGTACATCAAAAATTAAGAGTTGAGAAAATTATCTTGATCCTGCCTTTGGATTTTAAAAAGATTCACTGAGATGTCATTCACATATCAGGCAGTTCAACCATTTAAAATGTACAACTCAGTGTCTATTAGTATGTTCACAGCATTTTCGTCACCCTGAAAAGTGACCCCACATCTCCTAGGCATGACTGCAGCCTTCCTCCATGTCCCTCCACCTACCCCTGTTGTAGGCAACCACCATCTACTTTTGTCTCCATATGTTTGCCTGTTCTGCATATTTCATATACATAGAGTTATACAATATGTAGTCCTTTGTGACTGGCTTTTTCACTTAGCATAATGTTTTCAGAATTCATGCATGTTTTAGCACACATTCGTAGTTTATTTCTTCTTATAGTTAAATGATATTCTATTCCATGGCTATACTGGTTTTCCATTCGTTCATCAGTTGATGGACCTTTAGGTTAGTTTCCACTTTTTAGCTATTATGAAAAATGCTGCTGTGAACATTCACTTACAGGTTATTATGTGGACACGGGTTTTTATTTCCCTGCCATTGGACTTTATCCTCAGAGTTAATTGGGCAGATTTCAGCACTTGTCTTGCTCATGCTATTCTTTCTGCCTTCTCAGTTTCTGTTCATCTAGCCTCATTCATTCAGACCTGGCAGACAATTTTTTTGTTTTCATGAAGCTTTCTCTGACTGTTCTGTCATTGACCTTATGTGTTAGCAATCGTTGTCTAGTCTGTGCTGAAAAACTTAGTCCTTAATTTTACATGGCTTTTATTTTTTTATGGAAGATAATTTTCTCTCATTATAAATTTGCTTAATGGGGGAATAATATATAATGTGTATGCCACCTATCCTTGCATACATTGAAAATATTTTAGCTTAGAAGTTTGTAGCATACAATTCAATCATTTATACCATACCAATTATTTCTTCCTTGAGACCTTGACACAGTAAGGTTATATTCTAAATATAGTTTTAGCAATTAAATATCAAATCTAACCCAATTAGTCTAACACAGGAGATGCGTTCAATCACGTGTTTATGTTTTTCTCTCTATGAAAAAGAATATAAATTGGCCTTTTTTCACTATGCAGCCATTACTGTGTTTCTGGACTGCTCCCAGTCTGTCAGCTGAACAGTTCTGGTTGCAGCTTGTCTGATGAAGGATAGCACAGCCCCTCAATCTGAGTGCTCAGCAGAGTGCTTGTGAAGGCAGCACCACAGCAACAGTTGCTCAGAGGGAACGGATTCAGGAGCCTTGACTTAGCAATAGAGTCCAGGGTTTTCAGCTCAGTGTCTTTAGCCTGTCTCTGCTGGTCATGTCAGTTACGTACTATTCCATCCAGGAGGTGCTATTTACATTGTAGTACATACACAGTCATTGCCTAATGAGTCATACAGAGAGAAAAGTAAGTTATAAATTATGTCCCCCATTTGCTGCAACTCTCAGTGTTAAGAATGATTCAGTGCAGCTATAGGAGACTACTTCCATTGGCATGCCACCTGCGTAAAATACACAATTTTGTTAAGATATACAATAAAATTATTATGCTAATAGCAAATATTTTATGTAGCTCACTATGTTCCATGTAGTCTTCTAAGTGCTTCATGTTAGTCCCCAGTTAAACACCTGGTTTTGGAAGGCTGAGGCAGGAGGATTGCTTGAGCCCAGGAGTTTGAGACCAGCCAGAGCAATATAGTGAGACTCTGTCTCTAAAAAAAAAAAATTTTTTTTAAACACTTAGCTGAGGCATGGTGGTGCATGCCTGTAGTCCCAGCTACATTGGGAGGCTGTGGTAGGAGGGTCGTTTGAGCTTGGAATATTGAGGCTGCAGTGAGCAGTGATCAAGCCACTGCACTCCAGCCTAGGTAGCAGAAGGAGACTCTGTCTCATAAATAAAACATGTTGTATAGATTCCCATAGAAGTGAGTTAGACATCAGGCATAGAATTATTAGCCGCTTTGATGTCTGCCTTGGGAGTAAAACACATAATAAGGGGCAGCTTTAAACCATCTCAATCAATAGCCTCTAACTTCTCCAGAAGGTTCTTATTTCATGAATTTCTAAGCAAGGGACTACCTGGATTAAGACATTTGGTAGACACCATTTTGAGATGAAGAATCTTGAATGGGAAGAAGGGAGATCTCTACTTACTGAAGCTTCCCGATGACATAGTTGAGTGTCCCCCAAAAGGAACTTTAGAACAAGATGTTCATCATGCCATATCTCTATGGAAAAGGAAATTATTTAAAAGAAAACAAAGGCAAACAATTGATAATCTGATTTTCATGGGAAAGTTTTCATTATCAAAGAAAAAGAGGGCTGGGTTCCATGGCTCACATCTGTAATCCCAACACTTTGGGAGGCTGAGAGGGGTGGATAACCTGAGGTCAGGAGTTCAAAAACAGCCTGGCCAACATGGTGAAACCCTGTCTCTACTGAAAATACAAAAATTAGCCAGGCGTGGTGGTGTGCACCTGTAGTCCCAGCTACTTGCGAGGCAGAGGCAGGAGAATCACTTGAACCCAGGAGGTAGAAGTTGCAGTAAGCTGAGATGGCTTACTGCATCCAGCCTGGATGACACAGTGTGACTCCATCTCAAAAAAAGAAAAGGACAAAGTATATTGGTCCAAAAAAGAAGAAAGAATGAAAAAAAGGACAAAGTATACTGGTTAGTATCGTAACAGTGAGATAGTCCCCCTTTGAGATTAGAAAATAACAGTATACTCAAAGTAACATCAATAAGAACCAACATAAAATAGACAAGATTCACTATCTACAAAAGTAATCTGCACCAAGTAGCAATGTATGAGCATGTGGTGGAGAATATTGTCTATAATATGTGTACTAGAAGGAAGAGACCTCAAGAAAAAGGTCAGAGCTGGAAATGTAGATTAGGGAATCTAGGTCAAAGTTTTGAGATTTTAGGAGTCCTGAGAGAATTTAAAAAGCGAAATAGCCGCCGGGCGTGGTGGCCACACCCGTAATCCCAGCACTTTGGGAGGCCAAGGCAGGCAGATCATGAGGTCAGGAGTTCAAGACCAGTCTGACCAACATAGTGAAACCCCGTCTCTACTAAGAATACAAAAAATTAGCTGGGTGTGGTAGCACATGCCTGTAATCCTAGCTACTTGGGAGGCTGAGGCAGGAGAATCGCTTGAATCCAGGAGGTGGAGGTTGCGGTGAGCCGAGATCATGCCACTGCACTCCAACCTGGGTGACAGTGGGAGACTCCATCTCAAAACAAAAAACAAAAACAAAACAAAAAACCAGAAAAGTATAGGGCTGAAGAACAGAGGTTGCTGCATTTAGAAAGGAGGCGGGGTCAGAGGAGCAGAGGGAGCATTTGGTCACTGCTCTGCTGAGTAAAGCAGGGTAAAGTCCTTCATGACCGTTGGACTTTTTTATTGGAATTATTAAAAATCAGATTTCAGTATAAAAAACACAATAATTGATGAAAAAAGATTTCTGAATGAGACCATGTGTCATAGAGTCCAATGGAAGGGGAGAAACAGGATAATAGAAAAGCCACAAAAAGTAGACGAAAGTTGTTTTTGTTTATTGTAGAAAAGATAAACTTTATTTAAAGAGAAATGGTTAAGAGAAAGGGAAAAACTGAAACCTGTGGGTGAATACTTAGAATGACAGTATTTAGCTCAGCCTGAAGACAGATGAGGATGAAAAATGTAATGGGAACTAGATAAGAGTTTTCTAAAATTTGTCTTAGTAAGATGTAATTTAAGAAAACTTGGAATATCTTAAACTGTTAAAAACAATATTTCTAGAGCATCTTTAAAAACTAAAATGTAAATATAACTACTCTTTTTTTTAAACTAACCCTTAGTATTTTGTGTGTAAAAACCCTCATTTGTAACAAACATTGTTGGCAGTTTAAATTTCAGAAAAGATAATGATGAAAATTTGAATCATTTTTAGCAGTTTTAAGAAAAGTGACTATTATTGAAATCTGACCTTATTGGCGTCAGGTTTATAAAATGCACTTTATACACCTGCATAAATACGTATTACTAATCCACTTATGAGAAATAATATTTTTGAGATGAGGGTTTCCAGATTTTACAAAAATAATTTTAAACACTTTTTTTAAGCCTAAAAAAGAAAATGAAGAATTAAGAAAACTTTTTGAGTTAATATCATCACTGAAATATAATGTGAATCGAATAAGAAAGAAAAATGATGAATTAGAAGAAGAGGCAACTGGGTATGGTTTTCATATTGTAGAACATGTTAGCCATTTATTAATTGATTTAACTCTAATTTTACTTGACTAAAACCTAGATACAAATTCATTTTATGTTTGCATTTTCATAATTAAATGAATTCTATTTTAAAATGTATTTCAGAAACTCACAGCACAACTTTTTAGACGTGTGTCATGGGGGTGGGAGTCAGCTGAGCTGCTGGGGCAAGGTGAAATTTTTTTTGAATGCCAAAATATTCTTTTTTTTTTTTTTTTTTGAGAAAAAGTCTGGCTTTGTTTCCCAGACTGGAGTACAATGGCGCGGTCTTGGCTCACTGCAACCTATGCCTCCAAGCAATTTTCCTGCCTCAGCCTCCTGAGTAGCTGGCATTACAGGCATGTGCCACCACACCCGGCTAATTTTTGTATTTTTATTAGAGACGGGGTTTTGCCAAGTTGGTCAGGCTGGTCTCGAATTCCTGACCTCGTGATCTGCCCGCCTCGGCCTCCCAAAGTGACATGAGCCACCATGCCCGGCCACTTATTCTTTAATGATTTTGAAAACAATGACCACGCCTTGGACATATACTGTCCAGTGCACTCTTCATTATCTGGTTTGAATTTTTATTTCTGAAGATATTTTTTGCTGTCTGTGGTCATTTTTTCTTCCTTTTTTAGTATCCTCTGCTGCATTCAAATTGTTTAAAGAAGACCTGTTTGTGTCATTCTTTAACATCAAATTTATCTTGATATGTAGCTTATATTTTGTTTCTGCTTTTTCTTTTAGATATAAAACGTGGAAATTTACTCATTGTACATGAGTACCTCTGTTGTATACATGAAGTATACATGTTATTAAACTTGTTTTACATAAATAAATTTCATATATATAAAAATATATGTATAACTTAAAGAAAAAGTAAAATGAACATTCATGTTTTGATCACAGATTTTTTTTAAAACAATGGAATCTGTCTTTGAAGCCCTGAACACAGCTACTTTTCTATTTATTTACTGAGCACTTAATTTGGTTTTCTGATTAGAATCAACATTTTTCTGTCATTGCTTTTCTCTACATGGTTTTGTATCTCTTTCATTTTGTTGACATTATGTCAGCAAAGATGTCTAGATCTCTTCTTCAAAGTCTCTAAATTGTCACACATCTCTCTGCCCCTTTCCTTTTTTCTAAAACTGCCTGTATCCTTTTTCTCCTCAACTCAGATATTAAAGATGTTTTCTTCTCTTTTTCTACATTGAATGATCTCCTTGATGCTTTTTGTGTGTACTTTTTTTTCTTCTGATAGACTGTGGTCAGTGGGTATCAAAATGTACTTTTGTGTCTTTTTAAATGTATGTGTTTTACTTTTTTATCTTGGTTACTCATCTCTGGGTTATGGCTTATATTTAGTAACACGTTATTTTACTTAGCATACCAACATGGATATGAGTAGTTTATTTACAAAAAGTGTATGGTTAGGCCAGGTGTGGTGGCTCACACCTGTAATCCCAGCACTTTGGGAGGCCAATGTGGGTGGATCATTTGAGGTCAAGAGTTCAAGACCAGTCTGACCAGTGAAACCCCGTCTCTACTAAAAATACAAAATGAGCCAGGCATGGTGGTACACACCTGTAATCCCAGCCACTTGGGAGGCTGAGACAGGTGAATCACTTGAGTCCAGGAGGCAGAGGTTGCAGTGAGCTGAGACCACACCATTGCACTTTGGCCTGGGCAACAAGAGTGAAATTCCATCTCAAAACAAAACAAAAAACAAAACAAAAACACTGTATGGCTATAATATCACTTTACCTGCCCTATATTCCATAAAATTATTCTTCATATTATTTATCTAAGATTATAATTTCATATAGAATGCTTTCAAACTATGTTCAGTTGAAACTGAAAGTAACATAGTTTATAGATTTGTTTCTTTGATATGCCATAACAGATGTTTAAACAATTATTAAATATTTACTCTTAAAAATACTTGACTTACTAATTCTGTACATTTCTGCAGATATAAGAAACTCCTGGAAATGACAATAAATATGTTAAATGTATTTGGAAATGAAGACTTTGATTGCCATGGAGACTTAAAAACAGATCAACTGAAAATGGATATTCTGATTAAGAAGCTAAAACAGAAGGTAATTTAAAAAAAATATTTTATCTTAAGGTCTAGATTACATGTGTGAGACGTGCAGGTTTGTTATATAGGTAAACGTGTGTCATGTTGGTTTGCTGCACCTATCAATCCATCACCTAGATATTAAGCCCTGCAGGCATTAGCTATTGATCTTGATGCTCTCCCTCCTGATCCTAACAGGCCCCAGTGTTTGTTGTTCCCCTCCCCGAGTCCATGTGTTCTCATCATTCAGCTCCCACTTCTAAGTGAGAAGATGCAGTGTTTGTTTTTTTCTTCCTGCATTAGTTTGCTGAAGATATCAGCTTTGAGCTCATCCATATCCCTGCAAAAACATGATCTCATTCATTTTTATGGCTCCATAGTATTCCATGGTGTATATGTACCACATTTTCTTTATCCCGTCTATCACTGATGGACATCTGGGTTGATTCCATGGCTTTACTGTTGTGAATAGTGCTGCAATGAACATACAAATGCATGTATCTTTATAATAGAATAATTTATATTCCAACGTATGGTAATTTTAGATCAGTTTTGGTATTAAAAATCATGTAATTTTGGAAAATATTGATAATGGAAAAACCCAAATTCTGCCAAAATATGTTGAGAAAATAGAGGGTAAATATATCTTTTCAGACTTTAAATGCCTCAGGCTCTTAGTTAATCTTCCCCAGATCTGGGAAGAACTAGAAGGGGAGAGATTGGGCTACGTTAATGAGGGCCATTTCAATCTCTTGGCCCTGCAGCAGCCATTTCAAAATATGACAAAAAAATATATTTGGGGGTAAAATATTTTGATTTCCTTCAGCTTCTTCTCTCTGTGATGCTGCACCAGAATCAGGTTAGAAAGGAAGCCACATTATAAGAGTTAATAAAACCCATCTGATGAGATTTGATAGTTTGAAGGGTGTGATTCCCAGACCCTTTAGATAGAAATTGGGGCCAAGGAAAACAAGGTCTTATTCCTCAATATAAATCTGTCAGTGCTTTAAGCAGTGAAAGATTTTTCATTTAATTTTACAGACTTGAAACTAATGAAAAGGATAGCTTTTAAAATATCAATCTCTTTTTCTATGAAAAGGACATGCTGTTGATTCTCTTAGGCCTTGAACCCTGGCCAGTGATCTGAAACCAAGCAGTACCTGTCTCCAGATCACTACTACCAAAATCACTAGTACCAAATTAATTTGGGGTGGGGGTAACAGGTTTATTGAGAAATAATGAACACACCATGCAATTCACTCATTTAAAATATACAATTTATTAACTTCAGTATTTTCAGAGAGTTATGCAGTCATCATTACAATCAATTGTAGAACATTTTCATCACCCTAAAAACAAACCCCACATCATTTAGCTATCTTCACTAGTTTTCCCTTCCTCCCTCAGCCCTAGGTAACCACCCACCTTCTTTTATAGATTTGCCTATAAGCCTCTGAAATGAAAAGCAAGTGGTCTACTGTGACTGGCTCATTTCACTTAGCATAATTTTCCATGCTGCATCTGTGCTGCAGCAGGTATTGATGCAGGGTTTTTGCTCCTTAGTTCAGCTCAATCTGGGTTCTTCTCTCATGACCAGGAAAAATTAAGCACACAGACACATTGAAGGGTGAGGAGGACAGAATTTATTAAGTGAAAGGAAAGCTCTCAGCAAAGAGGGGCGTCCTGCAAACAGGTTTCCACCTCTCAACTGAATACCAGGAGCACAGGAGCTGAAGCGGCCAGGCTCCTGCTCTGCATAAGGCGTGAATTCCTGGTGACTCCACCCCATCTCCCCAGTGCTTGTGGGCCTCGGGTCTGCTGCCGGCATGTCCAGGCAAGACAAGTCCAGGTTCCCTTATCTGCACATAACGTCTGGTGTAAACACTTGTGAGGCTTGTTGGGGATTCTCCGGGGACCCTTCCTTATCTGCCTAGGCATTTTGCTGTCTCCTCCTAATACAGTATCAGTACTTAGTTTCTTCTTATTGCTGAGTGATATTCCATTGTATGGATACATCAAACAGTTTATTTATCCATTCACCAGGTGATGGACCTTTGGGTTCTTTCCCACCCAAAGGTGATGGACATTTTGGTTCTTTCCACTTTTCACTCTTACTAATAATGCTGCTGTAAACATTTATGTATGAATTTTTGTGCTTGCATATGTTTTTGATTTTCTGGAGTATATACTCATGACTGGAATTTCTGGGTCGTGTGGTAACTTCATGCTTAACCTTTTGAGGAGCTGCCAGTTTGTTTTCCAAAGTGGCTGCACCACTTTACATCCCCAGCAGCATTGGATAAGGGCTTTAATTTCTTTACATTTTTCCTAACACTTATTTTCTCTTTTTTATTGAATAAAGGTTTCATCCTGTGGTGTGAAGTGATACCACACGTGGTTTTGATTTACTTTTTCCTAATGACTAATTACATTAAGCATCTATTAATGTGCTTATTATCCATCTTTATATCTTCTTTGCAAATATATCTATTCAAAATCTTTGCCCATTTTTTAAATTGGGTTATCTTGTTATTTATGAATTGCAAAGGTTCTTTATATATCCTACATATGTAAGTCCCTTATCAGATACATGCTTTTCAAATACTTTCTTCTACTCAGTATCTTACCTTTTCACTTCTTGATACTGTCTTCTCAAGCACAGCAGTTTTCAATTTTGAAGTTCATTGAATCCATTTTTCCTTTGGAGTCATAGCTAAGAAAACACTGCCAAATGCAGTCACAAAGATTTATGCCAGGGTTTTCTTCGTACTTTATTTATTTTTTGCATGTGGATATCCAGTTGTCGCAGCACCATTTGTTGAAAAGACTATTCTTTTCCCATTCTGTTCTTTTGTTAACCTTGTATAAAATCAATTGACTGTAAATGTGCAGGTTTATTTGTAGATTATCAATTCTTAGTTTGTTTATATCTATTCTTATGCCAAGGCCAAATTGAATTTAATGAGAAGATTTTTTCAAGCATGTTGCATATTACCAGTTGTCTTATATCATAATAAAAATTAAATTTAGTGGAATATCTTTAACTTCACCTTTTGTGCCTCAAAGGAATCTCTGGCCAGCTTATACCTTACTTACTCTAAGACATGATGGCAAGTCAGGCTTACAAGACACTCTTTCTTTTTTTCTCTATTCAAACCTTTAGTCTCTTTTCCATTGCCTCCCTCTATAGTTATATTTTCAGTAAGTTTTCATCACAGGATCTGCTGATGTAGTCTAATATTTAGTGTATTATGTTTTGTTAACTCATTATAATTCATAGAATCTTCCATAGATGTTTACCATCCAGGAAGGAGAAGTCTGAGCTGCCAGCTTTCCTCAGTGGAAATCATGTGAAATCATCATGTTGTAGTTCGCAGATCCTCTCCACCTGGTAGCTGGTTCTCTTGGGTAGCTCTGCATCTAATCCTTTACTTGGTGCAGATCTTGCATTCTCAGAAACCACAGTTCCCTGTATTGACCTCCTTTTACTGAAACAGAGATGCACAGCTCTGCTTTCTAGCTCAGTAGAGGATTCTTGGGATATAAAGTTTAACTCATTCCAAGAAAAAGTCTTAGGAGTGCAGCACTTCAAAATCAGGTAATGTTCAGGCAATTTATCAGAGACAAATAGTAGATTAGTATTTTGACTTTTGAAATTTCGGAGCCAAGTTGTGTGCTGTAGAGAAGCATTGTGGTATAATACAGAGATGGGATGGTCTTAACTTCTCCATACAAACAAGCTTGAAGTAAGATAAAGGAGAAATTGCATTTGATGTCTTAACACTCAAAGCATATTGTGCTTATTTTACTTCTGTGAAGACTAAAAATCATTCCATAATGTTCTCCTTATTTCCTCATTGAGAAAAGGAAAATGAAAATTGAATACTAGATTGATTAATAAATACTCAAAGCTTATTCTTTTAGAATTTTCATTAACTGAAATCAGGCAAATGTCTGATTTTGGTTATCTAACCAAGTATTTCTAGTTGTTTTTCAAATCATACTTCTTCTTTCTTTGCAGTCTTATTTCCTAACTTGAGGGGAAATTGTAAGGAGACACCCTTGTCTTGTTATCAGAGTTCATAATTGAAGGGGGTTTTAGGAAATGTTCCTCCTCAGCAGCTTATGTCTCTCTCCTGGTTATCTACTGCTTCTCAATAATGTTTGTCATCAATAAATTAATCTCAACATTTATTAGATCCTACTTTAAAGGAGACTCTTTTCTCTGCATAAGTTATGTTTCCTGTTGTCTCTTTTTAAAACTTATTTTTCTAACAATTATCCAGGGTTTTGTGGCTTAAAAGAAAAACATTTATTTTGTTCATGAACCTGTGGTTTGAAAAAAGCTTAGCCAGGACAGGTCATCTCTGCTCCCCTCAGCTTCCCTAGGAATAGCTTATCAGTTGGGGAAATGGAATCCTCTGAAGCTTTGCTCACCCATGTGTTTGATGGTTGATGCTGGCCATTGGCTGGAACCTTGGTTGGAGCAGGCAGCATGAATATTGACACTGACACTCCCAGGCTGTCTCTCTGGCCTGATCTCACTCACAATCTGGGGGCTGAGTTCAAAGGGAAAGCAGTCTGAGATAGGGAAGCCACATGATATCCCTTTTACTGCATTCTATTCATTAGAAGGAAGTCAGTAAGGATTGCCCATATTCTGTTTTTTTAATGGGATAAATATAGCTTCTCTTTTGTTTTAATTGACATGTATATACATAATTTTGGCCAATAGAGTGATATTTTGATACATATATATATAGTGTGTAATGATCGAGCTAACTAGCACATTTACTACTTCAACCATTTTTCATTTTTTGAATTGTGAACATTCAAAATCTTCTGCCTTTTTAAAAATATACAATAAATCATAGTTAACCATATTCACCCTACAATGCCACAGAACACCAGAACTCATTCCTCTTATCTAACTGTAATTCGGTATCCATTAACATCCTCCCCTCCCCTACCTCTGTGAGCTTTTTTGTTGTTGTTAAGAGACAGGGCCTTGCTAGTCCAGTCTGGGCTCTGGGCATCTGTAGTCACCCAGACTAGAGACAGTGGCTTGATCATAGCTCACTGCAGCCTCAAACTCTTGGGCTCATGTGATCCTCTGACCTCACCCTCCTGAGCAGCTAGGATTATGGGCATGCACCATTGCACCTGTCTGATTTTTGACTTTGTAGAGCTATCTACCTATGTTGTCCAGGGTGCTCTGGAACTTTGGCCTCAAGTGATTCTCCTGCCTTGGTCTTTCAAAGTGCTAGGAAATTACAGGCAATAGCCATGTTGCCCAGCCCTCAGTTTTTCTTTAGCTCCCACATATGAGTGAGAATGTGCAGTGTTTATCTTTCTGTGTCTGCACTTAACATACCATCCCTCAGACTGATCCACATGGCCACGAATAACAGGATTGAATTCCTTTATACGGTGAATAGTATTCTACTGTGTTTGTGTGCCACAGTTTTTTGTCCATTCATTTGGTTATGGACATGCAGGTTGATTCCATACATCAGCTATTGTGAATAGTGCTACAATAAACATACGAGTACAGGTATCTTTTTGATCTATTGTTTTCTTTTCTATTGCCTGAATACCCAATAGTGGGTTTGCCGGATCCCTTGGCAGTCCCATTATTAGCTTTTTGAGAAAACCTCATGTTGTTTTCTATAGTGGCTGCACTAATTTACCTTCCCACCAACAGCATGTTAGAGTTTACTGTTCTCTGGAACCTCACCAGCATATGTTATTTTTTTGTCTTTTCAATGATAGCAATTTATTCAAATTGAAGCAAGATTGTATCACATTGAAGATTTGATTTTTATTTCCCTGAGGATTAGTGATACTGAGCGTTTTTAAATTTATTTATTGGCTATTTGTATTTCTTTTTTCTAAAGAAAAGTATAGTTAGATATTTTGCCCAATTTTGAACTCAGATTTTTTTTTACTGTCAAGTTTTTTGAGTTTCTTGTATATTTTGGATACTAGTCCCTTATTAGATGAATAGTTGACAATATTTTCTCCCATTCCACTGGTTTTCTCTTCACTCAGTTTGCTGGGCAGAAGCTCTTTATCTTAATGTAATACCATTTGTCTATCACTTGGTTTTTGCCTATGCTTCTGATGTCTTACCCATAAAAATCTTTGTGCAGACTAATGTCCTCAAGCATTTTTCCTCCATTTACTTAGAGTGGTTTCATAATTTTAGGCCTTAAATGTCAGTCTTCAATCAATTCTGAGTTTATTTCATTATGTGCTGTTACATAGGAAGCTAGTATCATTCTTCTCCATATGGATATTTAGTTTTCCCAGTGCCATTCATTTGAAGAGACTGTCCTTTCCCCAGTGTATGTTCTTGGCACCTTTGTCCAAAATCAGTTGGCTGTAAATATGTGGATTTATTTCTGGGTGTGTATTCTATGGCCTTTACCCCAAGAATCATTACTTCTTAAAATGCAATTCAAATTAGCATGAAACATTTGCAGTTTAAGGAAAGGCTTATGGCATCAGAATCCTTATTTACAGGATTCATTATTTTGTGTTTTTTTGAGATATGGTCTTTGTCTGTCATCCAGGCAGAAGTGCGGTGATGTGGTCATAATTCACTGCAGCCCTGAACTCTGGGTACAAGCCATCCTTTTGCCTCAGTCTCCCAACTAGCTGGGTCTACAGGCATGAGCCACCATGCCCAGCTAATTTAAAAAAAAAATTTTGTAGACATGGGGGTCTCACTATGTTGCTCTGGCTGATCTCAAATTCTGGCCTCAAGTGATCATTCTGGCACAGGCTTTTAAATTGCTACAATTACAGGAATGAGCCACCATGCCTAGTATAGAGTGTTATATTATTTTCAAAGTCTTATTCTGAGAGCCATTTATTGACTTTGGCCTAAATAACTCAATATGATATCTCTGAAACTTTTTTTTTGACATATTATGGGGAATGATAATGAGGGAAGGTGGTTAGACACTTTTTACTAAGAGATAACTTAGTGCCATCTAAGGAGGAACAAAAATGAATTATCAGAAAAATAAAAGTAAGATGAAGTGCAAAAGTTCTGTGGCAAAGATGATGATAGCAAATAATATATTTTTGTGACTCATGGTAGCTTTAACTTTGTTCTTAAAATTCTGAGTAATTTAAGGGTTCACATTTGAAGAATCCACTGCATTACAGATAACATTTTATTGCAAGTAAATGCATTTCAAAATTTGCTATTGGTTTTGTATTAGATTATTCTCAGCCTACTTCATTATCAAGCTATATTATTTTATTCATGCAGTTTGATGATCTTACAGCACAGAAGGAAGCTTTATCTTCAAAATGTGTCAATTTGGCTAAAGACAATCAAGTTCTTCAACAGGAGTTTTTATCTATGAAAAAAGTACAACAGCAATGTGAAAAACTTGAGGAGGATAAAAAGATGTTGAAAGAAGAAATATTAAATCTTAAGACACATATGGAAAACAATAGGGTAGAAATTAGTAAACTACAAGAATATAAATTGGAGCTAGATGAAAAGGCAATGCAGGCAGTAGAAAAATTAGAAGAAATCCATTTACAGGTTAGTTTTTTAAATCAGGTAAGTTTATCTGTAATGTGCTTTCATTTATTTCACCACAAATTATATTTTGGATATGTATATATTATGTTTCCTCTGCCTCTCTTGTAGCAATTTGCTTTGTAGAGTTCTAGAAAAAAAATGGCATCTGTTTTTTCTTTTAAATATTTACATTTCCATTATTATTATAACAAAATCAATCTTTCAGAGTAATGATTCTCACTGTGGAGTCATTTGATGATTAAGATCAGTTGGCATAAGAAACAATTGTGATTTCAAAATTATGTGATACTTTTGAATTGGTCTTAAGCTACATTGTTCATTAATCACTTTTTAAAATTATGAATGGATTCTATTACTTTTTATATGACCAGATTACATTAATACTAACATAATTATGATTTCAAATTTTTATAAATCAGACAATTCTAAATTCAGTTATTAGTTTTGATCTTGCTGATAAATATTTTAAGCTTCAGCCTCTTTTACTAACATATTCACAATTGCTCTTTGAATCACTGACTCAAAATGAAAGGCAACAAACATATAATAATTAGGTTATAATTGTTTTAAAAGTGTATTCTTTTCCTTTGTTTTAGGAACAAGCACAATATGAAAAACAATTAGAGCAGTTAAACAAGGATAATATGGCTTCACTAAATAAAAAGGAACTCACACTTAAAGATGTGGAATGTAAATTCTCAGAAATGAAAACTGCTTATGAAGAGGTTACAACCGAATTAGAAGAATATAAGGAAGCCTTTGCAGCAGCATTGAAAGCTAACAATTCCATGTCAAAAAAGTTAACAAAGTAAGTCGAAACATACACTCATAGAAAATGAATTAAGCTCATTAATTTGTTTTGAAAGCATAATTTTTAGTGAGATGGCTTCAGGAGATTAGTAGGAAGTGAATGCTAATCTAATAATGTAATTTCAGAAAATAATGTTAGTAAATAATCTTACCTTTAAAATGTTAGTCAAGGATAGTTTCTGTCCCATTTCTTTCTCTCTCTCTCTCTTTTTTTTTTTGCTTTTGTATGACTTTTTTCCCCTGAAAAGTCTCATGTAGTTAACCTGATCTGTTAGTTTTTGTCACTAAGTACTTTCGAAGCTTTATAATTAATAATGTGATCTTGTTATAAAATTGCTTGTCAGAATTTTCCTAAATAGAAATATTAATGAGTTTAATTTATTTTTTGGTAGATCACAACCTAAACCCAAAGTTTCAAGTGGTACTGCTACTCTGGGCACAATCATTTTTGATTGTGATCTTTAGTATTATCACTAGAGGGTGCCTCAAGAAAGACTATTTGTGTAACATTTTCAAGATGTTACAGAAAGGCATCCTTGTGAAATAGGGAATAATTATCAAGGAATTTAAAGAAGTGTAATTCACAAAGTGGTTAAAACATAACTAGAAATACCATTTGACCCAGCAATCCCATTACTGGGTGTATACCCAAAGGATTATAAACCATGCTGCTATAAAGACACATGCACACGTATGTTTATTGCAGCACTATTCACAATAGCAAAGACTTGGAAGCAACACAAATATCCAATAATGATAGACTGGATTAAGGAAATGTGGCACATATACACCATGGAATACTATGCAGCCATAACAAATAATGAGTTCATGTCCTTTGTAGGGACATGGATGGAGCTGGAAACCATCATTCTCAGCAAACTATCGCAAGGACAAAAAACCAAACACTGTATGTTCTCACTCATAGGTGGGAATTGAACAATGAGAACACATGGACACAGGAAGGGGGGAACATCACACACCGGGGGGCCTGTCGTGGGGTGGGGGGATGGGGGAGGGATAACATTTGGAGATATACCTAATGTTAAATGATGAGTTACTGGGTGCAGCACACCAACATGGCACAGGCATACATATGTAACTAACCTGCACGTTGTGCACATGTACCCTAAAACTTAAAGTATAAAAAAAAAAAAACTTGTTCAGCCTGAAGGGGTGTGTGGAAGGCAGAAGGAAAAAGCCCCACCTCCAGTGCCTTGGTCACAGTGCTGGGGGCTAATTGCCTTCAGACATGCTTTAGTTCTTTTTGATCACCAACCAGCCAATCTAGTTCTCCCCCAGGAGTTGTTGTTCTGAATTATTCCTCAGTGCCAAATGCTTAATTGTTCCTAGATAATGGGTGAAATGCACAAGGGTGAAACCTAAAATTTGTTTGCTAAACACAAGTATTCCTAAATTTTTTTGTTGTTGTTCATTTTAGTTTTCTTAACCTACATTAAGGAGTACAACATGATGTTTTGATACAATTATTTCTAGTGAAGTGGTTCTTATAATCAAGCAAATCAACATATTCTTTTCTCACATTGTTACCCTTTAAATATGAGTATTTCTAATGGAATCTTCAGAATCTCACAAGTAGAGCCCTTTTAGAAGGCAGCAAGTGTTACCTGTCGAGCCATATATCGCTGATAGCCATTTCTCTTCCCTGTCTACTTTGTTTGTGCTGCTTGTTCAGTATAAATCACCTTAGAAACACAGGTGCTTCTTTAGAATGATTTTAAAATTATACTTGCTTACAACAGGTATGCTCTCACACATCTTCAGTGTGAAAACACTGTTTAGTGGATAATTTGGTTTGCTCTCAGGGCAAGTTTTTAAAAACTGTAAGTCATTAAGAATCATTAGAGGAAAAATGAAATACTAAGCGTGTGTTTTTGCTATCTTTACAGATCAAATAAGAAAATAGCAGTGATTAGCATGAAGCTCCTCATGGAGAAAGAGCAGATGAAATATTTTCTCAGTGCTCTTCCTACAAGGCGAGACCCAGAGTCACCTTGTGTTGAAAATCTTACTAGTATAGGACTCAACAGAAAATATATTCCCCAAACACCCATAAGAATTCCTATTTCAAGCCCACAGACTTCAAATAACTGCAAGAACTCCTAGACTGTGGTTAGTTACATGACCATTTCTCTTTTGGGTTTCATTTCTCTAATATAATTCTTGTTTTTAATTTGGTGAAATACTGAATTCTGTTGACTTATGCATGTTTAGTAAAGATCATAATTAGCTGTGTTAACACAGAAAGGAAATGGGAACTTTACATTTTTTAATTCCCTGGAGCTCTCATTTTCAAGAGATACCCGTTTACTAACTTTATTCCATAAATGTGACTAAACTGACACATTTAAAATGTCTTTAAAAGCTGCATTTAAGTTAGGTTTTAGAAATTGCATATTATTGCCTGATAACTGATGATATAGTTTGAGATGCTTTGGCTTACTCTCTAATTGATTATAGTTTAGCTGTGGTTCATACTGCCCCCCTTTTTTTTTAATTGAGACAGTGTTTCACTCTATTGCCCAGGCTGGAGTGTTGTGGCACCATCTTGGCTCACTGCAACCTCCACCTCCCAGGTTCAAGCGATTTTCCTGCCTCAGCCTCCCAAGTAGCTGAGACTACAGGCACCTGCCATTACACCCAGCTAATGTTTGTATTTTTAGTAGAGACAGGGTTTCACCATATTGGCCAGGCTGTTCTCAAACTCCTGACCTTGTGATCTGCCTGCCTCAGCCTCCCAAAGTGCTGGGATAACAGGCATGAGCTACCACGTCCAGCCCATGTCACTTTTAAAGTTTCTTTGCACCAGCCAGGTGTGGTGGCTCATGTCTGTAATCCCAGCACTTCGGGAGGCTGAGGCAGGTGTGTCACAATGTCAGGAGTTCAAGACCAGCCTGGCCAAGATGGTGAAAGTACAAAAAGTAGAAAAAAAAAATTAGCCAGGTGTGGTGGAGAGCACCTGTAATCCCAGCTACTAGGGAGGCTGAGGCAGAGAATTGCTTGAACCCAGGAGGCGGAGGTTGCAGTGAGCCGAGATCGTGCCACTGAACTCCAGCCTGAGTGACAGGGTGAGACTTCATCTTGAATATAAAAAATTTAAAAAAAAGTTTATTTGCACCATCTCAACTCTTCCCACCCATAATCACAACTGAATGATTGGCATCCAAACAGTTTGCCACATATAGATGTTTATTATTTAGTAGAATCCAAAATAATTGCATTTTATGAATTAAACAAAACACTAAAATGTTCATTTCCATTTTTATGTTCAAAGCTTTGTGCTTGGCCAGGTGCCGTGGCTCACACTTACAATCCCAACATTTTGGGAGGCCGAGGCAGGTGGATCACCTGAGGTCAGGAGTTTGAGACCAGCCTGGCCAACATGATGAAACCCATCTCTACTAAAAATACAAAAATTAGCAAGGCATGTTGGCAGGCATGTGTAATCTCAGATACTTGGGAGGCTGAGGCGGGAGAGTCACTTGAACCCAGGAGACAGAGGTTGCAGTGAACCAAGATCATACCACTGCACTATAGCCTATGTGATGGAGACTCTGTCTCAAAAAAAAAAAAAAAAAAAAAAGGTTTGTGCTTTTCTTACATAAGAGTACATCCTCTGACTATAAAAATCCTGGAAGAAAACCTAGGAAATACTCTTCTGGACTTCATACTTCTCAATTAATTTATGGCAAAGTCCTCAAAAGCAATTGCAAGAATAACAAAAATTGACAAGTATGATCTAATTAAGCTAAAGAGCTTCTGCACAGCATGAGAAACTATCACAGGATTAAACAGACAGCGTAGAGAATGGAAGAAAATATTCACAAACTATGGATACAGCAAACACCTATTATCCAGAATCCATAGGAGATCTAAACAAATCAACAAGCAAAAAATAAATAACACCATTAAAAATGGGAAAAGGACATGAACAGACACTTCTCAAAATAACACATGTAAGTGGCCAACAAACATATTAACAAATGCTTACCATTGTTAATCATCAGAAAAGTGCCAAACAAAACATCAGTGAGATACTATTTCACACCAGTCAGAATAACTTTTGTTGAAAAGTAAAAAGAAAAAAAAAAAGATGTTGGGGAAGCAGTGGAGAAAAGGGAACACACACCGTTTGTGGCAATGTAAATTAATTCAGCTACTATGGAGAGCAGTTTGGAAATTAAGAACTAAGGATGACCGTTGGATGCAGCAATCCCATTACTATACTAGGGGTATACCTAAAGGACAATAAATCATTTTAATAAAAAGATGCTTGCACATGTGTGTTCATTGCAGCACTATTCAAAGCAGCAAAGACATGGAGTCAATCCAGGTGCATCCAAAGCAGATTGAAAATCCAAGGTAGATTGGAATGTTCCATACATACCATGGAATACTATGCAGCCAAGAAAAGAACAAAATCATGTCCTTTGCAGCAACATGGATACAGCTGGAATCCACTATCCTAAGCAAACTAACACAGAAACAGAAACCAAATATCTCATGTTTTCACTTATGTGGGAGCTACACATTGGGTGCACATTGTCATAAACCTGGGAACAATAGACACTGGGAAATAAGAACAGGGAGGGACAGAGTGGGCCAGGGTTGGAAAACTACTTATTGGGTCCTATGCTTACTACCTGTGTGATGGGTTCCACTGTACTCCAAACCTTGGCATCCCTCAATATTCTCTTGGAAGAAGCCTACACAGGTACCACCTTAATTTAGAATACAAACTAGAAAAAAACAAACAAACAAAAAAAAAAACAAGAAAAATTTACTATTAAAAAAGTTTACTATAAGTAGAGAATAGAAATTTTAAGATAAAATTTATTGATGTAAAAAAATTGGATTAAACTTGTATAAAGGGCAGAGTTTTGCTAAGAATTTCAAAGCAATGCATTCATTGAAAAGATGACTTTAATTATTTAATTTTTTTTTTTTTTTTTTTGAGACAAGGTCTCACTGTATCACCAGGCTGGAGTGCAGTGGTGCAATCTTGGCTCACTGCAACCTCCACCTCCTGGCTTCAAGCAATTCTCCTGCCTTAGCCTCCTGAGTAGCTGGGACTACAATTGTGCACCACCATGCCCAGCTAATTTTTGTATTTTTAATAGAGACAGGGTTTCCCCATGTTGGCCAGGATGGTCTCGATCTCCTGACCTCATGATCTGCCTGCCTTGGCCTCCCCAAGTGCTGGGATTACAGGCATGAGTCACCACACCTGGCCATTGTTTAACCTTTGTACTAATAAAACACTACCTTTCTAAAATCATGTATATGCAGTAGACCAATATTAACTGTATTTTTGTCTGATTACTCTAAACAGCATTACACAGGTGTGTCCTCTGTTATCTAAACTTAAAATAAGTAGAAATTTTACTTTATTTATGTGATTATTTTTCTATTTAAGCAAACTTCAAGTTATGTCTAGTCACTAAAAATACTAAAGGTCACATTTTGTAAGTGATACATTATTTGCATGATAATGTTTCTTGTTTAACTTAAACATTATTATTATTTTTACTTATTTTAGATGGAGCTGGACTGTGTAGAACAAATAACTAGAGAAACAAAGAGAAGTATGTTGCCAAAATTTATTAATTACATTTAGGTTTATTTTAGAAATTAAGTGTAAATAACAAATGGCATTCCTTTTCATTGTTTGGTTAGTAGATACTATGTCAAGTATTTTTTTTCTTAGACACATTTAATGCAAGATGTGAAAACAAAAACTTTCACAGAGAAGACTGTACTTATGCACCATAAATTCATCATGTTCCATAGCTTAAAAAATTCCCAAGAAGTCTGTGCATCTGTTTTTTACTGGCTCTACACTTTCTTAAGTTTTGCCATCATCATGGAACTGTCAGCCAGCACACTGAAACAATTCTCAGAAAACAAAGGCATCACCAAGTTCTCAGGGTTTTGGTACAGATTGAAGGCCAACAGACCTCAGACTCATTTTGAAATCCTTAGCTGGGCAATAACCCTTCATAAGCAGTCACTTGACAGGTGACATTTTAAATCTCCTATCATTTACTGTGTCATTGGCTTACATCTGTTCTCAGGAAAAGTTCCAAAATTTTCACCATGAAATAAAAACACCCACGTCAATGTGATTCTTGTCAAGTTACTCAGCCTTGTTTTTTGCCACTTACCGCACTCTACCCTTTGCTCTAGCACCAAAGTGGAGGAGAGTAGAACTCCGCAGGGCTCTTCCTCACCTCAGGCTCTTTGCCTTCGCCTCTTCCCTCTATCTGGCAAGCTTTTCCTTGTCCTTCAGGTATCAACCTATGTTATCTCCTCCACCAGAAAGCCCATGATATTGACATAAAAGTGGGATAGATGTCCCTTTTGTGTGTTCCAGTAGTGCCCTGCTGTATACCTGTCATGGTATCTATGACACTATGTGGACATTGCCTACCTGTCTGTGTTTTTAGGTTATAGCATATGACTATTGGGAGGTGGACCATGCCATCTTCATCTTGGAATTCCAGTGCTGGTTCTAGTACCTTAGCACGTGGCTGTTGATTACATGAATGAAGAATGAAAAACCTCTGATATTTAAACACAATGGAATTAATGCCATGTGTAAATTATTTAATAGTAATTTTGTATTGTAAATGTACATAGATATTTCTCATTCTTACTAACTCTGATAAAGTTCTCAACTCTTTAGTATTTAAACTCACATTTAGTTAACTGAAATGTTTTAGGTAAAGAACATAATTCTTTCTCTTTCCAGTTGTTGCTGTGTTGAACACTTGCTCCCGTCTACTTACTTCTCTATAATCCACTGGTAAGCCACATCTAATGAAGAGAATGTTTAACCATAAAGTCTTAAGGAAAAATTTTATTATTTAAAAGATTATAAAACTTTATTACTGGGCTGTTTACACAACATTTTAATTGTTTCTCATAAAATATATAACATTACAATCTTTACTGAAGTAGGATGTTTTTGTATCACATGTGTGATGATAATTTATAGGGTAATTTAAATGATGTTTTTTAGCCTCCTTAAGTTTTAAGTGGATCTTGCAAATGAACACCAGTATTATTGAGTTTGACGTACTCAAATTGCCCAAATGCCAGCTGTTTAAACAGCCAAAGAACCAAGTCATCATTGATACTTTAGTAAAGGTCATCGAAGGCTTCTTTGCATTTTACAGCTTTTACTACTTAGGGGAGTTAAGGAGTACCTGCCAGGCTTGTCCATGCTAATGTGACAATTTTCTTTTTGTAGTTGAACCGTATTTTGTGGGGAGATACTTTGAGGCTCTGTAAATATCCAGTTACTCCCAGAACCCACTAGATTTAGCATTTCATGGATGACTTGTGTTTGAACAATTATTACTATGATGGTTTCCAGATGATTATTTTCTTCTCTTCTTTGCTGTACATGGAGAAGTAAAACCAATAAATAACTGAGAAGGGAAAGCTCATGATTCTGGTGCTCCAATTCCCCAAGATTAGGCCAGTGGTAGACATTTCAAGCTGACTTCTTGTCTTTTTTATTTGTCTTCGTTACTCTGTCAGCACTTTTTTAGTTTCAGGAACAAGATGTTCTAAGCTAATGTTGTATTTTCTCTGCTCCAGCCATGGAATGAGTGATTTTTCTTAGAAGCAGAGGTGGAGCCACTGAGGAAGCACAGGCGAGCCCTCCCCAGCACGTGATCACTGGTCCCCAACAGAACAACCGCTGCCGCATCCATGAGGTATCAAGAAACTAGCAAAGGGCCTTCTGGCTGTCTGGGCACAGTCCTCATGTGGTCCCTGGCTCAGCCTCAAGGGTCCTGCATTAGTCTTCCTGTAGCCTCTGTGCTGTGTCTGTAGATCGGGACTCTGTGGGAAGGGCCCTGGGATGCCCAACAGCACAAGATGTCTCATCTGCCAAATGTCCCTGCCTTCCTCCCACTCTGACACTCAGGAATAGGCTACATGGCATGTCCAGGCAGTGCCAGGCCACCTCACTATCTCCTTTGAGATTGGCCCAGAGGGCTTTTGGGGTGAGTGTGGAGCTGGGCACCTGGAGCCTGAGGCCAGCTGTCTCTCCCTCTGTCTTGGAGGAAAAGCCATGTCCCAAAAAAAACCCCAGGGCCTGACCTCTGGACACACATACAGGGAGGGAGGGTCTGTGGGCTGAGGGGGGCATTGTAATGAGACTTTGAGCACGCTGCTCAGGGGCCTGGTCAGTGGACCATGCTCAGAGATGACCTGGTCATCAGGACCTAGTCAGTTGGGACCTGGTTAGTGGTGGCCTCCTCAGTAAACGCCTCCTCAGTGGGGACCTGGTGACCTAGTCATTGGAAGCCCGGTTCATGGGGACCTGGTCACTGATGGTCTTCTTAGTGAGGCCTGATGGGCTGGAACATAAACAATGAAAAACTGGTTGGTGGGGCCTATGCAGTATACTAGGGGCCTGGTCAGTGTGGGGCCTTAGTGGCTTGGAGCCTCGTCAGTGAGGGCCTGGTCAGAGGGGGCTTGGTCAGCTGGGGACTGATCCATGGAAAATTGTTTAGTGGGGGTCAGGTGAGCAGCGACCTGGTCAACTGTGGTCTTGTCAGTGGGAACCTGGTCAGTGGGGACCAGGTCAGTGGGAAATTGGTCAGTGAGGTCTGGCCTATGAGGCCTATTAAGTGTGAGCCTGGTTAGGAAGACATGGTCAGTGGGGACTTGGTCAGTGGGAACTGGTAAATGGAGGAGTGGTCATTAGAGGCCTCATCAGTGGGAAACTGGTCCTGGGCGGCTGGTCAGTAGGAACCTGGCCAGCTGGCCACTGTGTGACCTCAGGCAGGGGGTTTGTCTGTGGAGTCTCCTTGCCTCCATCTGCAGGGAAGGTGAGTCAGGGCACCTTGGAGGGTGGCTGGAAAGAGAAGGTGAGAAGATGTGTTGAATCCAGCACCACTTGGCAGACCTACAACTTTACACATGACCTGTGTGCCACCTAGAGGGGGTGCCAGCCCTCTCTGCTGTGCCTTGGTGCCCCTCCTCTCTCTGCATCCCCAGGACCACCATGGGTGGGGAAGGCAGAGATTGGGGAGCACCTGTAGAAGCTCTAATGCTGGCCATGAGCCCTCGGTGATGACCTGGGTGCACCTGTGAGTGGAGAAGCTAGGCCTGGCCAGAGAAGCAAGAGAAACACACACACACATATGTGCACACACACACGCATGCACAAACACACTTCATCCACACATGTCAGTTCAGGGGATAGAGGACACTGACTCTGGGCCCTGTTGACCCATGCAGGCTCCCATTGTGGTGGGTTGTGTCACCCCACAATGTCACTGTTGCTGAGCCCCCATCGCCTCTGTGTTGTGGAGCAGTTAGAGACACACTGTGGTGTCTGAGTGGCTCTGTGTGAAGGACCGTTTTCTAGGTGAGAGGCACATCTCAACACAGCTGACTGATCAGACTCAGGTGAGTGGGACCTGCTCTCTTCTCTTCCTCCTAGCTTGGGGACAGTCGCTATCAGTTGGGTGGTTTTGGCCTCTGAGCAGCTACTGAGGGTAATCCCTGAACACTCACCGGATGCCTATTCTGTGCTGACAGTCATCTCGTTCATCCTCGCAGCAATTCCATTCTGCATCTTTTCTGATCACCCCCGTGATTACCCAGGACAACCCCATCAGGCCCTCTCACCCAGGCCCAGTCCAGCTCCATGATAACAAAGACACAGGTCCAGAGACAACTGCCCTGCATGGTGCCTGCATCTGACCCCCCTTGGTGGGTAGTGACCAGCACAACATGGAAGAAGCCAGGGCAGCATGCAGGCAGCTGCCCTGCAGCCCCAGATGGCTCCTAGGCCTTGGGAAGTCATTCTCAAAGGGGAAGCTGGTCATTTTGAGGTCCCTGGAGGGAAGGGTGAATGTGTCATCCCAACAGCCCTGGAAGCCAGCAGCATGCCATACATCTTACCCAACCTGTGTGACAGAGGCCCCCTCCTGGGGCACAAGTCCCATACCTAAAGGGTCCTGTCCCAGTTGAACCTCATCCTGAGCCCTGGGAGGGGAGGAGCACCATGGGCCTCCCTGCAGCAGCCAGGATTACCACCCAGGGGACTCAGCCTTCTGTGGCCCTGGCCAGACTTAGAATTTGGCCCAAGACAAGACAAGCTCACTCGGAGCAGCTTGTCAGTACCCGGGGCCTGTGCATGCCAAGTAAGTCCAAGCTGGCTCAAAGAGCAACCAGCCACCTCTGCAAGGGTGTGCCAGGAGCAGGTGGACCAGCCACCAACCTCACCCACTCAAGGAAACAGGGATGGCCAGGTTCCCACACCCCGAGTGACCACCACCTGACAGCTGATGGAGTGGAGGCCTGAGGAAAAGCAGATGGCACTGGGGCCCTACCTCCAGGGCAGAATAACTGATTTACCCCGACTGGCAGCAAGTGAGGTTGGTGGCTGGTCCACCTGCTCCTGGCACACCCTTGCAGAGGTGGCTGGTTGCTCTTTGAGCCAACTTGGCCTTGCCTGGCATGCACAAGCCTCAGTTCAACTGTGCTGCAAATGGAGCCACATAGAGGAAATGAGCAGCAGCCTCAGGAGCAGGGTTTGCGCTGCCTTTGGGCTCCAATCCATGCATCAGGGCTCCTACAGCACTGTGGGCTTCTTGGGTGCCAAGAGGCAGACCACAGGCCCTCTTGAGGAGGATTCTATGTTCAAGTGCAGAAAGGGTCCAATCTGGTGGATGAACCACACGGCCAGCTTCTGGGTGCAGGCACAGTGCCACATCTTCCATCACTTCCTGATGTGCCACACCAGCACTGAAGAGACAGCCTGGAGACAGGGCAAGAGGAAGGCTGAGAAGGATGAGATGGTGAGTGCCAGATTCTCCCTGGCTCTGAGCCCACCTCCAGGGTGACACTCAAACTTTAGGAGTGGGAGAGCGAGATCAACAGCTTCAAATGCTTCACCAAGAAGATGAACAACAGGGCACTCGGCTCAACTTCACAGCCAATGAGTTGACATGCAAGCAGGTGATGGTGACAGGCTTTAAGAAGGAGCATCAGAAGGCTGCCAGTTCTTCAGCCTCAGCCAGGCCTTGGAGCTGGACCAGCCCATCCACTTCACCACAGATGCCTTCAACACTGTCAGTGAGCTCTTTGCCAATCATCCCAGGCAGAACCTGGACCCAGTCATGGACCTATTAGTGCTGTCTCAGGGACACCAGACCAACATCCTGAACATCATCCACATACACAAGCAAGTTCTTACCAAAGTCGCGGAGGGCAGGCAACATGTGGCAGAAGGGAAGATAGAGATGCAGAGGCTGATGACATCAGAATCACAGGAACAGGAATTCTTTCACCACTTCAGTGGAAATTCACCACTTCCATCCAATTTGAATGAGAGACATGAAATCACAGATGCAGCATTTCTTGCAATAAGAGATACTATTTTTTCAAAAATCATCCAGGAATTGATAATGTTGAATGACTAGATATTTGATTGTGGACTGTTTCCAGTTCAAGGATACTTTCTACACAGAATAATAACACTAGCAAGGAGCTAGTGCCAGCTATCCGTGGTAGCACAAGGATGGTTTTGTGCTCAACTGAAATCCAGCTGAATACAGAATTGTGTAGGAAACAGTTAATATGTTGACAGAATAGAAACAGTAGCAAACATGAACTAAATCATGCCATGAATGCCTAAACTACCATTGGGACTTTTGGAAGAATGATAATACCACTTTACTGCTCTTTGAAGTGTGAATATTTTAGTGTATATGCTGTAGACCACAAACCCTATAAAGAGTCCCAAATAAGTTGGCTGGATAAAGCCTGCTGTGCATGTCTTTATACTCAAAGTCTGATGATGCAATTCGAATATGTGTCCCCACCAAATCTCCTATTTAATTATATTTCCTAATGTGGAAGGTGGATCCTGGTATAAGGCAATTGATTTATGAAGGCAAATTTCTCATGAATGGTTCAGCACCATCCCCTTGTACCATCCTCACAATCATGAGTGACTTCTCGTGAGATCTGGCCACTGAAAGCTATGTCACCTCCCTACTCTGCGTGTTTTCCTCTTGCCATGTGAGACAACTCACTCTTTCTTTGCCTTGTACAAAGATTGAAAGATTTCTGAGGCCTCCCAGAATCAGAAGCCCTGTGCTTCCTGTCCACCCTGCAGAACCATGAGCCAATTAAACCTCTTTTTCAAAATGAATCAAACAGAAAATGGCAAATGACGATTGCAGCATTGCTATAAAGATACCTGAAAATGTGGAAGCAGCTTTGGAACTAGGTAATGGGCAGAGGTTGGAAGAGTTTGGAAGGCTCAAAAGAAGACAGATGAGAAAATTTTTGGACTATCTTAGAGACTGGTTAAATGGTTGTGATAAAAATCCTGGCACAAACATGGATAGTGAAGGCCAGGCTGAGGAGGTCTCAGATAGAAATAAGAAGCTTTCTGGAAAAGGTCTTCCTTTTGAATATGGAAAGCTTACACAATGCCTGTACCATCATTATACGTTAGAAGCTGTGAACTTGCTTTTTATTTCAGAGACTCATAGGAAAAAGAGACCGTAGCCTTGACTCAGATGAGATTTTGGACTTTGTAAGTTTGAGTTAATGCTGAAATGAGTTAAGACTCATTCTGGCAAGGCATGATTGTATTTTGCAATGTGAGAAGGACATGATATTCATGGGATCAGGGACAGAATAATATGGTTTGTCTCTGTGTCCGTATCAAAACCCATGTGGAATTATACTCCCTAATGTTAGAGGTGGGGCCTAGGTGGAAAAAGATTTAGTTATAAAAGGGTGCGGGTAGGTTCTCCACGAATGATAAAGGACCATCACCTTGATGCTGTCCTCCTGATAGCGAGTGAGTTCTCATGAGATCTGGTTGTTTAAAAGGCTGTGGAACCTCTTTCCTCACTCTGTCTTCCTCCTACTCCTGCCTTAGGAGGTATCTCATTGTCTTGGCTTTTGGTATAATTAGGAGGCTTCTTGATTCCTCCCAGAAATGGAAGACACTATGCTTCCTTCACAGCTTGCAAAACCATGATTCAATTAAACCTCTTTCATTTACAATAACAGAGAAAATTAGAACTGCCGAGAGAGCTGTGCATGTCTTCAAGGCCTTTTTCCCTTTGTCTTGGCTATTAGCACAGGGCTTCTTTATATGCAAATTTCTGAAGTCTTCTTGAATTTTTCCCCTTAAATGGGGTTTTGTGTTATTGCTACATAGCCAACCTGCTATAGAGATACCTGAAAAAGTAGAAGCAGGCTCAGTAGTGGGTAGCAAACAAAGATTGGGAGGGTTTGGAGGGATTAGAGCATGACAGAAAGATGAGGGAGAGGGAGGAAGTGATTTAATCATGGATGGGCAGGGGTGGGTGTGGATGGAAAAAGGGGTGGTTAGGGTGGGAATGAGTAGGCTGGCTGTAGGGTGGTGGGAGGGTCGTGGGTAGTAGGAAGGGGGAGTAGCGTGCTGCAGAGGCAGAGCCTCATGTAAAACCATTACTAGGGCAGTGCACCTGTGGCTTTGCAGGTTTGAGCCCCCATGGATGCTCTCATGGACTGGACTAGTGTTCAGTGCCTGTAGCTTTTCCACACTGAGGGTGCAAGCTGTTGGTGGGTCTCTAAATCTGGGGTCTGTAGGGTGGTAGCCCTGTGTGGGGGCTCCAAGTCCGTATTTTCCTTCTGCACTGCCCTAGTAGAGGTTTCCCAAGAACTCTGCGTCTGCAGCAGGCTGCTGCCTGGAAACAGTGGGAGATGGGGGTGGGAGGCAGATCCTTCACCAATGGTTAAGCACCATCTTCTTGATGCTGACCTAGTAACAGTGAGTTCTTATGAGATCTGGTTATATAACAAGGTGTGGCACCTCTTTCCTCTCTCAGTCTTGCTTCTATTCCAGCCATATGAAACATCTCCTTGCCCCTTGGCCTTCTGGTATGGTTGTGAGGCTCCCTGAGACGTCCCAGAAGCAGAAGCCACTCTGCCTCCTTTACAGCCTGCTGAACCATGAGCCAATTAAACCTCTTTTCTTTATGATCATACAGAAAATTAGTGCTATGAAGTGGAGCTATGAAGTGCCTTCAAGGCCCTTTCCCCTTTTCTTGGCAACCAGCACTCAGCTTCTTTTCATGCAAATATCTGGAGCCTTCATGAATTTTCCCCCTGAAAGTGGACTTTTCTTCTTTTACCACACAGCCAGGTTGTGATAAAGATAGCTGACAATGTAGAACCAGGTTCAGAAGTGGGTAAAAGACAGAGGTCAGGAGAATTGGGAAAGCTTGGAAGACAGCAAGATGAGGAAAATTTGACCACTGTAGAGAATTGTTAAATACTTGCAATCAGAAGGCTGACAGAAGGATAAACACTGAAGTTCAGACTTAAAAGGTCTCAGATGAAGATTAGGAATTTCCTGTGAACAGGAGCCATGGTTACATTTGATTGGCCTTAGCAAAGAACGTGGCTGCACGGTGACCCTGCCCTGGACATCTATGAAACTATGAATTTGGGGGTGATGATTTAGGATGTATCTGGTGGAATGAACATCTAGGCAGCATAGCGAGGTGTCCTGTCTGCATTGAATAGCCTGTGTTCTTATGCGTGACCTAAGAAATGACTTCAAGTTGGAACTTCTATTGAAATGAGAAGTGGAGACCTAAAGTTTGGAAAATCTGCAGCCTGGCCAAGTGGTCAAAAAGAAAAGATGATTTTCCGGGGGAAAATTCAAGGAGGCTTAGAGTATCTGCATAAAAAGAAGCCCAGTGCAAATAGCCAAGACAATGGGAAAGAGGCCTCGAAGGCATTTCACAGTCCTCTGCAGCAGCCCTTGCTGTCACAGGCCCCCATACAGGGAGGCATCATTCTCCAAACCCCAGATTCATAGACCCACAAACAGCTTGCACCCTCAGTATGGAAAAGCTACAGGCACTCAACACCAGCCCTGTCCATGACGGCAGCTACAGGGGCTGAACACTGCAAAGCCACAGGTGCAGATCTGCCCAAGGCCTAGGAAGACCAGCCCTCATACACCTGTGCCATGGATGTGGGACAGGGATTCAAAAAGGATGATTCTGGAGCTGTAGGATTGAGTGACTGGCCTGCTGGGTTTTGGACATTTATGTATCCTATGAATCCCATCTGTGTTTTGTGCTGCTTTCCAGCAATTTTTTTTTCTATTGGTTGAGAATGCTTACCCATTGCCTGTACAATCATTGTAGCTTGGAAGTAGTTAAGTTGCTTTATAATTCACAGACTCATGGCAGAAGGGACTGTAGACTTGTCTCAGATAAGACTTTGGGCTTTGGATATTTGAGTAAATGCTGTAATGAGTTAAGATTTGGGGGACTGTAGGGAAGGCATCATTGTATTTTGCAATGTGAGAAAGACATGAGATTTGGGGGACCCGGGACAGAGTAATATGATTTGGCTCTGTACCTCTCCCAAAACTCATGTGGAATTTTAATGGGGAATGTTAAAGGTGGGGGCTGGTGGAAGGTGATTTAATCATGGTGGAGAGTGGAGGTTGGATGGGAGGGATGGGGAGAGTTGGAGGGTATTGTGGGGGTGGGGAGAGTTGGGGGGGATTGTGTTTGGGTTTATGGGTAAAAGGCAGGAGTGGGGGTGGATCCTTCACAAATGGGTAAGCACCATCTCCTTAATGCTGCCCTTCTGAGAGTGAGTTCTATTCATGATTTTGGAGCTGTGAGATTGAATGAACAGTGTCCTGCTGGGTTTTGGATGTGCATTGGGCCTGTGGTCCCACTTGTGTTATTTTTCTTGGAAATTTCTTCCCTTTGGATTGAGAAAACTTACCCAATATCTGTACCATCATTGTACCTAGAAAGAAATGAATGCCCTTTTAACTTCAGGGCCTCATAGGCAGAAGAGACTGTAGCGTGATCTCAGATGAGACTTTTAACTTTTCACATTTGAGTTAGTGTGGAAATGAGTTAAGGCTTTTGGAAACTTTTGAAAAGATGTGATTGTATTTTACTGTGTGAGAAGGACATGGGATTTGGGGGGGTCAAGGTCAGCATAATATGATTTGGCTGTGTGCCTCTAGAAAAACTCACATGGAATTTTAATCCCAAATGTTGGAGGTGGGGCCTGGTGGGAGATTATTTAATCATGGATGGGAGGTGTGGGGGTGGAAGAAAAAAGGGGTGGGTAGGGTGGGGAACAGTATGCTGGCTGTAGGGTGGTCGGAGGGTGGTGGGTAGTAGGAAGGGGGAGTAGCCTGCTGCAGAGGCAGAGGCTCATGGAAAACCTCTACCAGGGCAGTGCACCTGTGGCTTTGCAGGCTTTAGCCCCCATGGCTGCCTTTATGAGCTGGGCTGGTATTGAGTGTCTATCGCTTTTCCAAACTGAGGGTGTGAACTGTTGGTAGGTCTACGAATCTGGGGTCTAGAGGATGGCGGCCTCCTGCAGAGCGACTCAAAGCCCTTGTTTTCCTTCTGCACTGCCACAGAACAGGATTTCCAAGAGGCTCTGCCTCTGCAGCAGGCTTCTGTCTGGAAACAGTAGGGGGTGGAGGTGTGTTGGGGGGTGGATCCTTCACCAATGGTTAAGCACCATCTTCTTGATGCTGACTTAGTGATAGTGAGTTCTCATGAGATCTGGTTGTATAACAGGCGGTGGCACCTCTTTCCTCTGTGAGTCTTGCTCCTACTCCTGCCGTATGAAACATTTCATTGCTGCTTTCCTTCTGGTATGATTGGGAGGCTTCCTGAGTCTTCCCAGAAGTAGAAGCCACCATGCTTTCTTTACAGCCTGAAGACCCATGAGCCAATGAATCCCCTTTTCATTATGACCACACAGAAAATAAGTACTGCAAAGTGGAGCTATGAAATATCTTCAATGACTTTTCCCGATTGTCTTGGCTGTTAGCACTGGGTTTCTTTTTAATGCAAATATCTGAAGCCTTCTTGAAGTTTCCCCTGGTGGAGAGTGGAAGTTGGATGTGTGGGAAGGGGACAGTTGGAGGGTATTGGGAGGGTGGGGAGAGTTTCGGGGGATTGTGTTTGGGGTTACAGGTGAAAGGCAGGAGTGCCAGGCTGCAACAAAGATAGCTGAAAATGTAAAGCGGTTCAGAAGTCGGTAACACCAGAAGTTGGAGAGTTTGGAGAGCTTGAAAAAAGACAGGAAGATGAGGGAAAGTTGGGACCATTGTAGAGACTTGTTAAATAGTTTTGATTAAAATGCTGACAGAAGGAAGGCCAGGGAAGGTCAGGGAAGGCCAGGCTTACAAGGTCTCAGATGAAAATGAGGAACTTACTGGGAACAGGAGCCACGGTTACTTTTGTTTTGCTGTAGCAAAGAACGTGGCTGCAGGGCGACCTTGCCCTTGAGATCTGTGAAACTTTGAACTTGAGGGTGATGATTTAGTGCATATCTGGTGAAATGAACTTCTAGGCACCATAACACAAGAGGGATCCTGTCTGCATCAAACAGTCTGTGCTGTTATGTGTGACCAAGGAAATGACTTCAAGTTGGAACTTATATTTAAATGATAAGCAGAGCTCAAAAGTTTGGAACATTTGCAGCCTGGCCAGGTGGTCAAAGAGAAAAGCTGATTTTCAGGGGGAAAATTCATGAAGTCTCCAGAAATTTGCATAAAATGGAGGCCAGTGCTAATAGCCAAGACAATTGTGGGGAAAAGGCTTGGAGGCATTTCAGAGATGTTTGCAACAGCCCTTGCTGTCACGGGCCTTGGGACCTAGGAGAGAAGAATGGTTTCCTGGGCCAGCCCCATGGCCCTGCTGCTGTGTGTAGCCTCAGGACACTGCTGCCTGCATCCCAGCAGCCCCAGCTCCTGCTCCGACCTTGGCTGAAAGATGTACAGGTACAGCTTGGGTCACTGCCTCAGAAGGTGCAAGCTATAGGCCTTGGTTGCTTCTACATAGTGTTAAGCCAGTGGGTGCACGGAGCACTAGTCTAGAGACTTGGGAGCCTCCATATATATTTCAGAAGATGTATGGAAATGCCTGGTGTCCAGACAGAAGGCTGCCAAAAAAGCAGAGTCTCATGGGAAACCTCTACTTGGGCAGTGCAGAAGGAAAATATGAGGTTGGAGCCCCCACACTGGAGGCCACCATCGTGCAGACCCCAGATTCATAGACCCATCAAAAGCTTCTTACCCTCCATGGGTTAAAAACTCCAGGCACTCAACACCAGCACAGCCCATGTGGGCAGCTGCGGGGGCTGAACACTGCAAAGCCACAGGTGCAGAGCTGCCCAAGGCCTTGGGAGCCCACCCTCATGCCCTTGTGCCCTGGATGTGGGACAAGGATTTAAAAAGGATGACTTTGGAGCTGTAGGTTTGAATAAGTGGCCTGCTGAGTTTCAGAATTTCGTGGGACTTGTAAGTCCTGTTTGTGTTTTGTTCTTCTCTCTGGCAAAAATCTTCCTTTTGGGTGGAGATTCTTACTAAATGCCTGGACAATCGTACCTTGGAAGTGGTTAACCTGCTTTGTATTTCAGAGGCTCAGGGGCAGAAGAGACTGCAGCTTTGTCTCAGTTGAGACTTTGGGCTTCAGACATTTGAGTAAATGCTGGAATGAGTTAAGACCTTGGGGGTCTTATCCAAGACGATGGGGAAAAGTCACTGAAGGCATTTCATAGCTTAACTTCACAGTACTAATTTTTTGTGTGTTCATAACAAAAAGGGGTTTAATTGGCTTATAGTTCTGCAGGCTGTAAAAAAAGCATAGTGGCTTGGGGAAATGGCAGGTAATGTATCATTTCATTTTGCAAAGTGAGAAGGACATGAAATCTGGGTAGGCAGGGACAGAATGATAAGATTTGGCTGTGTGTTACAGAAACTTATCTGGAATTTTAATTGGAAATCTTAAAAGTGGGGCCAAGTTGAAGGTGATTTAATCATGGAGGGCAGTGGGTGTTGGAAGGTGGGGATTGGGGAGAATGGGTGGATTTTGGTGGAGGTGAGGGGTGAAAGGTAGGGTTGGAGGCAGGATCCCTCACAAATGGTTAAACACTGTCTCCTTAATGTTTTCCTCACGATGGTGAGTTCTCGTGATGGTTTTGGAGCTGTGAGATTGAATGGATACTGGCCTTCTGGGTTTGGACTTGCGTTGGCCCTGTCATCTCATTTGTGTTATTTTCCTGGCAAACCTCTACCCTTTGGATTGAGAAAACTTGCCCAATGCCTGTACCATCATCATACCTTGAAAGAAAAGAACTCCCTTTTAAATTCAGGGACTCATAGGCAAAAGGGACTGTAGCCTTTTCTCAGGTGAGACGTTGAACTTTTTACATTTGAGTTAATGTTGAAATGACTTAAGACTTTCAGCAACTTTTGAAAAGGCATGATTGTATTTTACTCTGTGAGAAGGATATGATATTCAGGGGATCAGGGTCAGAATAATATGGTTTAGCTGTGTATCCCTACCTAAACTCATGTGGAATTGTAATCCTGAATGTTGCAGGTGGGGCCTGGTGGGAGGTGATTTATTCATGGATGGGAGAGGGGTGGGGTTGGAAGTACAAAGAGGTGGGTTAGGTGGGGAGGAGTAGGTTGGCTGTAGGGTGGTGTGAGGGTGGCATGTTGTGGGAGGGGAGTAGCCTGCTGCAGAGGCAGAGGCTCATGGGAAACCTCTACTAGGGCAGTGCACCTGTGGCTTTAGCCCCCATGGCTGCTCTCATGGGCTAGGCTGGTGTTTAGTGTGTGTAGCTTTTCCATACTGAGGGTGCGGGCTGTTGGTGCATCTATGAATCTGGGGTCTGGAGGATGGTGGCCTCCTGCATAGGGGCTCCAAACCCATATTTTCCTTCTGCGCTGCCCTAGTAGAGGTTTTCCAAGAGGCTCTGCCTCTGTCTCAGGCTTCTGCATGGAGACAGTGAGGGGTGGATATGGGGTGGGGGGCAGATCCTTCACCAATAGTTAAGCATCGTCTTTGTGATGCTGATCTCCTCATAGTGAGCTCTCATGAGATCAAGTTGCATAACAGGATATGGCACCTCTTTCCTCTCGCTGTCGTGCTTCTGCTCCTGCTATATGAAACACTTCATTGCCGCTTGGCCTTCTGGTATGGTTGTGAGGCTTCCTGAGTCCTCCTAGAAGCAGAAACAACTATGCTTTCTTTACAGCCCGAAGAACTGTGAGTCAATTAAACCTCTTTTCTTTATGTATATACAGAAAATTAATGCTGCAAGGTGAAGATATGAAATGCCTTCTAGGCCTTTCCCGCAATCTCTTGGCTGTTAGCACTGTTTTTTTTAATGCAAATATTGGAGGCCTTCTTGATTTTTCCCTTGATAATGGACCCTTCTTCTTTTACCACATTGCCAGGCTGTGACACAGATAGCTGACAATGTAGAAGCCAGTTCTGAATTGGGTGACGGCCAGAGGTTAGAGAGTCTGGAGGATGGTAACCTCTTGTGTGGGGCCACCAAGCCTTTTTTTTTGTTTTTTGTTTTTTTTTCTGCTCTGTCCTAGTAGAGGTTTTCCTAGTGGCTCTGCCTCTGCCTCAGGCTTCTGCTTGGAAACAGTGGGGGTTGTGGGTGGTACGGGGCAGATCTTTCACCAATGGCTCCACCAATGGTTAAGCATTCTTGATGCTGACCTTGTGTTAGAGAGTTCTCAGGAAATCTGGTTGTATAACAGGGTGTGGCACCTTTTTCCTCTTTCTGTCTTGTTTCTACTTCTGCCATATAAAACATACTATTGGTGCTTGGTCTTCTGGAATGATTGGGAGGCTTCCTGAGTCCTCCCAGATGCAGTAGCCTCTATGATTTATTTAAAGCGTGCAGAACCATGAGCCAGTTCAACCTCTTTTCTTTCTGATTATACAGAAAATTAGTGCTGTGAAATGGAGCTATGAAATGCCTTCAAGGCCTTTTCCTTATTTTCTTGGCAATGAGCACTCAGCTTCTTTTCCGGCAAATATCTGAAGCCTGCCTGAATTTTTCTCCTGAAACAGACTTTGCTTCTTTTACCACATTGCCAGGCTGCAACAAACATAGCTGAAAATGTAGAAGCAGGTTGAGAAGTGTGTAACGGCCAGAGGTTGGAGAGTTTGGAGGTGTTGGAAGAAGACAGGAAGATGTGGAAAAGTTTGGACCAGTGTAGAGACTTGTTAAATAGTTATAATTAAAAAGATGACAGAATGATGGACAGTGATGGCCAGGCTTAGAAGGTCTCACATGAAAATGAGGAGCTTGCTGGGATGAGGAGCCAAGGTCACTTTTGTTTTCCCTTAGCAAAGAACGTTACTGCACGATGCCATTAACCTGGAGATCTGTGAAACTTTGAACTTGAGAGTGATGATTTAGAGTGTATCTGGTGGAATGAACTTTTAGGCAGCAAAGCTCAAGAGGTGTCTGGTCTGTGCCAAACACCCTGAGGTGTCTTATATGTGACCAAAGAAATGACCTCAAGGTGAAACTTATATTTAAATGAGATGGAGAGCTTAAAAGTTTGGAAAATTTGCAGGCTGGCCAAGTGGTCAAAAAGAAAAGCTGATTTTCCGTGGGAAAGTTCAAGAAGATTTCAGAAATGTGCATAAAATGGAATTGAGTGCTAATAGCCAAGACAAGGATAAAAAGGCCTTGAAGGCACTTCAGAGACTTTTGCAGCAACCCTTGCTGTCACAGGCCCCCAGGCCTGGGAGAAAAGAATGATTTCCTTATCCAGTCCCATGGCCCTGCTGCTGTGTCCATCCTCAGGACACTGCTGGCTGCATACCTGAAGCTCCAGCTCCAACCATGGCTGACAGATACAAAGGTACATCTTGGGTTACTGCTTCAGAGGGTGCAAGCTGCAAGCCTTGGTGGCTTCCACATAGTGTTGAGCCAGCAGGTGCAAAAAGGCCAAGACTAGAGGCTCAGAATCCTTCATGTAGACTACAGAGGATTTACAGAAAAACCTGGGTGTCCAGGTCGAAACTATTCAAAGAGGCAGAGCCTCATGGGAATCCTTTACTAGGGCAGTATGGAAGGAACATATAGGGTTGGAACCACCACACAGGGAGCACCATTCTGAAACGTCAGATTCATAGACTCACTAACATCTTGCATCTTCATTGTGGAAAAGCTACAGGTGCTCAACACTAGCCCAGCCCATGAGGGCAGCTGCGGGGGCTGAACACTGCAAAGCCACAGGTGCAGAGCTGCCCAAGGCCTTGGGAGCCCAGCCCTCACGCCCTTGTGCCCTGGATATGGGACAAGGACTTAAAAAGGATGATTTTGGAGCTGTAGGTTTGAATAACTGGCCTGCTGGGTTTTGGAATGTCATGGGAACCTGTAAGTCCCGTTTGTGTTTTGTTCTTCTCTCTGGCAAAAAATCTTCCTTTCGGGTGGAGGTTCTTACTCAATGCCTGGACAGTCATACCTTGGAGGTAATTAACTTGCTTTGTATTTCAGAGGCTCAGGGGCAGAAGGGATGGCAGTCTTGTCTCAGAAGAGACTTTGGGCTTTGGACATTTCAGTAAATGCTGGAATGAGCTAAGACATTGGGAAACTGTAGAGTAGGCATCATTGTATTTTGCAGTGTGAGAACAACATGAGATATGGGGGGTCAGGGTCAGAATAATACGATTTGGGTCTGCATCCCTACCAAACTCATTTGGAATTGTAATGGTGAATGTTAAACGTGGGGCCTGGTGGGAGGTGATTTATTCATGGAGAAGAGTTGGGGGTTGGAGGTAGGGGTGTGGGGAGAATAGGGGAGATTATTTTGTGGGTGTGGGTAAAAGGTAAGGGTAGGGGGGCAGATCCTTCACAAATGTTTAAACACTATCTCCTTAATGCCGCCTGCATGATAGTGAGTTCTCTTGATGATATTTGCAGCTGTGAGATTGAGTGAATACTGTCCCGCTGAGTTTTGGACTTGTGTTGGGCCTGTGGGCCCGTTTGTGCTATTTTTATGGGAAATTTCTTCCCTTTGGACTGAGAAAGCTTACCCAATGCCCATACCATCATTGTACCTGGAAAGAAAAGAACTCCATTTTAAATTCAGGGACTCATAGGCAGAAGAGACTGTAGCCTTGTCTCAGGAGAGACTTTGAATTTTTTTACATTTGGAATGAGTTAAGACTTTTGGAGATTTTTGAAAAGTCATGGTTGCATTTTGCTCTGTGATAAGGACATGAGATTCTGGGATATCAGGGTCAGAATAATATGGTTTGGCTGTGTGTCCCTGTGAATCTCATGCGGAATCGTAATCCCTAATGTTGAAGCGGGTGACTTAATTATGGACGGGAGGTTGGTGGTGGTGGAAGGTAAAAGGGATGGGTAGGATTGGGAGGAGTGGGTCGGTAGTAGAGTGGTGGGAGGGTGGGTGGTAGTAGGAAGGAGGAGTAGCCTGCTGCAGAGTGAGGGACTCATGGAAAACCCTCTACTAGGGCAGTGCACCTGTGGTTTTCAGGGTTTAGCTCCTCAGCTGTTCTCATGCGCTGGACTGGTATTGAGGGCCTGTAGCTTTTCCTCACTGAGGGTGCCAGCTGTTGGTGGGTCTGTGAATCTGGGGTCTGGAGGTTGGTAGCCACCTGCGTGGGGGCTCCAAGCCCATATTTTCTTTCTTTACTTCCATAATAGTGGTTTTCCTAGAGTCTCTGCATCTGCAGGAGGCTTCTGCCTGGAAACAGTGGGAGTTGGGGTGTGAGTCAGATCCTTCACCAATGTTTAGGCACCATCTTCATGATGGTGACGTGGTGATAGTGAGTTTTCATGAGATCTGGTTGTATAATAGGGCATGACACCTTTTTCCTCTCTCATGCTTGCTCCTGCTCCTGGCATATGAGATATCTCATTTCCCCTTGACATTCTGGTGTGATTGGGAGGCTTCCTGAGTCCTCTGAGATGCAGAAACTAGTATGCCTCCTTACAGCCTGCAGAATCATTAACAATTAAACTTCTTTTCTTTTTGATCATTGAGAGCATTTTTAATGCAAAGAAGATCTATTAGGTGTCTTCAAGGCCTTTTCCCCCATGTCTTGGCTATCAGTACTCAGCTTCTTTTCATTCAAGTCTCTGAATCCTCCTTGAATTTTCCCCCTGAAAATGGAATTGTCTTCCATACCACATTGCCAGGCTTTGACAAAGATAGGTGATAATGCAGGAACAGGTTCAGAAGAGGGTAGCAGATTGAGTTCAGGAGAGTTTGGAGGGCTTCCAAGACAAGAAATTGAGGGGAAATTTGGATCTTTGTAAAGAATTGTTAAATACTTGTGATCAGAAGGCTCACAGGAAAATAGACAGTAAAGATCAGACTTAGAAGGTCTCAGATGAAGATGAGGAACTTACTGGGAATAGGAGCCAAGGTTAGTTTTGTTTTGCTGTAGCAAAGAATGTGGCTGCACATTGACCCTGCCCTGGAGATATGTGAAACTTTGAACTTGAGGGTGATGACTTAGTGAGTATCTGGTGGAATGAACTTCTGGGCAGCAAAGCTCAAGAGGTGTCCTGTCTGCATCAAACAGCCTGTGCCCTTTTGTGTGACTGAGGAAGTGACCTCTGGATGGGTCTTACATTAAATGAGTCACAACTCTTATATTAAATGAGAAACAGAACTCAAAAGTCTGGAAAACTTGCAGCCTTGCCAAGTGGTCAGAAAGAAAAGCTGATTTTCAGTGGGAAAATTCAAGAAGGCTTCAGGAATTTGCACGAAAAGGAGCCCGGTGCTAATAGCCAAGACAATAAGGAAAAGACCTTGAAGGCATTTCAGAGACCTTTGCAGCAGCCCTTGCTGTCACAGGCCCTGGGGCCTAGGAGAGAAGCATCGTTTCCTGGGCCAGTTCCATGAGCCCCCTCTATGTGCAGCCTCAGGACACTGCTGCCTGCATCCCTGCAGTTCCATTTCCAACTCCAGTCATGGCTGAAAGATGCACAGGTAGAGTTTGCATCCCTGCTTCAGGGGTGCAAGTTCCAAGCCTTGGTGTCTTTCACATAGTGTTAAGCCAGCAGCTGCACAGAGCACAAAACTAGAGGCTTGGGGGCCTGTGTCTAGACTCCAGAGTATGTACGGAAAAACCTGGGTGTTCAGGCAGAAGCTTTTCCAAGAGGCAGAGCCTCATGGCACACCTTTACCAGGGCAGTACAGAAGGAGAAAATGGGGTTGGAGTCCCTAAATATGGAGACACCATTCTCCAGACCTTAGATTCATAGATGCACCAACAGCTGGCACCCTTAGTGTGGAAAAGCCACAGGCACTCAACACAGCCCAGCCCATGAGGGCAGCTGTGGGGGATATATCATGCAAATCCACAGGTGCAGAGTTGCCCAAGGCCTTGGGAGCCCAGCCATCACATGCCTGTGCTCTAGATGTGAGATGTAGATTCAGAAAAGATGATTTGGAGCTGCAGGATTCAATGACTGGCCTGCTGGGTTTTTGACTTCATGGGGTCTGTAAGTCCTTGGACTTTTCAGTAAATGCTGGAATGAGTTAAGTCATTGGGGGACAGTAGAGAAGTCATCATTGTATTTTGCAGTGTGACAAGGATACAAGATTTGGGGACCAAAGGCCAGAATAATATGATTTGGTTCTGTGTCCCTACCAATACTCATGTGGAATCGTAATGGGGAATGTTAAAGTTGGGGCCTGGTTGAAGGTGACTTAATCATGGAGAAGAGTGGGGGTTGGAGGTAGGGGTTTGGGGAGAATGGGGGAGATTATTTTGTGGGTGGGGGTGAAAGATGAGGATAGGGGGGTGGATTCTTCACAAATGGTTAATCACTATCTCCTTAATGCTGTCTGCATGATAGTGAGTTCTCTTGATGATTATGGAGCTTAAAGATTGAGTGAATACTGTCCTGCTGGGTTTTGGACTTGCATTAGGCCTGTGGTCCCATATGTGTTATTTTTATGGGAAATTTCTTCCCTTTGGATTGGGAAAGCTTACACAATGCCTGTACCATCATTGTACCTTGAAAGAAAAGAAATCCCTTTTAAATTCAGGGACTCATATGCAGAAGGGACAGTAGCCTTGTCTCAGGTGAGACTTTGAACTTTTTACATTTGGAATGAGTTAAGGCTGTTGGAACTTTTGAAAAGGCATGATTGTATTTTACTCTGTGATAAGGACATGAGATTCTGGGATAGCAGGGTCAGAATAATATGGTTTGGCTGTGTGTCCCTATAAAAATTCATGTGGAATTTTAATTCCAAATGTTGAAGTTGGGGCCTGGGGGAGATGATTTAATCATGGACTGGAAGGGGTTGGAGTGGAAGGAAAAGGGTTGGTTAGGGTGGGGAGGAGTAGGCTGGCAGTAGGGTGGTGGGAGGGTGGTGGGTGGGAGGAAGGGGGAGCAGCCTGCTGCAGAGGCAGAGGCTCATGGGAAACCCTCTACTAGGGCAATGCACCTGTGGCTTTGCAGGGTTTAGCCCCTGCCGCAGCTCTCATGGGCTGGGCTGGTGTTGAGTGCCTGTAGCTTTTCCACACAAGGTGTGAGCTGTTGGTGGGTCTATGAATCTGGGGTCTGGAGGTTGGTGGCCATCTGTGTGGGTGCTCCAAGCCCATATTTCCCTTCCACACTTCCCTAGTAGAGTTTTCCAAGAGGCTCTGCCTCTGCCTCAGGCTTCTGCCTGGAAATAGTGGGAGTTGGGGGTAGGGGGTGAATCCTTCACCAGTGGTTAAGCACCATCTTTGTGATGCTGACCTTGTGATAGTGAGTTCTCATGAGATCTGGTTGTATAATCGGGTGTGGGACCTCTCTCCTCTCCCTGTCTTGCTCCTCCTCCTGCCACATGAATCATCTCATTGCCCCTTGACATTCTGGTATGACTGGGAGGCTTCCTGATTCCTCTTAGATGTAGAAGCCACTATACTTCCTTATAGCCTGCAGAATCATGAGCCAAGTAAACCTCTTCTTTATGATCATAGAGAAAATTAGTACTGCAAAGTGGGTCTATTAAATGTCTTCAAGGCCTTTTCCCTATTGTCTTGGGAGTGAGCACTCAGCTTCTTTTCATTGAAGTCTCTGAACCCTTCTTGAATTTTCCCCCTGAAAATGGACTTGTCTTCCCTTACTACATTGTCAGGCTGCAGCAAAGATAGCTGATAATGTAGAAGCAGGTTCAGAAGGGGGTAGCAGACAGAGTTCAGAGAGTTTGGAGGGCTTTGCAGACAAGAAGTTGAGGGAAAGTTTGGATCTTTGTAAAGAATTGTTACATACTTGTGACCAGAAGGCTCACAGGAAAATGGTGAGTGAAAGCCAGACTTAGAAGGTCTCAAATGAAAATGAGGAACTTACTGGGAACAGAAGCCAAAGTGACTTTTGTTTTGCCTTAACAAAGAATGTGGCTGCACGGTGACCCTGCCCTGGAGATCTGTGAAACTGAACTTGAGGGTGATGACTTACTGAGTATCTGGTGGAATGAACTGGGCAGCAAATCTCAAGAGGTGTCCTGTCCCCATGGAACAGCCTGTGCTCTTATGTGTGATGGAGGAAATGACCTCTGGATGGGACTTACATTAAATGAGTCCCGTCTCTCAGAACTCAAATTTAGGAAAATTTGGAGCCTGGCCAAGTGGTCAAAAAGAAAAGCTGATTTTCAGGGGGAAAATTGAGGAAGGCTTCAGAAACTTGCATGAAAAGGAGCCCGGTGCTAATAGACAAGATAATAGGGAAAAAGGCCTTGAAGGCATTTCAGAGACCTTTGCAGCAGCCCTTGCTATTGTAGGCCCTGGGGCCTAGGAGAGAAGCATGGTTTCCTTGGCCAGTTCCATGAGCCTCCTCTATGTGCAGCCTCAGAACACTGCTGCCTGCATCCCTGCAGCTCAAGCTCCAGCCATGGCTGAAAGATGCACAGGTACAGCTCAGGTCACTGCTTCAGAGGATGCAGGCTAGAAGCCTTGGTAACATCCTCATAGTGTTAAGCCACTGGTGGACGGAGTGTGAGACTAGAGGCTTGGAAACCTCTCTATAGATTTTGGAAGATGTATGGAAATTCCTGGGTGTCCAGGCAAAACATCCCAAAAAGGCAGAGCCTTATATGAAACTTCTACTAGGGCAGTGCAGAAGGAAAATATGGGGTTGGAACTCCCACACTGGAGACCACCATCATGCAGACCCCAGATTCATAGACCCCCCCCCAAAACTTGTTTCCTCAATGTGGAAAAGTCACAGGCACTCATCACCAGCCCAGCCCATGAGGGCACCCTTGGGGCATATACCCTGCAAAGCCACAGGTGCCAAGCTGCCCGAGGCCTTGGGAGCCCAGCCCTCACACCCCTGTGTCCTGGATGTGGGACAGGGTTTCAAAAAGGGTGATTTTGGAGCTGTAGGATTGAATGACTGGCCTTCTGGGTTTGGAGTTTCATGGGGCCAGTAAGTCCTATCTGTGTTTTGTTTTTTTTCTGGCAAAATTCTTCCTTTTGGCTGGGAATGCTTACCCAATGCCTGTACAAGCATTGTACCTTGGAAGTAGTTAACTTGCTTTATATTTCAGAGGCTCATGGGCCTAAGGGACTGTAGCCTTGTGTCAGATGAGACTTTAGGCTTTGGACATTTGTATAAATGCTGGAATGATATAAGATTTTATGAGACTTTAGGGAAGGCATCATTGTATTTTGCAATGTGAGAAGGACATGAGATTTGGGGAGTGAGGGAAAGAATAATAAAATTCAGCGCTGTGTCCCTACCAAAACTCATGTGGGATTGTAATTGGAATGTTAAAGGTGGGGCCTGGTGGAAGATGATTTAATCACGGTGCAGAGTGGGGGTTGGAAGATGGGGGTGTAGGGAAAATGGGGGAATTATGGTGGGGGTGAGGGGTGAAAATTGGGGTGGGGGGTCAGATCCTTCACAAATCATTAAACACTATCTCCTTATTGCTGTCCTTGTGACGGTGAGTTCTTTTCATGATTTTAGAACTGTAAAATTAAATGGATACTGGCCTCCTGGGTTTTGGACTTGCATTGGGCCTGTGGTCCCATTTGTGTTATTTTCCTGGGAAATTTCTGCCCTTTGGATTGAAAAAGCTTACCCAATGCCTGTACCATTATTGTACCTTGAAAGAAAGAACATCCTTTTAAATTCAGGGACTCATAGGCAAAAGGTACTGTAGACTTGTCTCAGATGAGATGTTGAATTTTTTACATTTGAGTTATTGTTGGAATGAGTTAAGACTTTTGGAAAATTTTGAAAAGGCATGAATATATTTTGCTCTGTGAGAAGGACAAGAGACTGCAGGGTATCAGGTCAGAATAATATGATTTGGCTGTGTTTCTTTACCAAAACTGATGTGAATTGTAATCCTTAATGTTGGAGGTGGGACCTGGCTGGAGGTGATTTAATCATGGATGGGAGGGGGACCGGGGTTGGAAGGAAAGGGGTGGGTAGGGTGAGGAGTAGGTTGTTAGTAAGGTGGTGGGTACTAGGAGGGGGGAGTAACCTGCTTCAGAAGCAGAGGCTCATGGAAAGTCTCTACTAGGGCAGGGCACCTGTGGCTTTGCAGGGTGTAGCCCCCATGGCTGCTGTCATGGGCTGGGCTCGTGTGGAGTGCCTGTAGCTTTTCTGCTCTGAGAGTGCAAGCTGTTGGTGGGTCTATGAATCTGCAGTCTGGAGGATGGTGGCCTCCTGTATGTGGGCTCCAAGCCTACATTTTCCTTCTGCACTGCCCTGGTAGAGGTTCTCCAAGAGGCTCTGCCTCTGCAGGAGGCTTCTACGTGGAAACAGTGGGGGGTGGTGTGGGTGGATCCTTCACCAATGGTTAATCTTCTTGATGCTGATCTCCTGATACTGAGTTCTCATGAGATCTGGTTGTATAACAAGTGTGGCACCTCTTTCCTCTCTCTGTCTTCCTCCTACACCTGCCATATGGAACATCTCATTGTCGCTTGGCCTTCTGGTATGGTAGGAGACTTCCTGAGTCCTCCCAGAAGCAGAAGCCACTATGTTCCCTTTACAGCCTGCAGAACCGTGAGCCAATTAAACCTCTTTTTAAAATAATACTACAGAAAATTTGTACTGTAGAGTGGAGCTATGAAATGCCCTCAAGGTTTTTTTCCTGATTTTTTACTATTAACATTTGGCTTCTTTTATATGCAAATATCTGAAGCCTTCTTGAATTTTCCCCCTGAAAATGGACTTTTTTTCTTTTACCACACTGCCAGGCTGTCACAACGATAGCTGAAAGTGTAGAAGCAAGTTCAGAAGCAGGTTCAGAAGCTGGGTAACGACCACAGGCTGCACAGTTTGGAGGGCTTGGAAGAAGACAGAAAGATGAATGAAAGTTTTGACTATTGTAGAGACGTGTTAAATAGTTATAATTAAAAGGGTGACTGAAGGATGGATAGTGAAGGCCAGGCTTAGAAGGTCTCAGATGAAAATGAACAACTTACTGAGAGCAGAAGCCAAGGTAACTTTTCTTTTGCCTTAGCAAAGAACTTGGCTGGATGGTGCCCCTGCCCTGGTGACCTGTGAAACTTTGAACTTGAGGGTGATGATTTAGGGTATATCTGGTGAAATGAACTTCTAGGCAGCAAAGCTCAAGAGGTATCTTGTCTGTATTGAACAGCCTGTGGTGTTCTGTGTGACCAAATAAATGACCTCAAGTTGAAACTTATATTTAAATGAGAAGCAGAGCTTTGAAGTTTGATTTGCAGCCTGCCCAAGAGGTCAAAAAGAAAAGCTGATTTTTAGTGGGAAAATTCAAGAAGGCTTCAGAAATGTGCATAAAATGGAGCCCAGTGCTAATAGCTAAGACAATGTTAAAAAGGCCTTGAAGGCATTTCAGAGACCTTTGCAGCAGAGCTTGCTGTCAAAGGCCCTGAGTTCTAGGACCAAAGAATGGTTTCCTGGGTCAGTCCCATGATCGCGCTGCTGTGTCCATCCTCAGGACAGTGCCGCCTGCATCCCTGCAGCTCCAGCTCCAGCTCCAGCCATGGCTGAAAGATGCACAGGTACAGCTTGGGTCACTGCTTCAGAGGGTGCAAGCTGCAAGCCTTGGTGGCTTCCACATAGTGTTAAGCCAGCAGGTGCACAGGCTTGGGAGCCTTTGTCTAGACTCAAGAGTATGTAAGGAAAAACCTCAGTGTCCAGCTGGGCAGAAGCTTTTCCAAGAGGCAGAGCCTCATGGGAAACCTTTACTAGGGCAGTGCAGAAGGAACATACAGGGTTGATGCCCCCATACAGGGAGGAACCATTTTCCAGACCCCAGATTCATAGACCCACCAACTGCTTGCACCCTCAGTGTGGGAAAGCCACAGGCACTGACCACCAGCCCAGCCCACGAGGGCAGCTGTGGGGAAAGACCCTGCACAGCCACAGAAGCTGAGCTGCCCAAGGCCTTGGGAGCCCCGCCATCCACTCTTGTGCTCTAGATGTGGGATGTAGATCCTTTCAGGAAAGATGATTTGGAGCTGTAGGATGGAATGACTTTCCTGCTGGGTTTTTGACTTGCATGGGGTCTGCAAGTCCCATCTGTGTTTTGTGCTTCCCTCTGACAAATTTCTTCCTTTTGGCTGGGAATGCTTACCCAATGTCTCTACAATCATTGTACCTTGGAAGTAGTTAACTTGCTTTGTATTTCAGAGGCTCGAGCAGAAGGGATGGCAGCGTTGTCTCAGATGAGACTGGGCTTTGGACATTTCAGTAAATGCTGGAATGAGTTAAGACTTTGGGGGACTGTAGAGAAGGCATCATTGTATTTTGCAGTGTGACAACGATATGAGATGTGGGGGGACCTGGGTGAGAATAATATGATTTGGCCCTGTGTCACTACCAATACTCTCGTGAAATTGTAATGGGGAATGTTAAAGGTGGGGCCTGGTGGGAGATGATTTAATCATGGAGAAGAGTGGGGGTTGGAGGTGGGGGAGTGGGGAGAATAGGAGAGATTATTTTGTGGGTGGGGGTGAAAAATGAGGGGGGACGGATTCTTCACAACTGGTGAAACACTATCTCCTTAATACTGTCTGCGTGATAGTGAGTTCTCTTGATGATTATGGAGCTTAAAGATTGAGTGAATATTGTCCTGCTGGGGTTTGGACTGACATTTTTGTCATTTTTCTGGGGAATTTCTTCCCTTTGGATTGAGAAACCTTACTTAATGCTTGTACTATCATTGTATCTTGAAAGAAAAGAAATGCCTTTTGAACTCAGGGACTGATAGGCCGAAGGGACTGTAGCCTTGTCTCAGATGAGACTTTGAATTTTTTATATTTGGAATGAGTTAAGAATTTTGGAAACTTTTGAACATGCATGACTGTGTTTTGCTGTGTGAGAAGGACATGAGGTTCTGGGGTATCTGGGTCAAATAATATGGATTGACTGTGTGTCCATATAAAACTCATATGGAATTGTAATCCTTAATTTTGGGGCCTGGTGGTAGGCGATTTAATCTTGAATGGGAGGGGGTTCGGGGTGGTAGGAAAAGGAGGGGTAGGGTGGGGAGGAGTAGGTTGTCAGTAGGGTGGTAGGAGGATAGGGGGTAGTAGGAAGGGGGAGTAGCCTTCTGCAGAGGCAGAGGCTCATGGAAAACCTCTACTAGGGCAGTGCACCTGTGGCTTTGCAGGCTTTAGCCCCATGGCTGCTCTCATGGGCTGGGCTGGTGTTGAGTGCCTGTAGCTTTTCCATACTGAGGGTGTGAGCTGTTGGTGGGCCTATGAATCCGGGATCTGGAGGATGGTGGCCTCCTTTTTGGGGGCTCCAAGCCCATATTTTCCTTCTGCACTGCCATAGTGGAAGTTTCTCAAGAGGCTTGGCCTCTGCAGGAGGCTTCTGCCTGGAAACAGTGGGTGGTGGTGTGGGTGCAGGATCTTCTTGATGCTGATCTCCTGATAGTGAGACCTCATGTGATCTGGTTGTCTAACAGGGTGTGGTACCTCTTTCCTCTCTCTGTCTTGCTCCTACCCCTGCCATATGAAACATCTCATTGCCACTTGGCCTTCTGGTATGATTAGGAAGGGCCTGGTCAGTGTGGGCCTGGTCAGTGAACTAGTCAGTTGGGACTTGGTCAGTGAGGCCTATTTACTGGGGGAATGGTCAGCCAGGGTCTGCTTAGAGAGGGTCTCATTAGAGGGATCGAGTAGTGCAGGTCTTGGTGAGTGGGGACCTAGTGGCAGACAAATGTTTGGTGTCTGGTCAGTGCAAACCTGGGCTGCAGGGCTTGGTGAGTGGAGACCTGGTCAGCTGTGGCTTAGTGGTAGCCTTGTCAGAATGGGCTGGGTCACTGGTGACCCGGTCAAGGGGTGCTATTCAGTGGAGGCCTGGTCACATGGCACCTAGTCAGCAGGGCATGTCCTCATCAGTGAGGCCGTTGTCAGTGGGACCCTGGTCATGGCAGCCTGGTCAGGTCAGTGGAACCTAATCAGTGGGGGCCTGGTCAGAGAGGACTTGATCAGTGGTGGCTTTTGTAGCACTGGTCTATGGGGTGACCTGGTCAACGGGGGTCTGAGCGGTACATGCCTGTTCAGTGGTGCCTAGTCACTAGGTTCCTGGTCGGGGCATCTGGTCACCGCAGGCCTGGTTAGTAGGGACCTGGTCACTGGCAGCCTGTTCCCTGGAGACCTGGTCAGTGGGGCTTCATCTGTGGGGCCAGGCAATGGGGTCATGATTGGTGGAATGTGGTCAGGGAGGTCTTGTCAGTGAGGCCCTGGTCAGTGAGGCCTTGTCAGTGAAATCCTTGTCAGTGGGGTCCTGGACACTGTGGGCCTGGCAGCGGGAATCTAGTTAGTGGGGCCTGGTGATGGGGGCCTAATCAGTGAGAGTGTGGTCAGGGAGGACCTGATGTGCGGGATCTGGTCAGCAGGGACCTGGTCAGTGGGGCTGCTGAGCACTGCTGGGAGGTGTCAGGGGAAATGCATGTTATCAGGGGCCCTATGGACAGCTGGGATGGCCCAGTGGTGTCCAGTGGCCCAGTCAAAAGTGGACAAAGCAGGTGTTTGGATGGACCTGGGAGATCTTGCTCAGAGATTCTGAAAGAACAAAGGTAAAGGAAGGGCCAGAGTGGGTAGAGAGATGGTCACAGTCTATGGGCTGCACAGGATGGAGGAAGCCAGGGAACAGGCAGGGTGGGCAGTAGGGGTGCAGGGAGAGGCAGGTGCATGCTGGGAGGTCGGACCCTGTGAGGGCTGTGGGGGCGTCAGGTGGGGTGGGCTCCAGGTGCACTCTCAGTGTGCACTGGGCAGGTCTCGGTCCAGGCTCTCTGGACCCTGGTCGGGTGATGTGGTCACTCCCTGGGGGACTGCTGTCAGGCCTAGCCACCCACCCTTGGCAGCACTGTCCCATCTCAGGACTGGACTTTCTCAGATCCTGCAGAGGGCACAGCCTCCAGCCCAGGAGGGGCAGCCCCTTGGTGCAGCCCAAGCTCTCCATGGGCCTGGAGCATCCCTGCCAGCCCTGCGCTCCCTCTACTCCCAGGTCCCGCTTTTCAAGTGTCAGCCAGCAGAGAGGCTCCGTCCTCCCTTCCCTTTGTGTCTCCTGGGCTAAAACTTGGGGCGCATTGGGACAGGGATGGTGCTTTCCTCAGGCCCATTTAGGGAGGGGACTGGCTCCCAGCCTGGCACAGGTCCTCAGCTCTGCCTTGGTTGCCTTAGAGTGACATGGATCAGTCAGTGCCCTGAAGGTAAATGGAAGAGACTGTCCCTGCTGTGTGGGAGGCTGGTCTAGGGATGGAGGACTTGGCAGGTCCTCCCAGTCTGTCAGGCCTGGACAGCACTGTCCTGTCTCAGGACTCAGAAAATCCGGTCTTGGGATGGAATGGTGCTGCCCAGGGTGGGTGGCCAGGGCTTGACAGCAGTCCCCCAGGGAGTGACCACATCAGCCAACCAGGGTCCAGGGAGCCTGGCCTGAGACCCACCCAGTGCATTGAGGGTGCACCTGGAGCCCACCCCACCTGATGCCCCCACAGCCCTCGCAGGGTCTGACCTCCCAGCATGCACCTGCCTCTCCCTGCACCCCAGATGTCCACCCTGCTTTTTCCCTGATTTCCTCCATCCTGTCCAGCAGGATGGGCTGGTCAGTGGGATAGCCTCTGTGCACATTTTGTGGCAAGTAGGAGTGACACATCATTCCTGGGAGGCCCCGTGGTTCCTGCCAAACCCAACCCCAGAATTCTCCCTGAGGTGGTTTTACCAAACCCATAACCCAGAACTGCTATTGTGGTTTGGAGGTCAGCACCCACCAGTGCCAGGGCACTACTGGGAGGCTGGGACCTGACCAAAGCCCATGGTGTCTGTGGCCTGAGGACAGGGTGTCTTGGGGCCATGAGGACAGGCCACCAATGGCCGTTGGGTCATAGGGCCTGAGCCCCAGTGTTTGTCCTTCCCTGGCTCCTTCTGGTTCAGTCCCATCAGGGCTCTGGATCCCAAGACGCAGCATCCAAGGTTCCCTCCAGGAATCCTGGTGGCTCGGCTTACTTTGTCATGTTTCATCTGATAGCAAAAATATCAGATCGGCTGCACAGAAAAATGGCTCAAAGTGCTTAATGACCAGAAGAAATCTGGGAGCAGCAAGAAGGTAATGTGGAGAGGGGAGGACCTCCATGACCGGTGTCTGCAGAGCCAGGGGTACAGGCACCCAGTGCAGTGAGCTGGCACCACCTGCCTCTCAGAGGGTGGGTAGCACACTGTCCTTACCTGGGGGACAGCAGGCCTGGTCACCGGCTTTTCTCCCTGTCCCTGCAAGCATCACATTGCTGGAAGAGAATCTCATGCCAGAGCTTGGACCATCCCTAGCTTGGGGGTTAGGGGTTGTCTCTTGGTGACCTAAATGAAAAAATAGGTCCAGATCAGAGTTCGTGATGCATAGCACTCACCCACTCTTTGAAGCATGGGAGGGGAGGCCTAGTCCTAGGTAAACCTAAACTCTTTGAGGAACCACAGAGCCCAAGGCTGGAAACCTCCAGAATCCTCCAGCCCCTGATCCCACCCCCCCCCGGGGACCTCTGTGGCCTGTCTCACCAGAGCACTCTTCTGTCTGTAGAGGTCTCAGGTGCTCTACAAGGGAGTCCCATTTCAGGTGTGGGGCTGGGTATGGTCACTCCTGCTGGATGTCTAGAAGGTGAAAACCAAGGACCTAGGAAAATACCAGATACAGCCTTTCCACCGTCATCCAGAGCAGGACAAACACGCCAGGTGGTGTCAGGAGCCCAGGTCTCCAGCTGGAGGGAATGTCAACCCTGCAGTGGGAGCCCATCATGCATCCTAGGCACAGATGCTAACGTAGGCACCGCAGGTAAGCTGGGTTTGGTACCCCTTCCTGGCTTCAGAAAGAAGCCAAACAAGGAGCTTTCTGCAGAATGAAACCTCTTTTCCATCCAGAAGCACTGCTGACTGTTTGGTGGTTGCTGTTAGGGCAGTGAGCCTTTTGTCCATTCTGAGATTGGGCTGGTTTCTCCTCTTGGCCCTGGCCTACAGACCATAAAGGAAAACAGCAAGAGGTCCCCAGCAAACATCTACAGATGGCCCTGGACATCAGCCACATTCAGAGAAACGTGTCATGTTCTGGGAGGGCTAAGGCATCGAGTAAGGCCTATGGGGCTGGAGGATCACAGGGCAGGTGGGGCAATCCAGAGCTGTGGGGGCTTCCATGGGAATTGGGAGGTCCCAAGGCAGAGGTAGGGGTTCCACAGGAGGAGTCACAGAGCCACCAAGGGCTCTCCTGGCCCAGGGAGCAGTCAACACCATGGACTGAACACCCACTGGGCTAAGCCCTGGGCCAGGCTGGGGCATGTGGGGCCAGGAGGCAGCTCAGAGTGGGAGACAGAGAGACAAGTGTGCTCAGAGGGCACCCATATCTGCATATAACGTGGTCCTGAATTTCTGGCTGGGAAGTGCTTCCAGGGTTTCATATGTGTTATGGAGATGCTTCCTCTCTCCAACCTCACCGTGCAGGAATCCCAGTGAATATATTGCCACCATCTTGGAGCTCAGTGCCCTCATAGTGTAACAGCACCAGCAGATCTGCCTGTGCACAGACTTCCTGTACTACCTCACTCCTGAGGGGAGATGCTTCTGCAGGGCCTGCGACCTGGTGCACAACTTTAGACACCATCATCCTGGAGCGGCACTGCACCCTCACTAGCCAGGGTGTTGATGACTTCCTCAATGCCAAGGCCACGTTCAAGATTTTCGACTTCAGTGATGCGTTTGTGCTGAGCAAGGTGGGCTTCTCCGGGATCTTAATTCAGGAGGTAGAATGCAGCTTGAGATCTAGTGTCTGATCAAAGAACTTAAACTTGACCTGGAGGGCTCTGGGGAGCCATGGAAGGTGCTGGATAAAGGAGGGACAGTCATATATGTTTTAGAGATGACTGTGGAAGGCTGCCTGGAAGGAGTGAACAAGAGCCAGGAGACCAGGGAGGGAGTTTGTGGGGCAGGTCTGGAGATGGCAAGGGAGGGATCCTGCTTGGATGAAAGGTCTTCAGGGACTGTCTCAGGTTACACTCAGGTGCCCTCAGAGCTACTGTGTTCAGGGTTCTTGTCTCCAGGATGAAAATAAGGAGGAGTTGTCAGACAAGGACATATACATGGAGGCTGGCATCTTCATGAGTGCCAATCGTGGTCCTGGTGTGGACTACTGTGGGAGCAGGGGTCTCTCCATCCAGGGACATGGTGGGTGGACCCTACATCACTCCATTCTGCCCTTCCTTTCCGTCCCATTCTCCTGAGGGACTCAATGCATGGGCACTGTCCAACCTCTGGTGCTGAAGCAGCCAAGAGACCCAAGCCTGCCTTGCTGCCACTTAGGATATGACAGCACAGCCAGTGGCCTCTACTGGATCCTGGTACCCCTCAGAAGACACCCAGACACTGGGAGTGCTGCCACCTCGTGGTGCAAGAGTTCTGAGGGACGGCAATTCTGAAGACATTGAATGGTGGGTGCTGGGCCTCATGGCTGTTCTCCAGCCCCTCTCATTAGCTCTGCTCCAGGTGGAGAAGGGGGATGATGTCTCTGTCAGTTCTGCTGTTTTAGCCTAGCAGGAAAAGAAGCAGAGCCCAGAAGCAGGGCCTGGTACCCAGCCTGCCTAACAAGGGAGAATTTGTAGGCTTTGTGGACAGAAAGATCTGGGACTCCATGTCACCCACCAACTTGCTGAGACATTAGTAAAATCAGTTTTCTTTTCTGAACTATGTTTCTGTCATCTGTACATTGAGAGGAATTTCTTTTACTCCACGAGGCTGCTTGGAGAATTAGTGACAGTGTGTGTAGAGCATGTGCCACCCAGCAGGCATTTGGTGTCGAGACCACACCTCCTCCCCCTTCATTTTCAGCCTAAATTTGCATTTTGTTCTTAAGACTTTCACTCGCCTTAATTTTACTCTTTCCTCTGATTCCCACCTTATCGTCTATCCCATGGAGTCACTAGGATCTAAGTGGGTAACAGTCATGTATGCATGTATGTGTATGTACGTATATACTTTGTTGGTGTTGGAGTGTGGTGTGTGAATGTGTGTGTGTGTGTGTGTGTGTGTGTGTGTTGGAGTTACTGGGTGACTGAAACTGTACACATCAGGCTGTGGTTCTGCTCATTGCTGGAAGCGCTGTCAGGGGTCCTGCCCTCAACCCCAGGTCTGACCCTTGCAGCGCAGGCAGGACATTCTGGAGGAATCATGCCCTTGGGAGGATCCCTGAGGAGTGACTGGTGGGTATTGGTGGATAAATACCCCTGGTCCCTTGCTCTGGGTATGATGACTCTGAAGCACATGTTCTGTGCTGTCTCTCAGAGGTACCTGGCAGGGCTGAGTCCTGGCTGCCACAGTGGAAACTTTCTTGATGAAGGTCCCTTTAACTGCTGCATTCCTTTCCTGTCTCAGTTCCCCACTCCTCCACTGATGTTTCCTGGGATTAACACCCTAAGGAAGAACTGGCAGTCGAATTAATATCCTAGCGTTATCTCCAAACAAAATTTTTGTATTTGAATCTTTGCCTCGGGATCTACTTCCAGGAAATTCAGACTAAGACACACATTTTTCTTTTGGCTCCTTGAATCCCCATAGGCCTGACATTTTGCTGTTTTTATCAAAAAGGAACATGAGGATCAGAGAGGGAAAGTCACTTGCCCAAAGTCACCCAGCTGAACAGTGGTAGAGTTCAACTTTGATCATGAGATGTCTGGCCCCAAGGTGGAGGCTTGCTCCTCTCCCATGGGACTCCTTCCTTATCAGGGTCAAATGAATGAATGGAGGATGTTAAAAGTGGGGTCTCTGATGCCTTTGCCAGATAAACCCCAGGCTCATGGCTGGCGCCTGTTTTCTCATTCTTACCTCATTAAGAGTAGTAATGAAAAACATGCTCAGTGCTGACCGTGTGCCTGGGGGTGTTGTAGGCACTCCACTTACTTTAATTCATTTAATTTTCACAATAACCTTGTTTTTACTTCTGGTTGTTATATGAAAGAACTGAGGCAAAGAGCAATACAGAGAGTTGCAAAAATTCATACCGCTGGTCCAGGTTTGAACCAAACAGTCTGCACCTGGAGTCCTTGTTTGTAACCATGGCACCCTGTCTTCACACATATCTCATCGTGGAGTTCCATCTTGTGTTAGGCATGGCACTGAGCAGCTTCTTTTAAGAACATAATTTGTAGCCAGGCGCAGTGGCTTATGCCTGTAATCCCAGCACTTTGGGAGGCCGAGGCGGGCAGATCACGAGGTCAGGAGATCCAGACCATCCTGGCTAACTTGGTGAAACCCCGTCTCTAATAAAAACACAAAAAATTAGCTGGGCATGATGGTTGGCGCCTATAGTCCCAGCTACTTGGGAGGCTGAGGCAGGAGACTGGCATGAACCCGGGAGGTGGAACTTGCAGTGAGCCGAGATGGCGCGACTGCACTCCAGCCTGGGCGAGAGAGCAAGACTCCATCTAAAAAAAAAGAAAAAAACATGATTTGTAATTATGTAAATTACTAATTCTACTTCAAAGTGCCACACAGCCTTCATGTGATAAAATGAAGCAATTGGTAAGTCTAAGCATTGAGAACAAACATTATTTTTCCCAGCTCCATTGCAACAGTTGGGACAGTGTTTTCTCTGTGCCTATAGAAACCTCAGCTAGTGTGCCGAGGAATCTGGTCCCTTTGGGGAATGTGGCAGTCAGGTTCTGGCAGGGACCTCGAAGTGGCTGGTAATGTCTTTCATTACCACCACCACGTGACCTGGTCTTACGACCTGTTAGCTTCCTTCATCAGGCATGAGCACCAGGATGGCAGGGGCCTCATCTGTCCTGTTCCTCCTGTGGCCTGGGTCCTAGCACCATGTCTGGTACAGTGTAGGTGCTCAAGGGAAGTTTACTTTATAGAACTGTCTACCTGGGAGATGTTGCTGTTAGTCTAACCTGTACCATTTTGTAAACCTGCAGCCGTTTTGCACACCCTGGTCAGAATGAAACATTCCTTGGGAACTCGGGCCGTGAGAAGCATCCTTCCTGATCACCTGACTGTAGAAACATCCTTATCGCACCCTCCCGGGCAAAGGCCCAACAGCCTGACTGCAGGAACATCCTTGCCATATCCTGCCGGGCAGCAAGCTCTACCGCCCACACCCCTCCTTCCCAGTCCCATGATCACCCCAGCCTGTGAGAGGCAGTTGGTGCTGGCAGTAAGCTGGTTTCCTCCTCTGCAGGGTTTTGCTAGTAATAAAGGTGTTGCTGTTGAAGCCGTCAACTGTCTTTCTGTGTCTTTCTTTAACCCTTGCCTTGCCTTCAAAATCTAACAATAGCTCTACCTCTCCATTTTACCAAGGAGGATATGAGACTCAAGGAGAGCAAGAGACTTACCCAGAATTACAGAGCCAGTGAGTCACAGAACCTGAACTTGAGCTCAGTTCAGCTGAATCCAGAACTCATGTCTTCCTGAGAGTCCAGGGAAGGAAAGGTGGAACTGCAGCCAGTGGGTGCCCACAGGCTTGTCCTAGGAGACCACATGCAGCCTCCTGGGAATTGTGTCCTCTTGGGCACAAAAGAAGAACTGTTCACCTGTGCTGCATCAGCTAAGTGTCCCCATTGTCCCAAATTGTTATATTTTTTCAAAGTTTCATTTTAGTAACTAGATTTCTCACAGCTCAGTGTTGAAAACAAAGCACAGAGGCATATAGAAAGCCGTGTTTGGGTTTTTCTCATTTTTTTCCCAGTGACTATACAAATGAATGTACAAAAGAGCACAAATACGCTCATACTTTTTATATAGAGATGAGGCCCCCCCCACTCATATTCCTCTGCCACTACCCTTCCTTTTTTTTTTTTTTTTTTTTTTTCATGGGAGGACCTGTCTTTCAATACTAGTCCATGTGATTTGGGAAGGCTGACCCACCCTGGGCAATCAGATCAGCAGGGTAATTGATTCAGGAGTGGTCATGTGATCCAAGCTGGGCTCATGGAAGTCATCCCTGAACTTTTGATGAAACTGCTGGGAATGAGGTGCTTTCTTTTTATTGGCATATCTATTTGTAAGGAAGTAAGTGATGTGAACTTTATGGAGCCATTTTTGCTGCTCTCTCAAAACAGCTTGCCTGAAAAGCAGAGCTGACATAGGAAATGAAGGGACAGAATGAGCCTTGGTTGATATTAGTTGACCCCTGATCCCACTGAGACAGAAGCCCATCTACTCATGTACATTTTTAGTAAGTAAAGCCAAATAATTCAATGTTCCGCTGGATCCAGTTAGGTTTCAGTCACTTGCAGTCAAGAGAGTCCTGCATAATAGCACTTTCTGTGATGCTTAGGTCCCACCTGCCAGAGCTTTAGAACTGTAGAAGGGTAAAGTGAACCCAGGCAGTGCTGAGCTAGCCAATCTCCTGGCTAAGTGTGCAAAGGAACCCTGGAGTCACTACCACTTTGGTCTGAAAAATAGCCTTGCCTGCTGCTTACCATACAGCCATAGGGGTATTGCTTCCCTGAGCCTGTAGGCATTATACCTCTTTTTAAAAATGATGTTTATTTAAGAAAATGTTTTGTGTAGATGGTGTCTTGCTATGTTGCCCAGGCTTGTCTTGAATTCCTGGCCTAAAGTGCCAAGATTATAGGCATGAGCCACTTTGGCCAGCAGTATACTTCTATTAGTTGTCAATGCTTTTTTGTTCTGTAGTTTCTAGTGTGTGCTTGAGGATGCGTGTGTATGTGTGAGTTTATGTGTGTGTATGTATGTGTGTGTATGTATGCGTGAGAGTGTGTGTGTGAGTTTGTGTGTGTGTGTGTGTGTGAGTTTTTACCTTTATCTTGCAGGGTTATTGCAAGCATCAAGTGGGATCCTGTAGGCGCAGTACTCAGTCCAGTGACTGGCACATACAGTGAGCTCTCTCTGTTCTCTTTTCTCCTCCTGATTCAGAGATTGACTTAAGGATCTGTGATGTGTGCCAATTTTCAATGCCCTGCATAAATAATGGGGAGTACTGTTGCCATAACTTTGCACTAGTTTTAATTCATTTTATCTGTTTAGCATGAGATACCTCAAAGTCCCTGAATAAATTTATGTCATATATATATATATATACACACACACACACACACACACACACACACATAAGTATGTTTCTTGAGAGCTGACAAGCTTAGTTTTTGTTCCCTGATGCTGCAGTAGAGGCCACTGTGTTCTGATTTTTGAGTGATGGCTGCCAGCTCTCCAAGTGTCACAGTCAGTGAGGCATCCATGGGGGCAAGCACCAAGGATGAGTGTGGCCAGTCAGCATCTGCAAGCCCGTTTTGTCTATCCTCTTTATTTTTATAATATGTTTTATTCATTTTTTAGGTTTATCATTTAATCTGTTGTAAACTTCTCTCCTAAAATGTTTCTTAGTTCTACTAGGGGTTAGTTTCATGAAACAAGTCCAGAAATAGTCCACGGCAGCCAGGGATACACAACATGCCATTGGGGAGGGAGAAATCTTGTAGATTGAAGGTTTTGTTGTAGGGACAATCTTTCCAATGGTCTTCAAGTTGCTAAACCCAACTCAGGGCATTTCATCCTATTTCCAGAGAGGAGCAAGCAGAGAAAGCAAAGGGAAATTGGTCAACAAAAAAGAGGAACAATAACTCTCCCCTTTCCAAACAGATTTTCAGAAATCCAAAGCAGTGAATTCTGCATTTCACATTGGCCAGGACTATAAGATTCGCTCACTACAGTTACAAGAAAAACTGGGAAACTCATTTAAAGACGTTAACCAGGGCCAGGCATGGTGGCTCATGCCTGTAATTCCAGCAATTTGGGAGGCCAAGGTGGGAGAATCACTTGAGCACAGGAATTTGAAACCAGTCCAGGCAACATAACGAGACCCAGTCTCTACAAAAACAAAACAAAACAAAAGCTGGGTGTGGCGGTGCACACCTGTTATGCCTGCAGTCCTACCTACTCAGGAGTCTGAGCTGGGAGATCACATGAGCCCAGGAGTTCAAGGCTGCAGTGAGCTCTGATCATGCCACTGCACTCCAGCCTGGGAGACAGAGTGAGACCATTTTTCAAAAAAAAAATTGTAAAATAATAAAATATGCATAAATAAATAAATAAAGACATTTAAACAGTGCTCCTTGGAAAAAGTGAATCTATGTTCCCTTAGTGAAGAAGATGAGAATAATGGATATAGCAGGGAAATGGACAGCATTGGCCACATTAGACCAAAATGAAAGTCATAACAGGTACCCCAAATCAGTACCATTAAAACCACATAATGTGACCATAATGCAGTCAAATTGTGACCAACGAAAAACAAACTGACAAAAAAGGTATCATGGAGCATACGAATTCTAAATCTAAATTGAATGGAGCTCAGAAGGGCTTCTCACTGAAAATGAAACCATGTGTATGTAAATGAATTGTAACAAAGCTACTACATAGCAACATTAATGTGGCAGAGCGGAAAGGTTGCTAAGACAGATATCTGTCATCTTGTACCATTTTTTAAGAAAGGAAAAACTACAAAATTATGAATTTGAGTTCTAATTGAGGGATAAGACAATGATAAAGTCAATAATTGTTAACGTTTACTGTGCTTCAGTCCTACCCTGTGCTCATTCATGCCCAATAAGTGAAGAGCTGGAACTGAAAGCTTTCTTATATTTATTCAATTGTAGTCTCCCTCCAGGGTGTGGAATCATGTATAAAGGAGGGATAGTGTTTAAAGAGGTATTTTCTGCATTTTTTACTTCCATAAGCAGTCTCTGCTGTGTGAGTTCTTGTATGAACTATGAGTCTGAGACAACACTGAGGCTTTTTTTATATTCCTTACTTTCATAGCTTCTCTCCAGTGTGAGAACAAATATCTACTCACGATGAATGAAGATGAAAGGCTTTCCATAGACTTTACCTTCAGAGGGTTTCTTTTCACACTTCTGTAAGATAGGAGAGTTCAGGAAAGATGTTCTCATGCATGTTAACTCATTGAGCTCCCTTCCAGTATGTCCTCCTCACATGTTCAGTACGGTGAAAAATTAATGATGATTTCCCTGCCACTCACAGGGCTTCTCACTATTGTGAATCTTAAGATGGCTTTTAATTCTGGTGACTTTGCAAAGTCTTTTTCACATTTATCACATTTATAGGGTTTCTTCCAGTGTGACTCCTTATATGTGCATGTTTTGAGCCTTGCTGAAGGCTTTCCCACATTCCTTACATCCATAGGGCTTCTCCAGAATGTTCTTTCTTAAATGTTTATTAAGGTGTAGGGAATATCTAAAGCCTTTCTCACTTTTGTTACATTCATAAGGTTTCTCTCCAGTGTGAAGTTTCATAATGTCTCATAAGAAATGACTGATAACGTAAAGGCTTTCCTTCATTTGGGACATGTATGGCTTTTCTCTCCAGTAGTACTACTCCTGTGTGGACCAGAATTTGGAGCAGGACAGAGGTTTTTCCACTTTGATGATTCTTATTCTTCATCTCTACAGAACAGAACTGCATCTGGACAGCATGGACTGAGTTATTTCTGAAGATGTTTTCACATTGAGTAAAATTATACATTTTCTCCCTAACATGAGTTATGTGTGCCCTAAGGCACATGTCTTCACTACAGGCTAATTCAAATGGACTCCACTCATGAATGTTTGTCCTTGTATTAATTTTACTATGTATATGATGGACATTGTTCTGACTGCCTGTCCATGTGTTTGATTTTAGCTGTTTTTCTCCCATATGAAACCCAGTGAATGTTGCACTTCAAGACTATCATGTTGATTGTTTTCATATATATTACTTTATTGCAATAGTTTTTGGGAAACAGGTGGTTTTTGGTTACATGGAAAAGTTATTTAGTGGTGATTTCTGAGATTTTGGTGTACGCATTACTCAAGTAGTGTACATTGTACCCAATGTGTAGTCTTTTATCCCTCACCCCCCTAACCTTCCCTCTGAGTCCCCAAAGTCTATTAAATCATTCTTATGCCTTCACTCTCTCATAGCTTAGCTCCCACTTATAAGTGAGAACATACAATATTTGTTTTTTATTCCTGAGTTACTTCACTTACAATAATCATCTCTAACTCCATCCAGGTTGCTGCAAGTGTCATTATTTGATTCATTTTTAGGGCTGAGTAGTATTCCATGGTGTATCTATAACACATTTTCTTTGTCCACTCATTGGCTGATAGACATTTAACCTTGTTACACATTTTTGCAACTGTGAGTTGTGCTGCTATGAATGTGCATACATGTGTCTTTTTCATATGACTTCTTTTCCTCTAGGTGGATACCCAGGAGTGAGCTGATACTAATTTAAATAGAGATAATTATAAAATAAAGTAATGACCAAGTGAAAATTACCATTTCTAGTAGTAAAACAAGTTACCTTTATTGAGTAAAGCTTGAACATATTTCTGCCCACATAAAGGACATATAACTTTTGTATTTTGTATAAATGATATGCTTTATCTCACTAGACTCATCCTATGGTTAATTGGTGGGGGAGGGTTGGAGAAAGTAACATATCTTTAAATTTAGCTTCTTGATTCACATTTTTCTTCAAGTTTCAATAGCTCTCTTTTAGTTAAATGCCTCCAGGAAGATGTTCAGATGCTTTGGGCTTTCTGTGGCCTCAAGGCAAAGGGAAAGTGAATCTGAAGTCTCTTATTGTCTTCATGCTGTTCTCTAGACCTCTGCTTTCTCTGTGGCACAGGGTCTCTCTGGTCTGATCGCTGGGGCCATTGCATTGCTATTCTCTGAGATGAAGCTTGTACTCTCGCATCAGAGTACAGTGGAGTTCTCTTGCTTTATTAGCCTCCTGTTGGCTTGGGTAAGATCTTCAGATCTCTGTGAGTTTCAGCATCCTTCTTCCACAGTATGTCTGGAATGGTCACATGGGACTTTTTGGCAGGATCATTTTGCCCCTTGGTGCAGTGGCCCCATGTTATGTATGTTAGTTTTCAACTCAGTTAAGTTGCTTCTTATTTACCTCTATGACACTTCCACATTGCATAGATTCATAGGTCTAGTAGGAGGTTTTTTATATAAACCAAGCTGCCAGGAACAGAAGAATGCTCGCACAGTAAGTCAGACAAACCAAATTTATTACTCACAGAGGAGCAGGAAGAATCAGCAAAACCGTTAAGTTCTATGGCAAGCCTGACCCTTGAGGTCAGAAAAGTTGCCCAGCGTTGGTGGAGTCTCCTCTGCACATGCCCCACTGTGTACTGTGCTGAGGAACCCCTGAGTGCTCCGCCCTAGGTTTCACACCCCACGTGCACATTGGCTCTCTGAGTTTAAGGGCTGCAGTAATATCCTGTTCTAGGAACAACAAGGACAGAGCCCAGACTGTCCCAGATGGTTTCTACTCATCTCAGGATATTGTCTTCTTGGAACATTCTAAAGTTATTCTGAGAACTAGGAGGTACAGAAAGCTGAGTTGGTCAAGGCCATTCAGGTCTTGTCCTCCTGACCACAGAAACAAAGTAGACTATAAAACAATAAGCATTGGCAGAAGTAATCATATTGCATTATGATAGCCATTCTTCATTATGATAAAAAGAATTTATCCTCCAAAAAGTTATCTGAGTTCTAAATCTGAATGAACCCAGCAAAACATAGATTTGGGACTGTTGTTACAGTTTAATAAAATATATACTAAACCAATAAATTTAATTAAATACATAAACTCTAGAAGTATAAAAATCATAAAGGCTCATTTCAGTAAAGGTTGGCATACAAAGTTATCAGATGTATGACAGAGTAATAGAAAATGTTGACACTGCTTAGGGCAAAGTGAATATGATTGATATTCAGATGAACAAAGAAGATAGTAAACTCAATAGAAAAATGGGCCAAAAAATTCAATACATTGTTAACAATCTGACAAATGCAAATGTACACAAATAAAATGAGATCTGTATTTTCACCACTTGCTTAGAAAATATAAGAATCCTAGATAACATTGAGTGATGAGGATATGAGGAAAACAACCTTTATGGGCAATGGATGGGAAATTAAATGGTTTTAACCATTTCAGAAAATAACATGACAGGACCCATTTGAAAGTATGCATACTCTACAACCTGTCTCGATGATGGGTACATATCCCTGATATAGTTTGGATGTGTGTCCCCTCCAAATCTCATGTTAAAATATGATCCCCAATGTTGGAGGTGGGGCCCAGTGAGAGGTATTGGATCATGGGGTGGATGCCTTATGAATAGCTTAGCACAGGAATGTCCAACTTTTGGCTTCCCTGGACAGCATTGGAAGAAGAATTTTCTTGAGCCACACATAAAATACACTAAAAATAGCTGATGAGCTAAAATAAATAAATACATAAATAAATAAAAATAAACACACACACACACACACACACACACACACACACACATACACAAACTCTCTTTTGTTTTAACAAAGTTGACAAATTTGGGCCACATTCAAAGCTGTTCTGACCTGCATTCAGCCCACAAGCTGTGGGTTGGACAAGCTTGGTTTAGCACAATCCACTTGAGTGAGTTCTTCTCAGTGAGTTCATAGAGATCTGATTGTTAGAAACAGCCTGGGACTGCCCCCTTGTCTCTCTTACTCCCTCTCTGACCATGTGACACACTGGCTCCCCTTCACCTTCTGCCATGATTGTAAGCTTCTTGAGGCCTCACCCAGAGCAGATAGCATTGCTTCCTGTGCAGTCTGCAGAACCCCGAACCAAGATAAACCTCTTTTATTAAAAAATAATAAATAAATTACCCAGCATTGGGTATGTCTTCATAGCAATATAAAGAGACTAACACAGCCCCTGACAAATTGTAACACATGACCAAAAAGTGTTTTCATAAGGATACCATAAGGAAGTGAATATTTCAGTAGCAGGATATCAGTGTGAATTCTACTGCAAGACTGGATAGGGAAAATGTGGTTGATTCATTTTATTGAAAACTATGCAGCAGCTACAGGGGAATAAACAACCAAAAATAACCTACAGCAATGTGGGAATGTATGAAGGATGTTATGCTCTGTGAAAAAATTAGAAATAAAATTAGATTTATAGCACAATACTCTTTAAGCAAAATGTATACACTCACGTATATACACATACACACACTCAGAAAACAACCTTCTTATCTTGTAAGAATTCTTTAAGAGTAAAGAACCTATATCAAACACATTAGCATGCCTGTCTGTGACAAGGGATAAGGAATAAAAAAATGAAACAAGTAAAACCAGAGAAACTTGTAGGAAACAATAATGATAATGTCTCATGAAGTAAAGAATGTGATTAATTTTTTGCAACTGTGGTATAAAAACAGATTGTCAAAATCAAATGTAATGAGCTTTAGCATAGAGCTTATTGTAGGGAAAAAATCAAATTTAAATACTTAGTTTATATAGTTTGATGCAGGAATGGTCTCCTATGTGAAGTAGTAAGATACACTAAACAATCCATGGGTGTATGGGAAGAAAATACTCAAAATGCTACTTATATTTATTTTTTACTCATTTTTCCAACAGTTTAATATCTAAATGCTAGGGAAGGCCAGATGTGATGACTCACACCTGTAATCCCAGTGCTTGGTTGGAGAGGGTGGGGTCAAGGCAGGAAGAACACTTGAGGCCAAGAGTTCTAGACCAGCCTGGGAAACCTAGTCGGTTTTTGTGTCCACACACAAAAAAATTAAAAATTAGCCAAGCATGATGCCATGCACCTGTAGTTCCATGTACTGGAGAGGCTGAAGCAGGAGGATCACCTGAGGGAGGAGTTTGAGGCTGCAGTGAGCAATGATTATTCCACTGCACCATAGCCTGGGTGACAGAATGAGACCCTGTCTCTTAAGTGGAAATAAGTAAGTGTGAGGAGAACACGTGATCTTTCTAGTTTTCAGTCCCTCTTGCAGTTCCCTGTAGATTATTTTGCTTATTCCCAATGTTCCAGCTGTCTGCACATTGTAGGCTTGTTCTTCTACCTACTCAAGGCCCCAGATCCAGCAAATGTCCTCAGAGATGGGCTCTGCTGCTAATCTGTGATCACCAAGGAAGGGCTTGTTTTTCTCTGAAATTTAGTTCATTGACACTTTAGACCCACAATTTTTTGATGGCTTTAAACAAAAAAAAAAATAATTTTTTAAAGTTCATCCGATATTTTCTCATTATGGCAGGAGCAATTGTCTTTGGTAACTTTATTTTAATTGGAAGAAGAATTTCTAACATTGGCATTGTAATGAGGTTTTTGGTCTTTGACCCTAGTGGAGCAATTAAATCCACATCTATTTCTTCTGTTATGCATGTATTGAAGGATCAAATGAGAAAATATATGTAGAGTGCACAAAGTGTCTAATGTACACTAGTGATATACAGTTGTATTATGACTACACACCGAAAACACATAATCAACCAGATTGCTTCCTGAGAACTAGAGCCAGGCTTTTCCAATGATACTTAACTGTCAAATAATTCTATTCAATTTTTCATGGGATTTAGGGTTTGGTCCATGAAGTGCTGCCACAGTATGCAAATCAATTATATCAATAAATGTGCTAATTTATTCAGCAAACGTATTCTTGTAGCAATAGTTAATGAAAGAAGTAACATTTAATTTCTAGTAGAAGCTACTTCTCTCATTGTGAACTCGTTACAAAGCTTGAATGCTCTAGCTATTTTGAGGAGCATTAATAAGCATTACCTAAAGAAGATGATATATTCCCTAGACAACAAGAACTCTTATTTCTCTTTATCTTCTTTTTGATAAATGCTACAGTCTCTTGGTAGTGAATCCAGATTCTGTGGTGTGGGGAAAAGAAAGAGAGATCAGACTGTTACTGTGTCTATGTAGAAAGAAGTAGACATAAGAGACTCCATTTTGTTCTGTACTAAGAAAAATTCTTCTGCCTTGAGATGCTGTTAATCTGTAACCCTACCCCCAACCCTGTGCTGGCAGAGACATGCACTGTGTTGACTCAAGGTTTAATGGATTTAGGGCTATGCAGGATGTGCTTTGTTAAACAAGTGCTTGAAGGCAGTTTGCTTGTTAAAAGTCATCACCACTCTCTAATCTCAAGTACCCAGGGACACAATACACTACACACTACGGAAGGCTGCAGGGACCTCTGCCTAGGAAAGCCAGGTATTGTCCAAGGTTTCTCCCCAAGTGATAGTCTGAGATATGGCCTTGTGGGAAGGGAAAGACCTGACCATCCCCCAGCCAGACACCCATAAAGGGTCTGTGCTGAGGAGGATTAGTAAAAGAGGAAGGCCTCTTTGCAGTTGAGATAAGAGGAAGGCATCTGTCTCCTGCTGTCCCTGGGCAATGGAATATCTCGGTGTAAAACCCGATTGTATGTTCCATCAACTGAGATAAGGAGAAAACTGCCTTAAGGCTGGAGGTGAGACATGCTGGCTGCAGTACTGCCCTTTAATGCACCGAGATGTTTATGTATGTGCACCTCAAAGCACAGCACCTTTTCTAACCTTGTTTATGGCACACAGACATTTGTTCACATGTTTTCCTGCTGACCCTCTCCCCACTATTACCCTATTGCCCTGCCACATCCCCCTCTCTGAGATGGTAGAGATAATGATCAATAAATACTGAGGGAACTCAGAGACCGGTGCCAGCGTGGATCCTCCATATGCTGAGTGCCGGTACCCTGGGCCCATGTTTCTTTCTCTATACTTTGTCTCTGTGTCTCTTTCTTTTCTCAGTCTCTCATCCCACCCAATAAGAAACACCCACAGGTGTGGAGGGGCAGGTCACCCCTTCATGTGGGATGTACAAAACAATCCTCCACAAATTTAAATTTATGCCTATGATCATGTGTAATGAAATTAGCCCTCAAGAGCCAACTTGAGACCATGTTCAGAATGAAAGCTTCAGAAACTCATGGCAAACACATGAATATAAGGCCATTTTAGACACAGTCCCCAGATTACCTCTGAATTCAGTGGGGAAAAAGTGACAAGGAGCAATATTTAGGGCATCTAGGATAGTGCTACCTTCTCATCCCTAACATAAGCCAAATTAAAACTTCATACTAATGCTCTGAAGCCTAATAATAACTAGTAAGGTTTATGTCTGTCAAAAAGCCACTGCAGGCTACTGTTAAAACCAGCTACACAACCATCTGGAAGACATTTGCCTCCTTCTGGTTAAAAACAGTCCCATGTCTACTGATGATGTAGTTAAGGTTGTATCAAGATCTTCTATCTCTCAGCAGGGATGTGGTTTCCCAAATGCTAATATTTGACCAACAAAAGTTTTGCAGCCAGAGTTTGTGCAAGTATTGGTAGATAGAAAATACAAAATCCAACCATTTCTCATGAATGATTAAACAAAAAAAAGAATGCAAGAAGCCTGTGTGCATGTGCGTGGGTATATATGCATGTGTGTGTGTGTATTCAGGTTTGTTAACTTTATTAACTTTGTTTAAAATTTAATTTAAAAATTAGATTGGGGAGTAAAATATCATTCTTCCTCTCTCATCATAAAACTTTTGGCTCACGGGATTCTGACATTCCATCATGCTTGGAAAAGTTGGATTTATGAAACCAGTCGCTGGACTGAGCCTGCCTATGCAGTTCTTACACAGGTGTTCCCTATTTTGTGCACAAGCATCCTCAAGAGACCAAAGATAGTGATTGAGAGAGACGGGCTCTGAAGTCTTTTTATTTCAACTTCTTGGAATCACCACCTTGTTAATGAACATCAAAATCTTTTGTGTCATTTATCAGATTAATTACTTTTTCCATAAAAAGAGTGAGTTGAGAGGATAACAAGAAACTCCCTGTCCCTGCTTCATCCTGAAAACAGGAGAATCAATATCTTAACCCTGTTTTTGAGAGATGAATGGGTAGGTCAACATTGCTTGGCTATTTGTCCTTCCATTTGGGACAGATTACCACTGCACTTTCCCCTCAATCTCTAGAATCATGGCTTATAGAAAACAATTTTGTACTGAATTACTAAATGCATCAAAACTTTATTAGACTTATTATCAAAGAGCATGCTCAGATGTATCTATTATAAATAGTAATAAAAATATAAAAACCTAAAAACAATATTATAAATAACAGAGAAAAGCTATGCACTGTTATGAAAGCCTTTCATATTTAGGGATATCAGGTAAGGTTTCCCTTGGTGGGGAAGATGAAGAGCAAACCAAAATAAGAGTAAGAGCTGGCTGGGTGTGGTGGCTTACGCCTGTAATCCCAGCACTTTGGGAGGCTGAGGCAGGTGAATCACGAGGTCAGGAGATCGAGACCATCCTGGCTAACACTGTGAAACCCTGTCTCTACTAAAAATACAAAAAAAAAAAAAAAAATTAGCCAGGTGAGGTGGCAGGCGCCTGTAGTCCCAGCTACTTTGGAGGCTAAGGCAGGAGAATGGCATGAACCTGGGAGGTGGAGCTTGTAGTGAGCTGAGATCACACCACTGCACTCCAGCCTGGGCAACAGAGCAAGACTCCATCTCAAAAAAAACAAACAAAAAAAACCCAGTAAGAGCTAATTATATAAATCTGGGATGGTAGTGGGAAAAGCATATGAGTAAGAAGACCAAAGTCCAGGAGACAAGAAGAAATACATCTGAATCATTTAGTTCAACAATGTTCATGCCACAAGAGGGGGGAAAGAGAAAGGAAACAAATTTTGTACTGCTTGAACCCATTTTTGGACTCTTGCTATTTATCCTGTACTAATGTGAAGTCTTTGGGAGTTTTTAAGCAAAGCAATTTACAATGCAAATTGTATTTACATTTCAAGTAATCATTCCAGATATAACACAGAACCATTTTTGGAGAGAGAATCAGGGAGAGCACTTTAGAGGTGCTCACCATAGCCCAGGTGAGAGAGTGATGGGCTGGAATCCATGATGGCAATGAAGATAGAAAGAGAAAAATTCATTCAAGAAATAGAGAGAAGGTAAAATCTGACAATACTTGGTGATTTGAAATGGAAATGTGAAGAACAAAATGTCAAAAATTAATTGAGATGTCAGGTGTAGGTAGAAGTTGACATCATTTGCTGCAAAAAAAAAGACACACAAGAAGAATACCACTTTCAGTGAAAGAGACATCTAGGTTGCTTAAAGTATGAAACGGGACTTTTCCAATTTCATGCAGGTAAATTAGGAGGGCTCAACCTTGAAGCACAAAAGATGGTGATTATGGTAACACTGGCCTTGAGACCAGGACCTGTATCAGACTCTAGAAAGATCAGTGTGATTTGGAGCTGCTACAGACTGGAATATTTCAGTGAAAAACAAAACAAAACAAAGCATTCACCCTTATTCTTGCAGTCTTGTTTTATTTGAAGGAGTAAATAATTGGGCCTTATTCAGAGCTGCAAGTTTTGGTAAGCCCTAAAATGAACAAAAAATTGTATAAAATGGAAGCAATTCACCAATTCTATTCACTTAACATTTACTGATTTTCTTCCAGGTTTAAGTATTATGATAGGCATTGTACAGTAATTACTTTATTGACCATCTTCTCTGGTGTTTGTATTAATACACAAAGAAATCTAACTTTAAAAGTGTAGCATTGCTTTCAGCTGACACCAATCATTACCCGTTATCCCAATTCATTAAATCAGATTGTTTCAGCAATAAGTTACATTTTGAAGTTAACGAAATACTTAAAAGGCTGTGATGTTGTAGCTGCAGATGTAGTATGCAAAACACATTTGATTCATGTCGTTCAGCACAATTTCATCTTAAAATCTTATCTACAAAACATTTTTACACATCTATTATTCTCTTGCTTTATGTAAAGTTTATGTCATTTATCTCTATCAAGTTAAGTTACATTTCTAGTTTTTCTCAACCATAAAAGACAGCATTAATTTTTACAAACATTAATGATGAACTATATTCACTCATAACTATTTGTGTCTAAGTCATCTTAGATTTACTGAACAATTTCTGAGTAACTAATGGCTAGCCTTTTATTATTCTATGATGATAAACATTTTTACAGTATCCAGGCTTCAGACATATTTTTGAAAACATTTCTATATGGGTCAAAATTTAAATCAGTTGTAATATGTGATCCACTCAAATATATTCTCCAGGATGCGCTATTAAAATGAAATACCGAGGTGGTTCCCCAAGACACCAATTTAAAGTGTATATGTGCAGTGCAGGGTTACTGGACCAAGGCACAGTGTAAACAGCGAAATTTTATTTTTTGTTTTCTTTTTCCTAAGATGTTTCTTATTCCCCATTATATAAAAATGTATATTACAGGCAAAGAAAAATTAACACGAATAGAAGTAAATATAAAGTATATTCACATTAATATCAGCTTTGCTTTATCTATTAAGGGATGTAACACACTTGTGGTTTTCAGGACCTTGTAACTCCTGGTTCATTGGAAAGCACAGAAATTCTTCAGAGCCTCAAGAGTTGTGTTTAACGCATTATTTAAATAGTGTCCAACCACTAGTTAGATAGCTTAGCACTCAAATAGCCTTTGAAATCTCTGTAGACTCACCTCAATTGAAGAGTCCTGATAATTTACAGAAGTGTGTAGTGCACTAAGAGATCCCTGATGGATAATGTCTTTGCCTGTGGAGTGTTTTATGTGTTGATCCACTGGAGTGTGTGTGTGTGTGTGTCTGTGTGTAGGTGGGTGAGTATGGGTGGGCGTGGATTGTGTGTGTATGTGTTTACACTGTGGTATGTGTCTGTTGGGGTGCCGCCATTTGGGATTTGGAAAAGTGAGGACCATAAACTTGTCAACATTCCTACATGCCTGCTTCATAAGAAGTGTACTGAACATGGCCAAAAGTAACTAAACCAAGTAAACAAATTAGACATTAATTAAATTTAATGCTGGGCAGGAAAGAAGTAGTCAAGGCCAGGTAAAATGAAGAAATATAACCAAATGAATGAAATTTTTAGATTGATTCATAGAATGAGACAGGAATATTTTTTAAAATTTGTAGTTTCTAATGAATAACAGCATATAAAATAAGAATCATATGGCTGTCAATTGACTAAAAACTGTACATAAGATTTGAGCTAGTGAAACAACCATATATGATCTTCTAATTCCACTTTTCTATCTCAAGAATGACTTGTTAAAATGATTTTTTTTGAAATTTTACATTCTCATCTTGAAAGAGCTTCACAAAACTCACATGAGAATCTGGATTGTCATAAGAGGTCTGATTTTTTAATGGTATGTTTGTATTTTTGTTATGTACATCAATGTCAAGCATTCGTTTCCTGAGCTGTTCTCTACAACACAATTTAACTTGTAATGGACACTCAGTAAATGGTCGGTTGGATATTCAAATCAACACCTTAGTTCCATCAATTTTCACTTCATATAAAAATGCCTGATCTTCTATACTCATCAATGAAACAGAGAGATGAAGGAGGGAGAGCAGTTGAGACTGAGAGGATGACAAGCAGACCTCATTCTGCAGTGGATTTCCTACACTCTCCACTTCTGAATGCTTGGAAACACTTGCCATGCTCAAAAAATATTGGTATTTCCTAGGCAGCAAATGGGAGTTAAAGAAAGTCCATATTTCTATATTACAATAACTTACACTATAATACACAGATGGCATACATTTCTAAGCAATTTCAGTTCACAGAAAATGTAGATAAATTTAGGTGAGCAAGATGTAAGGGAAGGGTTAGTAATCAAGCTGAGTGTGATTGTGAGATTAAATCTAATATTATCTTATACAATTATTGTATAATTGTATCAGTTGACATATCTGTTGAAACAGAAGGTGGGAGAGTTTTGCATGCGCTTCCGAAATGTACTGGATGATGTTAGGAGAGAGACAGGTCAACGTGGCTAGGCCATAAGTGTTTACTAATTGAGGCTTAGGAAAGTTAAGCTCCTAACCAGAGACTGGGAGATAGAGGCGCTAAAGTGTATAACATTTATATTTAATATATATTTAATAATATATAATAAAGTCTTAAAATGCCAATTTTAAGTCTTTTCATTTTCTTCTTAAAAACAGAGGTTTTATTGCGTTTGGTCCACAGTCGGTATTTCACATTATCTCATAGCGCAGGGCGCCTGGGTGGAGGGCTCTGTGCAGTACTTGGCGTGGCCTGGAGCCAGGAGAGATAGAGCAGTAGACCTGGTCAGGCCCGGAAGGGGAGAAGGAGGGCCGGGGCTCCTTAAGACCTACTGAGGGGCTGGGCGCGGTGGCTCTCGTCTGTCAACCCAACACTTTGGGAGGACGAAACAGGCGGATCACATGAGGGAAAGAGTTCCCGACCAGCCTGGCCAACATGGTGAAATCCCGTCTCTACTAAAAATACAAAAAATTAGGTAGGCGTGGTGGTGGGCGCCTGTAGTCTCAGCTACTCTGGAGGCTGAGGCAGGAGAATCGCTTAAGCTGGGAGGCTGAGGTGCAGTGAGGCGAGATTACTCCACTGTGCTTCAGCCTGGGCGACAGAGTGAGACTGCATCTCAAAAAAAACAAAAACAAAAACAAACAAAAAACCCTACTGAGGGCCACGGGGGTGGAGGAACTAGGATGGAGAGGGGTCAGACTTAATCCTGGCAACTCAGAATTCCACTAACTTGTACGGGTCTCAGTTTCCTCACCGGGCCCCAGCATAGGTTTGAGGGTCTGAGGTCTGTTGGTCTGAGGGTCCTAGGGAAATCCAGCCACTCAGGAGCCTGAGATATTTTAGCATCGTGGCTGGGCCCCCTCTCCCAGGGGACTCATTTCCCAGCACCCTCTCCACTGTCTCCGCCCCATTCCTCGGAGAAGAAAAAAATTTCTTTCTTTTGTTAATACTTCCTGAAACTTTTGCAGGTACAGAAACCACAAACTGATCGGCTGACAAAAAGGGGAAGAGGAGAGGCAACCAGAAACCTTCGGGGACTGGTTCCCTCCATGCCCAGGTCTCTTCTCCCCAGCACAGCTCAGCCCACAGCCTGGAAGTGCCAGCGGGGACCTTCACCCTACACGCATCAGGATACGGCCTTGATCCCTTCCCCCACAGCCCGGTGTCTCAGTCCTGCCAAGGAACCAAAGCAAGGGGAGGTGGGGAAAAAACCCTGCTGCCTGATCCCACGCTGCCACTCACAGACCCTCGGTTGACTGGCAGCACTGAACAGGTTAAAAAAAAAAAAGATGAAAACACAGAAAAACCCAACACCCAGACGGGGAGACCATGTGTGGAGAGAGCGTGCTGGGAGCCTCAGTAGCCGGTCTCCTCCTGGTAGTAAGGGGCCTCCCCTGGCCCTGGGCAGTTGCCGGCGGAGGGAGCCCCGTGGGCCACTGGGCCACCCGGCTAGTACTTGGGTTCGTATATTTGCCGGCCTAGGCCAAAGACCTGGCCGCTGTGATTGGCAACCTGCGTGTAGCCCATCTTCAGGGACATGGAGGAGTTCTCACACTTGTCGATTCCCAACTTGGTGTCATAGATGTGCCGCTGGGTCCCGGGAGCCTTCATGCCCACCTGGCTGGCGCACTTGTTTGTACCCATCTGGAGGCTGATGGTCGAATTGTCCATGGGGGGCAGGATGCGGTTCTTGGGGTCGTAGAGATGCCTCCTCGTGCCATATGCGGTCATGCCTGACTGGCTGGCACATTTGTTGGTAATCTGCAGCCGGATGACACACTGGCTGGCCTTCATGGTGGTGTCGTGGAAGTTCTGCTTCTCTGAGTACTTGTCACGGATGTCCACCCCGCTCCGCAGCCCCTTAGTCTTGGCCTTCCCTGCCAGGGCGAGAAGAGACACCCGCACTTGCATATTGTTCCCACTCTCAAACAGGTCGTTGGCCTCAAATAGGTCCACGGGATCATGCCGTAGCTGACCATTGCCTTGAGGAAGTTGGAGAGGTTTTCTAGCTAGTGCCAGTTCTACACGGAAGCCGTTGATCTTGGGGACTGAGCCCGGCTGCAGTTTGTTCACGAGTGTGCATAAAATAATCCCGTCCTTCAGGCCCTTCTGGAAGTCGGGGAGGATGGAGAGGCCAGTGAATCCCTTGATCCAGCTGCGGAGCTCTGCCTCCTTCTGGGAGTCATATTTGGGCAGAAGCCTGTTCTGGACGTCCGCCAAGAGCCTGTAGGAGGGGCCCTTGTTGAACTGCGTGGAGCTTATGGCTGGAGGGCGCCGCCGCGGGGCGGATCCGACAGGACCAGCGGCTAAGTCTTTTTTCTAGTTCGCAATGTTTTGTTTTCACCACACCATTGTTTTACTACATATTTTATTGTATGTGTATTGTGTTAAATATACATTTTGTGTATTTAAAAATGTGTGGAAAATGTTAGACCATCTCCCTTTTTTCCACCTTCCCTTTTACCCTTTACTGCCATTTACATCCACACATCCACACACACATACATCCACACACACACATACTGACCAAAATTAATTTCAATATACGAATGGGTTATTTGAAGCGAAAAGTCAATCTATATTAGTAAAAGTGTCATGCCAGTATGAATTATATTTATAATCCTTTCAAGAAGAAAGAACTTCCGGCCGGGCGCTGTGGCTCACGCCTGTAATCCCAGCACTTTGGGAGGCCGAGGCGGGCTGATCATGAGGTCAGGAATTCAAGACCAGCCTGGCCAAGATGGTGAAACTTCGTCTCTACTAAAAATACAAAAAAATTAGCTGGGCTTGGTGGCGGGCGCCTGTAATCCCAGCTACTTGGGAGGCTGAAGCAGAGAATTCCTTAAACCCGGGAGGCGGAGGTTGCAGTGAGCCAAGATTGTGCCACTGCACTCTAGCCTGGGCGACAGAGCAAGACTCCGTCTCAAACCAAAAAAAAAAAAAAAGAAAAAAAAAGAAAAAGAAAAAGAAAAAAGAAAGAACTTCCTTAATTTTTTGAAGAGACTATTCTGTATCCATTTTATAATTTTGTGGCCACTGAAAAAGGTATATTAAATCACAGACACAGTGAATGTAGTAAGTGGTAGTTTAAAATGTTAAAATGTTAAATCACGCCTGTACTCCCAGCACTTTGGGAGGCTGAGGGGGGAGTATCGCCTGAGGTTGGCAGTTCAAGACCAGCCTGGCCAACATGGTGAAACCCCTTCTCTACTAAAAATACAAAAATTAGCCAGGTATGGTGGCACAAATCTGTAATCCCAGCTACTCAGGAGGCTGAGGCAGGAGAATGTCTTGAATCCTGGAGGGGGAGGTTGCAGTGAGCTGAGATCAAGCCACTGCACTCCAGCCTGGACAACACAGTGAGACTGTCTCAAAAATAAAATAAAGTGTTGAATTTTTACAAGTCGTTGTTCCTATTCTAATTTTTGAATGCAACCACAGCCTCTAACAAAACAGCCTCGTTACACTAATTCGCTGATAATGAATTCTTAAGTAAAAGGGGAATTCCATAGAAATATATATGGCTCTTTTATGTTTAAGAAAAGTAAGAGCCTGAAAAACAGATGTGTTCTGTAAAACTGAATTACTTTCTATCCAGTTCCACTGGTTCCACTGTTTTATATCTTTATATTAAAACATATATAAATGATTGATTGATGAATTTTTTTCTTTTAGACACTGCTGCTGAATCCTTGGAGAGAAAAAGGATAAATTTCCAGAACTATGGTCCCTGTGCTCCAGTTCGCCAGGCGGGCGCGGCGGAGACGGAGACCGAGGAACGCCGCTGGGGCCATGCGGCGCTACCGTGCGTGGTGGCTCTGTGTCTGGCCTGAGGCTTCTGCTCGCTCCTTTACGCCTTCAGCCAGCTCCCCGTGTCCCCGGAGGAAGGAGCGGGCAGTGGTGGCTGGAAGCCGCAGGCCGCAGTGGCTTCGTGGCTGGCGGGAGGCGGATGCGGTGCGGTGAGAGGCGCGAACAGCGCTTGTCCCGCTGCGCATCCCCGCAGGTGGGACAGGTGTAGTCTGAAAATACAGCCCGTTGAGAAAATGTATCTAAGTGAAAGACTGGAAGAAACTATGACCATGTTGAAGTCAGCTATTATTTTCAGGATCAAACCTCTTCAATTCCAGATTTTTGCTGAAGATCAACTACATCATAGCTTTAAAGGAAGGCTTGACAGGGGTCATTCCTACAAATATTTAATTATACAGTATACTCCATAACCTTTCCAAGTGAGAATGCAGCAGAGTGGAAAAACTCTTTAAACCATGTAGTTTGCAGAGATTGTCCTTGCCGTTATTCCTGAAAGAAGTTGACTCTCACACTGATAGCCTTTTTAAAAGACCAGCTGATAATATTTGGTCTTTACTAAAGAAATTTAATTCCACACAAATTCTGAAATGGCCCCAGAACACAAGGAATGTCAAATAGGATGGTATAGTCGCTTTGCTAGGCATCCATAGTGTGGAAAAGCTGGAGTAAACTCTGGAGTTATGTTGACAAACATGACTTGAATGAGAAGGAAGTATTTCAAGAATAATATGACAACTGTATGACTACAATGAGGAGATATACTTATGACATGGCTTAAAATATACAAGTTAAACATTACATGGGCGATCAAGATCTGTTGGATATCCTGTTTTTTCATAATCCAGAAAGCCTTTTTGTCTTTCTGTGTCAATGGAAGTGTCGTCCAGATCATTGTCTATATGGAAGCAGTTGCCAAGAAGCAGAAGAAGGAATCTTTATTTTTCACGGGAACAGAGGTGTTTACCATGATGATAAGCAACCAGCATTTAGAGCTGTTTTTGAAGCACTCAGAAATTGTTCTTTTAAGATGACAATATTCATTCATTAATAAAACCTTTAGAATTGGAACTACAAAAAATAGTGCATACATACCGTGGAAAAATTTACTAAATATTTATCAAACAATTAGCAAAAACATAAGAGATCGCTATGTCAGATCACCAAAGGAAAGGTGATTCTTGTTGCCTGCTACATCAAATGGATGAAAAGAACAAAGCATCGGAGGATAAGTATGAAGGAACTGTCTTGGGTGAAGCATTAAGGCAGGAATTATTCATCTACAGAATTTTTTTTTTTCCTGAAGAGGTTAAATGAGCAGTATTTTCAGGTAATGAAGAATAAGTTAAAATCTTGGGCTTCAACAAAGAAAAATTTTTGGCCTCTGATGTTGTGTAATGTTACTTACTATCATTCCAGTATTGATGAAAATATTATTGAATGGTTTTAGCCTGCAAACTTCTGTTGACTCATACTCTCAAGAGTGGTGGAGCTGTGAAAATGAAGAAAATGTACCTCAAACACAGTGCAAACACTCAGATGGTGAGTAGAGCAATAATTTTATGTCAGCACTAACCTCACTTTAAATGTGTGAGAGAGGTTTGTCTACAGGAGTAGAAACAGTTCTGTTTCTAAAGAAATGTGATGTAACCAATGTAACCATGGATGATCTATATCTGCCTTTACACATTTCATCTCTGTTTTAAAATATTTTTATGATAATCATATTTAAAATTGTTTTTAGATTATAAGGAAGCTGCATGTTAAAAATTGAGCTGTATAAGAAAGAGGAAATATAGTGAAAACTTTGGGGTTTTAATCTGTGCATGTGAGAGAGAATGAGAAATATAGTGTTTTCATTGTGTATGCATTAAACTGTCTTGCTAAAACTCAGATCTAAGATTGTTAAGTAGATATTTGGGGAACTTTTTTATCACTTTAAATGAAAAATTTCAGCTTTACTGGGCATTCTGGAAGCAAAATATGTTATGCTGATGATAAAGTGAGAACCTTAAGAATACACTCATTTGATGGCGGAAAATGTGATGGACCAAAATGCAGAAGCTATACACGTCCTGTGAGTAGTAATTTTAGTTACAATGCAGTAGGAAAATGTGGCGCATTTAAACATTTCTTCTACCTCATAATGGCTTTGCAAGATACTTGTAAAGAAGCAAATGTCTAGAGCCTTACTTTAAGAAAGTTAAACAACTTTGGTGAATGATTTGGATTAAGATTGTTACATCCAGCTATAGAAATGTGGTTTCAATAGGGTTGATGTGAGTGAGTACCTTCCTTTTTTGAATACCACTTAAAACAGTTAACTTTTTAAGTCTTGAAGATGAGAAAAATATTACTTATCTAATATAACTATTTTAATAGTTATCTAATTTATAGTTATCTACTATAACTATACATTCTGAATACTTAGCATGTACTGTGCTGGGGCACATATCTTATTTTCCCAGCTGCTAAACGATTATCTTCCTTTTCTCCCTGGTATTTTAATGCTCAAGTAGAAAATGGAAAATCATGAAGGAAAAATATCACTTGTGAAAATCGTGTCAGTTAGCTTTATGAAGACACAGTGGCCTCTGTGGGGACATGGGATATGCAGAAAGAGATGGCTAGTACAGTTGTTCTGTCTTCTGCAGTTCAGTCAGGGACATATTGAGAGAGGAAAGTTTAAGCAGGTACATTAGAAATTGATAACCAGCCCAGCATTCTTAGAACAGATGGGTTTAGAGAACACGAGTTGTAGTTCCTTGGCAGAATGCCATGGTGGATATGAGAAACTGTGAACTGTGTTGAAATTGAGCTTGAGCAGAAAATGAGAATACTAAAAATTTGAAGTTCAGAGGGTATGCATTAGATTATTTCTAATGGTCCCCATATATGATCATTGCCTGCCTGACTATATAAGACTCCTGTTGGGAGCTTGAGAACAGATTGCTGAGCTTAGCCCTTTGGAGACTCTGGTATGCTGTGTCTGGGATGGAGTCTGCAAAAAAAAATTTAAAGAAGAGACTTAAAAATTATACAAAACTAGAATAGTGCTTTGGTACTATCAGATTACTTGGGGGCTATTCCCACTTCGATTCTTCATATAGAGGATGTGAACAGAGAAACATGCAGATAAATCAGTCAATGCCAACTGCTGGGGGAAACGACCATAGTCTGCAGGTTCCCACAGAAAGGATAGCACTTCCATCCTCTCCCATGAGGGAAAAACAAAGGAGAAAAGCTTTTGGCCTCTCACCATAAGCTCATTCAGTCCTCCCCTTGGGAAGAGAAATGACTTAACTGAGGAATGTGCTGTACTGGTGAAACTCATCCTCTGTGGGTTTCTCTCTCTTTCAGAGTCAGCTCTCTTCAGGATGCGCATTTATTTCTCCCTTTGGAGGAGGCCTCAGTCCAGCTCAGCCAAGGACTGAAAGGCACATCTGGCTAATTCAAGACTGAGGTATTGGGAGGTCCCCTTGGCCCCAGATCTATGATATGTTCTCGAGTCCTGAGACCTGCTGACTCTCGTATCTCTTTTCTCAGTTGGGTCATATCTTGGGGTTATTTGTGTTCCCAGCTCTAACAGGAAGGTTCCTAAGCACTCATTTCTTCTTAACCAATTTCTGAAGGTAAAATGTTGGTGAAGAGTGCTCTTTTCTTCCTGCTACCATTAATTGGTGTTTATTTTGTGTCAGGCACTGTTGAGTATTTTACATTTCTTATCTAGTTTGATCTTTACAGCAACTTTATATGACAGACATTGTTCCCCCATTTTTCAGGCTAGAAATCTGAGGCCCAGTGTCCCACAATGGCTGTGTGGTGACACTAGGCTTTGAGCACAGATGGTTGACTTCCAAAGCCTATGTTCCTAACCATTATGCCACTCTGTGTTGTGACAGCGCCAAACATACTTTCATTCATATATATCTTTTAACTGATCATGTTCTTGTGTGATTTCTTTCAGAAAGGCTTTTACATCAAATATTGATAATGATAATAATAATGAACACATGTTGAACACTTACCATGTCTCAAGCACTGCTCTAGAGCTTCCCATGAAAGAACCCCTCTAATCTTCAGAACAACCCTGTGAGGTAGGTGCTACTATTACTCTGTTTTCACAAGTAAAGAAACTAAGCACAGCAGATCCACAGTCATTCTGTAGGATGCTGTGTAGAATGGCTCCCGGGACACTGGGAAAACTCTTCTGCTCCTCAGTATCTTCTTTACTGGTTCATTAATGTCTGATATTCCTGCATGAGAAAGCACAACATAGACAGAAAGCTTAATATGTATATACACACACTGAGAGATAAGGCATTGACATAACATCTCATTATAGGTATTAGAAATGCAGTCTCAAGAGCAGGTTCTCGTGGGGTGACAGGCAGGGTATTCTAGGGGAAGGAATATCCCAAGAAAGGTGGCATTACAAAGGAAGAGGAGAAAGAAAGATGTAAATGAGGAGACACTGATTTTCTTCCATTGCAAAGTTTTCCAAGGCTGGCCCCTTTTCTATTACATTCTTACCCAGTAACTCATACTTTCCCTAGAGCTCTTGCAAGAAAGAACTATTGAGAAAGTAGCCCATCTGAAAGTATATTTCCTACTGTTTATCTGCTTCCAGAACTGACTGAAGTTTACTTTTTGGTTCTCCAGAGACCTAGCTTCTTCCAATGTGGTCTATTTAATCTCCTGTCATGTGGGAAATTATATTCAAAATCTCCATGATCCTCTGTCCATAGTAAGTTATGCATGTAGTGAGAAGTACATGCCACAAGGTCTTGAGATTATATCTGCAATGTGTTGCTGCTGGCTGTTGATCAAGATAGGCTGGGAGAAAATCATTTTCAGGTGTGAAAAACTGTCACCTTTATCAAATAATTCTTCTTGCATATTTCCCAAGACGTTGTAGCCTGTTTAAACTTGGGAGGTTAATTTTGTAGCATTCATTATGACCGAAAATGTAGTTCACACAATCATGATGCTCTCTTTATTAGGTGTTACTGTTAAACAATATTAAAATACACACAATGTGGCTGGTCTTTTGTAAGCTACATGGCATGTTTACTTCTTTGCCAGGTTTCTTAATTGCATCTCTTCATCTTTCCGAATACCAGTGTCACTGTCACCCACAATATTTGCTGTTTTGAGCACATGGTTTACCTTTTATTTTGCCCAATAATAGAATATGATGGGGACATCTTATCTGAGTGTTTCATAGTATGCTGTAGTTTGAATTCTTGGCTGTTGGTTTCCCAGAGTCCCAGCTCCTGCCACTGCATTCTGCCTTTGTAAATGGAGAATAATGGCTCTAAAAAAAGTTCACCTAAGAATGTCATGATAGTGGAGAGGGAGGACCATGGAAATGCTAAAGCTACCCACTCGGCTTCTGTAAATCATGCAGAGGATCAGGAAAATGATTGAAAGTAACGTATCCCAAACAAAGCAGTCAGCTGTACAATTCAAGACCTGTGTCTGGCTGTAAAAAAAACAAAAAACAAACAAACAAAAAACACAAACAAACAAAAAAATGGAAAGAATAACCTTGCTACTCATCTTGTTCAAAAAACTGGAGCAGATTGAGTATCTAGACTCAGTTTCAGAAGAAATGTTAAATACTGACAGGGGCATATTCAAGATCTTTAGGATTTTTTCGGGGGAGGAGAGGGGAACATAAAAAAGCAATAATAAAGATAAATTTGAATGCAGGAAAAATACACATAATCCATGAATCTAACACCTGTTTTCGCATGTTTATCATCTTTGTCCCTATGTAGATCTATGTTTTCTTTCATAGTTGCAGTCATAGAATATATTCTATTCTCTAAGCTTTTATCCTTCAACATTATAGGAGAATGTTGTTCCACGTTACCACATAGCCAACTGTTTCAAAACTTGTCTAGTAAATTCTGTGCTGTTGTTTTCACAGGGAGAAACATGCACATGTATATTACTTTTTTTTTTTCTGTTGAATCATACTCTTGGAATAAAATTTTTCAGTGAGGTTTTTGGTTCCAAAAAGTATAAACATTTTGGTGATCTTTAGTAAATTGTATTGCTTTCCAAAGAAGTGATAGGAATTATACTTGCCACCCCAACAGTGAAAGAATTGCAATTTAATTTCAATGTAACAGAGGATGCTACTGTTGCTATTATATTTTCTATTATAATGAAAACCGTTAAAGATTTAAACCAAGCTGGATTGTCTTTCAGGAGCTGCTGTTAAATGAACACCTTGATATCTTCGTTCTTGGAGAGAAATGAGCCAAGGAGGAAGACCATCTAAAAAAACCACTAGACAATTTGTGCTCACTGGAGTGGTCTCTGCTGGGCAAAAGGTCTTTAGAATGACTCGTGGATTTTCTGGCAAGTGGCAAACCATACAAGTGCTATGTCAGGCCAGGGAGACAGGTGCAGCCCTGTCAGTGTCAAAGAAGAACACTGGTAGCAGAAGAGCTAAGAGTGAATGAAAATTGAATTATCTTTATTTCTAGGACTTGTCTATTGAGAAACAACAGTGCTGGCAACGATTTACTACCAACAAGAGGCAGTTCCAAGAGAAGAATATAAAATATGCTCTGCTCAATCCCATGAAACTCAGAGTGTCTCACAATGGCCAATTTCTTATTTTTACCCTGTCCAGAGACAAGGAAGGATGCATCAGGGAGCTGCTAGCCTCTGTGATGAATAACTTGAGTCAGGCTGCAACATGTGAAAGAATTCAGCTGATCAGGATTTATAACACTAGCTGGATTTTTTGCTTTCTTTGGGGTTCATGAAACATGGTGTTGTGAGATACCACAGGAGTCCCAGAGTAAAGTTACATACCTATTTCTCTTCCTTATTTTTATTTTTTTGGCATGTTCATACTATTTTATTACCAACATCGTTGGCATCCCTGAGTATGAGAGTTCAGAAGAAACTTAGAGGCTATTGTCTGATTCAATCCTTGCAGCTTACAAAAAGAAATGTGGGGAGCAGTCACTGTGTGACTAGCCTAGGTCACTCAGGAAGTTAGAGGCAGAACTGCAGCCAGGGTCACCTCTCTTTACTGCTACTAGTGTGCTCTTTCTACTGCACCCTGATCATAAAACATCTCCCAACCCAGGAACAAGGTCTACCGCATAGGTGGGCACAGCAGCGTGATCACTCTCTCAGTCATCTGTACTCCTCCTTTGCTTTGACCAAAGACACAGGAAGGGACCTTTTGCCCCACATAAAACACCTCTCAGAGGCTTTGCAACAACAACAGATAATAGAGAGCATTGACCTAAGACCAACATTTCAACCATGGTGTCAAAACAATATTTTATTTCAGCAAAGAAAAACTATGTCACAAGTGGATTATTATTACTAATAATCAGACTAGTGGTACTTGTGAATGACTTGGTTTCATACTCACACTTGGACAACTATGCACACTGAGTATAACTGACCTTATGAGAACATCATTCTCACTAAGATTATGATGTGCTTTCTCACGTGGGAACTGTACATAATATTGCGTGTACACTTGGGAGGAAGTCCTGCCTGTGGTGTTGTCTTTCAGGGGAAGAAGAATGGTTGACAAGTGAGGGTATATTAAACATTTACTCCTCCAGATTTTTCAAGATTTCTGTTAAGCCAGATCAGAAGAAAGCCATCTATTTGGATTGCATCACTCTAACCTGGTAAGTCGAATTGTCTACACAGAATTATAATTTCACGATATGTCCAGATTACTTACCGAGAGCCAATTTGAGACACCAACAGGACTAGTAAAACATCTTTGCACTGTGGGTAGCGTTGCTATCAAAGACCTTATACATTATGTCATTCAAGAACCTTTATATTAAGATCCTTATGGAAAATCCTTCCCAAAGTTTAACCCTATGATAAAGGGTTTTTTCCTCCTGGTAACATAGTGGGCAATTGGGAACTGTTTAACCCAATGCATTGATTTCATTGATTGTTTTGGTTGCCGAGAAGTATGGATGCTCAGAATAGGTTTTCTTGTTTTCAACTGCTAATTCCTTTATTTAAATTGTAATAAATGTTTCCCTTTACTTCTTTCCTTTTTCTTTTTAAGAAATTTAATGTATTTCATAATAAATTATAAATTATCAATAGATCAATTAGCATAGAATAGTTTGGAATAATGCTTAGAGATCTCCCATTGAAAAAGACCCCAGTACCATAGGGTTCACAGCTGAGTGTTAACTGAACTTGAACAAATTCTGATTTTATTTAAAATGATCAAAGCCTAGAAAAAAAACTCCCGCAGATCACATGGGGCACATAATAACTAAAAAAAAAAAGAAACAAAGAGGAGTGGCTTTCTTCAATTAATTTTATAGTGTAATATCAAAGCTTAATAGTTAATATATTTCATCTAATGTAGAATGTCAATGTTTAGAAATCAGACATTATTTCATGTACCATTAGAGATATACTGCCAATTAAACTGTGACTTCCTTAGCAAAAGCAAAAAAAGGAATTTTAAAGATATTAAAACATGTAAAGAAGAATATAAGCACTATACTCCCAACCCCTTCAATTAACATGTTAATATTTTATTGCATTGTTTTTCAGTAATTACTTTAATAAAATAAATCATTATTAGCTAATGTTCCACCCCTACCACTCCAATCTCATTCTCCTTCTAGGTCCCCCAGGCCCAATTGCTAAAATAAATTTGTTGTACACTTTAAAGTTAATTTTCTATACATTTGCACATAAATATGTGCATTCGTAGAAAGTATTTTTGTGCTGAGAAGGTAGAATAAGCCCTTCAAAATTGTTGATGTTCAGATTCCAGTTGGCAAAAGTCTTACACATGTGGCATTAAATATTTTCAGTATTAAACATGCACATTCCACAAGTTCAGCAGTTCTGTAATATACATCCAGAGTCTGCCCTGAGGGATGCTTACAACCTTAGTATAAACTCTCACTCACCCCTTTTAGAGAATAAAACTTACACCTATGTAATGACCAGTCCAGGTACAAGGGTGTCCTCTAAGAACATTCATTCATGTATTCAAAAAATCTTTATTGAGCACCTGCACATTTCATGCCAGGGAGGTGACCTGTGTTCTCCCTACACAACAGGAGAAAGAGTGGTGGCATCGGCAGGAAAGTGCAGTGGAAAGGAGGAGCTGACTTTGGCAGGAAAAAGAACGATATTACTTTGAATTTATCAACTCTGACGTAACATCCTGATAAAAAGTGCCATATCCAAATCACGTTGAAGATTCTCAAAGGACAGTACCAAAGTTGAATAAAAACACAGTGCCTCAAATGGGAAGTGGTATAGAAAGGCCTGAGGCTGGGGTATGGAGGCACACGGTGTGCCGAGAACGAGGGAAGAGAAGAGTGAACAACTGCTCGGGGTCGGGTTGCATTGATGGCGAGAGATGGGTGTAACATGCATTTATGAGGACAGACATGATCAGGTTTAAAGAAAAAGAATTTTTTTTTTTTCCAGCAGTCCTACTATGGGGCATTTATCTACAGGAAAGGAAATCAGCATATTTAGGAGATACCTGCACCCTCATGTTTATAGCAGCCACTATTCACAGTAGCCAAGATTAGAATCAACCTAAATGTCCAAAAACATAATAGATTAAAAATGTAGTATCTATTCACAGTGGAGTACTATTTAACCGTAAAAATAATGAAATCCTGTCCTTGGCTGCAACATGGATCAGCCTGGAACACTACATTAAGTGAAATAACCTAGGCACAGAATTATAAATCTTGCATGTTCTCACTCATATGTGGGAGTTAAAAAAAAACGAACTGAGCTCATGGAAGTGGAGAGTAGAATTCTGGTTATTACAGGCTGGGGAGAGCAACAGGGAGAAGAGCACAGGGAGAGGTTGGTTAACAAATACAAACTTACAGCTAGATAGGAGTAATGAGCACACCTATGACACCAAGCTGGGAATCGACAAGTGTGACAACTCCTCCACGTCCCTGAAGATGGGATACACACAGGGCGCTCATCAGAGCGGCCAGGCCTTCGGCATGGGCCCACAGATATACGACCCCAGGTACTACTGGGGAAGCCCAGTGGCCCACGGCGCTCCCTCGGGCTCCGGCCCCGGAATATCTCCCTTACTACCAGGAGGAGACCGGCTACTGAGGCTCCCAGCACGCTCTCTCCACACATGATCTCCCCTCTGGGTGTTTGGGTTTTTCTGTGTTTTCATCTTTTTTTTTTTTAACCTGTTCAGTGCTGCCAGTCAACCGAGGGTCTGTGAGTGGCAGCGTGGGATCAGGCAGCAGGGTTTTTTCCCCACCTCCCCCTGCTTTGGTTCCTTCTCAGGACTGAGCCACCGGGCTGTGGGGGAAGGGATCAAGGCCGTATCCTGATGCGTGTAGGGTGAAGGTGCCCGCTGGCACTTCCAGGCTGTAGGCTGAGCTGTGCTGGAGAGAAGAGACCTGGACATGGAGGGAACCGGTCCCTGAAGGTTTCTGGTTGCCTCTCCTCTTCCCCTTTTCTCAGCCTATCAGTAAGTGGTTTCTGTACCTGCAAAAGTTTCAGGAAGTATTAACAAAATAAAAAAAAATTTTTTTCCCCGAGGAATGGGGCGGGGACAGTGGAGAGGGTGCTAGGAAGTGTGTCCCCTGGGAGAGGGGGCTCAGCCATGATGCTAAAATATCTCAGGCTCCTGAGTGGCTGGATTTCCCTAGGACCCTCAGACCAACAGACCTCAGACCTACGCTGGGGCCCCGTGAGGAAACTGAGGCCCATACAAGGTACTGGAATTTTGAGTTGTCAGGGTTAAGCCTGACCCATCTCCATCCTGCTCCCCGACCTCCGTGGCCCTCAGTAGGGTTTTTTGTTTGTTTTTGTTTTTGTTGAGATGTAGTCTCACTCTGTTGCCCAGGCTGAAGCGCACTGGAGTAATCTCGCCTCACTGCACCTCGGCCTACCGGGCTCAAGCGATTCTCCTGCCTCAGCCTCCAGAGTAGCTGAGACTACAGGCGCCCACCACCACGCCTGCCTAATTTTTTGTATTTTTAGTAGAGACGGGATTTCACCATGTTGGCCAGGCTGGTTTGGAACTCTTTCCCTCATGTGATCCGCCTGTTTCGTCCTCCCAAAGTGTTGGGATGACAGGCGTGAGCCACCGCGCCCAGCCCCTCAGTAGGTCTTAAGGAGCCCCGGCCCTCCTTCTCCCCTTCCGGGCCTGACCAGGTCTACTGCTCTATCTCTCCCGGCTCCAGGCCACGCCAAGTACTGCACAGAGCCCTCCACCCAGGGGCCCTGCGCTATGAGATAATGTGAAATACCGACTGTGGACCAAACGCAATAAAACCTCTGTTTTTAAGAAGAAAATGAAAAGACTTAAAATTGGCATTTTAAGACTTTACTATATATTATTAAATATATATTAAATATAAATGTTATACAATTTAGCGCCTCTATCTCCCAGTCTCTGGTTAGGAACTTAACTTTCCTAAGCCTCAATTAGTAAACACTTATGGCCTAGCCACGTTGACCCGCCTCTCTCCTAACATCATCCAGTACATTTCGGAAGCGCATGCAAAACTCTCCCACCTTCTGTTTCAACAGATATGTCAACTGATACAATTATACAATAATTGCATAATATTAGATTTAATCTCACAATCACACTCAGCTTGATTACTAACCCTTCTCCTACACCTTGCTCACCTAAATTTATCTACATTTTCTATGAATTGAAATAGCTTAGAAATGTATGTTGTCTGTGTATTATAGTGTAAGTTATTGCAATATAGAAATATGGACTTTCTTTAACTCCCATTTGCTGCCTAGGAAATACCAATATTTTCTAAGCATGGCAAGTGTTTCCAAGCATTCAGAAGTGGAGAGTGTAGGAAATCCACTGCAGAATGAGGTCTGCTTGTCATCCTCTCAGTCTCAACTGCTCTCCCTCCTTCATCGCTCTCTGTTTCATTGGTGAGTATAGAAGATCAGGCATTTTTATATGAAATGAAAATTGATGGAACTAAGGTGTTGATTTGAATATCCAACCGACCATTTATTGAGTGTCCATTACAAGTTAAATTGTGTTGTAGAGAACAGCTCAGGAAACGAATGCTTGACATTGATGAACATAACAGAAATACAAACATGCCATTAAAAAATCAGACCTCTTATGAGCATCCAGATTCTCATGTAAGTTTTGTGAAGCTCTTTCAAAATGAGAATGTAAAATTTCAAAAAAAACATCATTTTCACAAGTCATTCTTGAGACAGAAAAGTGGAAATAGAAGTTCATATATGGTTGTTTCACTAGCTCAAATCTTATGTACAGTTTTTAGTCAATTGACAGCCATATAATTCTTAGTTTTATATACTGATAGTCATTAGAAATTACAAATTTTAAAAAATATTCCTGTCTCATTCTACGAATCAATCTAAAAATTTCATTCACTTGGTTATATTTCTTCATTTTACCTGGCCTTGACTACTTCTTTCCTGCCCAGCATTAAATTTAATTAATGTCTAATTTGTTTACTTGGTTTAGTTATTTTGGCCATGTTCAGTACACTTGTTATGAAGCAGGCATGTAGGAATGTTGACAAGTTTATGGTCCTCACTCTTCCAAATCCCTAATGGCGGCACCCCAACAGACACATACCACAATGTAAACACATACACACACACACAATCACACCCACCCATACTCACCCACGTACACACAGACACACACACACACTCCAGTGGATCAACACATAAAACACTCCACAGGCAGACATCGTACAGCAGGGATCTCTTAGTGCACTACACACTTCTGTAAATTATCAGGACTCTTCAATTGAGGTGAGTCTACAGAGATTTCAAAAGCTATTTGAGTGCTAAGCTATCTAACTAGTGGTTGGACACTATTTAAATAATGCATTAAACACAACTCTTGAGGCTCTGAAGAATTTCTGTGCTTTCCAATTCACCAGGAGTTACAAGGTCCTGAAAACCACAACTGTGTTACATCCTTTAATAGATAAAGCAAAGCTGATTTTAATGTGAATATACTTTATAGTTATTTCTATTCCTGTTAATTTTTGTTTGCTTGTAATACACATTTTTATGTAACTGGGAGTAAGGAACATCTTAGGAAAAAGAAAACAAAAAATAAAATTTCGCTGTTTACACTGTGCCTTGGTCCAGTAACCCTGCACTGCACATATACACTTTAAATTGGTGTCTTGGGGAACCACTTCGGTATTTCTTTTTTTTTCTTTTATGTTGTAAACCTTTCTTGTAAAAATAAACAAAAAACAAAAAAAAGACAAACAAACACATTAGACTATGTCAACATGAGGTCAGGATAATCAATATTACTGTCTGAACCTCCACATCTTGTCCCACTGAAAAGGCTTCAGAGATAATTACACTCATGGAGTTGTTATTTCCTATGGTAATGATGCTTCTTTCTGTAATACTTCCTGAAAGATTTGCTTGAGGCTATTGTACAGATTTAACTGTTTTTCCATAAGTAGAAGGGGTAATTCTAATGATAAAAATTGTAATATATAAAACACATAAACCAGTAACAGAGTTTATCATTATCTAATACTATGTACTGCACACAATTGCATGTGTACTTTAGTATCACTGAAAGAAAAGCAAATTTGTTTACACCGTCATCACCACAAACACTAGCAATACATTTTGCTACAATGTTAGGTGGCTTACAATATCACTGGATGATAGAAATTTTTCAGGGCCATTAGAATCTTATGAGGACAACATCATACATATATGGTCTGTCATTGACCAAAACATAATTATGTGGCACATGAGTGTATATATCAGATACATCAATCAATATATTCAACATTTCTCCCCTGCTTATCCTAATGATAAAGATGATATAAAATGTAATTTAAAAATATAAGAAGAAATGGTGTAATGGTCTCTATATTAAAAACTAGAGTTAAATTGTTTAAAAAATTATAAGTAGATGCTAAATACACAGATTGAAATACATTAAATACATTAAGAATGTTTGTTCTGTTTCTTATATATTGCTGGTTTTCTGTCATTGAAAGTTTAATTTAGACCTCCTTATTTCATGTAATCACCCCAATAATTTGTCTTACAAACAATTAACAGAAGTTAACACTATATAACATAGTTGTATATTGTCTTACTCTTACAATGGGATACTTTACTTTTCATGAGGGAAACAGTAAGCTATAAAGTTTACACAATCTGAGATGTAGATAAAGATTGTTGTGCAAGATTGCTTCTAGATATATCACTTTATAATGGTAACATAAAAAAAGGAAAGTAATGTGTAAAATATCTTCTAATGCAACCCTTTCCACTCTTCCTGACTCATTGGCCTTTTTTTTTTTTTTTTTTGACTTCTCACGAGTACATTAGGAGGCTCCCTCACCCTCTGGCTTCAGGTTAGGTTCAGCCTGTGGAGAACCCTGTAAGAAGGCAGAAAGGAAGAGGAGAAAAGGGTCACGGTGTTTATTCGTGTTTATTCTGTTGGTCTCTTCTCCATGAGGCTGTCTTCCCTACATGTGTCTCTTTACAGAAGGTTACTTTTGTTCTCCAGGTGGTCTGATCTTCTACTCCTTCTTTTTCCAGGTTTTGTTTTTATCCTCACTGAGCGCCAGTTCCAGATTTATTGCTTACAATTCTTTCATGCTCCTTCCTTTGTATGGAAGCATTCCTCAAATTATTCTTAGTTGTATTTACCAACTGTTTTCTGTTGAAATTCTGACTAATCCAGAATATAAAACTTTATAGAGTCCAGTCATTCTTTGCCATGTTCTGTTTCCCCCCATCTCTGTGGCTATGAAAACATGTATCAAATATTTTACCTGACTCGCAGGAAGGGGAAGTCCCACTGCTTTGCCTGTTTTGGATAGGTGGCATCAGTTAAACTAAACCTTTCATAAACTACTGATACATCAGTGGTTTCTTGTTACATAGAATGAACAGTATTCACCAGAATAATATCCTGACTAGCAAACACATCAATTGCCACTCAATGTTCTAAGTGTTATGAGTAAAATAAAAACTGAATAAAGATTTTGCCCTCAGGATGTTTATGTTCTCCTACGTGAGAAAGATAATTAAAAATACAAAATATAATATCAATTTTTGAATCATAAGTGTTACGCAGAAAGTGAATTAGGGTAAATTTCCATGCTTGTAGTTTTGCTTATGGTTTACTATTTGTATTCATTTTTTAGGACTGTCATACAAAATACCACAAACTGGGTAGCTTAAAACATCAAAAGCTTATTCTCTCAGTTTTGGAGGTCAGAAATTCAAAATCAAGATGTTAGCAATACCATGCTCCCTCTGAAACCTGAAGGAGAGAATCTTTCTTTACCTCTTGTTTTCAGGTGCCAGTTATCAATTCTTGGCACATTTTTTGGCAGGCAACTGCATCAGTTTGTGACTCTGTCATCACAGGACATTCTCCCTATATGTATGTATCTCTGTGCCCAATTCTTATAAGGACAGCACTCACCTGACCTCATCTTAACTAGTGACATCTGCAATAGCTCTATTATCAAATAAGTTCACATTTTAAGGTACTGGAGTTTAGCACTTCATTGTATCTTTTGAAGAGACACAATTAAGCTCATATGTAATAAATATTAGTATTCAAATTAAGTATATCCTACACTTAAAATATACTGATAAAATAATTTGTAATTTCTAAAGACCTCATAATCATACAATCAATATTTATAACAGATTTCTCTTCATTTTGTTATCTATAAATCTGTATTTTTGTTTTTAGTTACAACCATGACATCCCCAGAAAGCTTTTCTATACAGAGAAGTGGCTCTGAAACTGTTATCAACATCTAAACTTTTGTAAAAATTGAAACTATTGTAATTTCAATTTACCTGAAGAATGTTTTCTTTTGATGTATTTGAATTGAGTATCCCTGTGATTGACAGGATGAAATGTTTATGAAATAGATCAATATTGCTCATTGTGATATTCATCATTGAATAATTATATTTTTATTTTGTCAATTCTGAGTTATTTGGAAACAAAAATCCACAGAATGTTACCTTATATAAATATGTTAATACATTCTTGATTATTAATAAATCTGTTACTACAATGTCATATCCTCTCAGTAATAAAAGCATATTTAATTTATGCTTTTATCCATTAGAAAACAGTGAAGCTAGAAATTATTTAAAATTTTCCCCTAAGAAATATGTGGAAAAAATAAGAAAATTTATATTTTAAAATGAAATTGCATTAAGAAGCCAACATTGATGCATTTATTGACTAAAGACCAGAGTTTACATTAGGGTTCACTCTTTGTATTATACAGTTCTATGGGGTTTGCTAATTGCATGATGTCATGTATCCACCATTACAGAATCATAGATAATAATTTCACTGCCCTAAAAATTCCCTGTGCTCCACCTACTTATCCCCCACATGCCCAACTCCTGGTAATGACTAAACTTTGCACTAGCTCTATAGTTTCATCTTTTCTAGAAGATTATATACTTGGACTCATACAATATGTAGACTTTTCAGACTGGCTTCTTTCACATAGAAATATGCATTCAAATTTCCTCCATGTCTAATCATGACTGGATGGCTTATTTTTTTACCCCTGATAATTATGTCATTGTAAGGATATAGCAGAGTTTGTTTATCTAATTAAGGAATGATTACCTATTAAAGGATAAGCTGGGTGCTTCTAAGTTTTAGTAAGTAAGAATATAGCTGCACATGCAATAAACATTTGCATGCAAGTTTCTGTGTGGTACAGTATACTATTTCTTTGTTCTTAAATACTTTTCACTGGTGTGAACCAATGAGATGCTAACATTGCATTGCTCGTACTTGGTTGGTTTCTAAACTTTACTTACTTTTACAATTTTTAAAGAGAAGTTTCTATTGCCAGTTTTTTAAAGTGATATGCTCTGCTGGCCTTGACATAACAATACACCATCATTAGCTTTTAAGTCCTTAATATGCTCAAAAAATTAGAGAGCAACTATATCCATGAACCACCATCTAGATTGCAGGAATTAAAGGGAGAACAAATGTTCATTGAATAGATGCAATTTACCAGGACTTATGCTAAGCATTACAGATCTATAATCTCTTTATATATATATATATATGTATATATATATACACACACACACACACACACACACACACATATATATAAGAAAATTAAGGTGAGAAAGTAATAAACAATGCTAATTAGCTCTGTTTTTAAAAGTAACAATCCAAACTTAAACTCAAATTATTTTTACTGTAAAACCACTGTAGAAAAATAAAAACAATTAAATTCAGAGTTCTATATTGCATACTAACTGTAAACCACATCATTGTTCAGATTGATTTTTTTAACAGATCAAAACATATTTAATCCGTTGCATTGAATTTAATGCATTGTGTTGCTACTCCTTATTTTATTTTGTTTTATTTTACTCAATTTTATATTTTATTTTCTTTCTAGTAGAATATTAGCTGGTACATCTGAATACCAGAATGTAAAGAAAGGAAGAACAGATCCAAATAAATATTTAAAGTAATAATGGCTAAGAATTTTCCAAAATTAACAGCAGATACTGAATACAGATTCAAGAAGTGCAGAGAATACCAAGCAGAATAAATGTCAAAAATCTATACTTAGGTATATATTTTTTAAACCAAAGAAAATCAAAGACAGAGAGACATACTGAAAGGAGCCAAGGGTAAACAAGAAAACTTACCTGTAAATAAATAAGGCTAAGAATTACAGTTGGTTTTTCATTAGATGAAAGCAAGAAGAGAGTGGGGGGAAATACTTAAAGTGTTGAAAGTGAAACACACAGAGACACACACACCATCTACATTTCTTTTTTTTTTTTTTGGAGACTGGAGTGCAGTGGTGTAATCTCGGCTCACTGCAACCCCCACCTCCTGAGCAAGCAATTTCTCCTGCCTCAGCCTCCCGAGTAGCTAGGACTACAGGTGCATGCCATCACACCTGGCTAATTATTTTTGCATTTTTAGTAGAGACGGGATTTCACTGTATTAGCCAGGATGGTCTCAATCTCCTGACCTCGTGATCTGCTCGCCTCGGCCTCCCAAAGTGCTGGGATTACAGGTGTGAGCCATCGCATCTGGCCTACATTTCTATATCTAATAGAATTATCCTGCAATAGTGTAGAAGAAATAAAGACCTTCTCAGACAAACAAAAACTGAGAAAGTTTATGGTCAGTAGACATGCCTTGCAAGGAATGTTCAAAGAAGTTCCTAGGGAGAAGAAAAAGGGTATAGGTCAGAAATTGGTCTATATAAAGAAAGGAAGAATATCATCGAAGGAATGAATGAAACTAAAATAAAATGTTTTATTTTCTTATTCTTAATTGACCTAAAAGATAATATTTTGTTTAAAAGGAATAACTGTAACAATGTATTGAATGAATATAGTATATAAATGAATACATTAAATGGCAGTAGTGTCATAAATAATGGTAGGAATTGGGATTACTTGTATCTTAGTTTGCTCAGGCTTTTATAACAGGATACCATACACTAGGTGGCTTATAATCAACAAAAATGCAGTTTTCAGTTCTGAGACTGGGAAGTCCAAGGTCAAGCCATGTGCATATTACGTGTCTGGCAAGGGCTTGTTCATAGAGGATGGGTCACTGGGATTTCACACAGCAGAAGAGCAAATTAGCTCTCTAGGGTTTCTTTTGTAAAGGCACTAATTCTATCCATAACAGTTTGCCCTCATGACCTAATCACTTCCCACAGACCCATCTCCAAATACTCTTACCATAGGGATTAGGTTTCAACATACACATTTTGGGGGAAGAGGGGAATACAAATATTGAGTCTGTAACACTCTTGTAAAGTGATATTTGTGTTGAGTTATTCAAAGTCTTATTTAAAGGTAGATTGAGATTAGTTAAAAATGTGTATTGCAAACTCACATAAATCACTAAAACTGTTCTAAAGTATAACTGACATGCTAGGAGAGGAAATGTAATGGGATTATTTTAAGTGTCAATTAAAACAATAGAAATAAGAAAAAGAGTGATTGTTGGGAGGCAAAGAATAAATGATATGAATAGAAAATAGTTATAAACATAATAAATACCAGCCCAACTTTTTTACCACCCAATAATTACTTTAAATGTGCATGATCTAAATATACCAATTTACAAGACAGCTGTTGTCAGAGAAAAACAAAATAAGACATCTAGTTAACAATCTTTTTCTTTCTTTATTTAATAAACCTGAACAACATTTTACATCTAATTTAATCCCAGCACTTTGGGAGGTGGAGGCGGGCAGATCACGAGGTCAGGAGATCGAGACCATCCTGGCTAACACGGTGAAACCCCGTCTCTACTAAAAATACAAAAAAATTAGCCGGGCGTGGTGGCGGGCACCTGTAGTCCCAGCTACTCGGAGAGGCTGAGACAGGAGAATGGCGTGAACCCGGGAGACGGAGGTTTCAGTGAGCCGAGATCGCGCCACTGCACTCCAGCCTGGGCAACAGAGCGAGACTCCGTCTCAAAAAAAAAAAAGAAAAGTTGATGAGTAATTTTTGTCATATGGAGTTCAGTGATATTTATAATAAAAATTGCATACCACACAACTGATCAAAGCACAGCATATCCGTACCACCGTAGTCTTACTTATGGCTACCTGTCCAGAGCTCACTTTGAAAAGTCACTTCCCTACTGAAATTCATGACACTTATGGAATTGTCAGAATCTACAAAGAATGTATAAGGAATTTTTATAAATTATGAATTACTCTAAGTAAGATATTTTGTTAAAGCAGCAGGAATGTCCTAAAACACCATGTGATGGGAACAAGAAATGACATCCTTAGTCATAAGCAAAACTTGTTGATGAAATGGCTAAAAAATAAATATGCCCAACTCAGCATCATTAACAAGGGAAATCTCATAGGTGATAAGGAACAGAACCTGGCCCTAAGGTTTCTAATAGGGCCAAAGTCTCCCACTTCATGTTTTACTCCTTTGGGTGTCTCTATGCAGTAAACTCACTAGTTTATGTACTAGGGAACAGTTGGTTTAGAAAGGTCATGCCAAAAGGTCAATATAAATTTCTTCACTGGCCTTCTTTTAGAGTAATGAGACCTTTCTGTAAAATAAAGATGGTTTTGTTGCATATCCATATAGCAACCTATCATTTATAGGAGCTATTCTTTCTGCAACATCCATATTAATACCCAGGTGAAAAGTGAACCAAAATAAAAAGACGATAAAAAGATGAATGAATTTTTTTCTTAATTTGGGCAAAATTACTTCAAAATGTTTACAGTATATACAACATCTCAAAATATGTAATTGGAAAGAAAATTTTACAAACTAAAAATATTTACATTGTGCATGTTTTGTTTTTTTATTTAGAAATAAAAGCCAAACAGGTACCCAGAGAAGCCAAATACAAGATAATAATTACTTTGAACACTTTTTCATTCAAGCAAATTTCTAACTGTGAATGTAGGGTTACAAGTACATTCCAGAAAGTGAAGGTACATTCGGTCTACTAAATTTCTTGGCCATAATTTTCTAAATTTTACTGAACTTGGAATCACAGGACTGGGGAATATTCATTGGGGAATATAAAAAGTAGCTTTCTCATTTTTGCAGTGATTTCATATAAAAGAAGAAACATTATTTATATAAAATGTTTTCTTCACATGAAAATTTGGTTGGTATATCTGTGCTATTTTACCTTTTGCTAGATATATATTAATAACTTCAGAAAATATAATACATGACACATTTTGATTTATCTTCTGTCTTCATATATCCCAAAGCTTGAGTTAAAATGAAGATAAATCATAAAACACTCAATGATTTTGTATGTTATATTCAAAATAAGGCCACATTGATCCAAAATCACTCTGTAGTATTCAGTTACTTAGAGGAGCATGTTAAAGTTTTCATACCCATATAGGATAATCAATTGTAAGAATTTCTGTCATTTGCCTCAATGGTGGTAACAATGTTTATTTATTAGTAGAATAAAGAGAATTTATTTCCAAGAAATGCAAGAGTTTTATGTATTTTGCATTTAAAAATTAAGTACAGTTCAATGAGTGTTTTGATTTAAAAAAATAAAAATGAACAGAATTCTAAACTACACTTCTGATGTAGCCATGTGGCCAAAATACTAACAATCTGACTTAAAATATATCTTCATCTAATTATTCCTTCTGTGCAAAAGATGAATTGGATTTGTTGGGAAGGATGCTTTGAAAGCATGAATTTAATTTTCCTTCTTCCAGGGTATCTATTTCTTCCATCATTGTAAGTAGGAATTGCTTGCTCACATGCAAAAATGCAAACACTGGTTTTTAAGTGCTATCTGGAAGAAATACCAGAATACATATATTCTACATACATATAATATTTACAATACATATTCAAGATATCTATAGATACATAAAAATAAACATTTAATGAAAATTGAAAATATTAGAAAGGCCTAAGGTACTTCAGGTAGGTAATCTCATTTATTTTTACAGGAAAAGGATATTTCCCAATAACATTAAAGCTTATATAAAATTTGATAATTGGTTAAGTCAAGCTTCTAATAAGTGGTAAATAAAGATTTACTTGTTAGTATCCATTATATGAGTATTAGTTCATTCTCACACTGCCATGAAGACATACCCAAGACTGGAGACTGAGTAATCTATAAAGAAAATAGGTTTAATTGACTCACAGTTCTGGGGAGGCCTCAGAAAACTTACAATCATGGCAGAATGCAAGAGAAGCAGGTACCTTCTTCACAGGGTGGCAAGACCCAATGAGTGCAACCAGGGGAAATGTCAGATGCTTATAAAACCATCAAATCTCAAGATAACTCACTCACTATAATGAGAACAGCATGGGGGAAACCACCTTCATGTTCTACTTACTTCCATCTGGTCCTGCTCTTGACACATGAGGATTATGGAGATTAGAATTCAAGGTGATATTTGGGTGGGGACACAGAGCCAAACCCTACAGTATGTATGGTATCCTACTATGTATTGCTTGAATCTACACAATTCTGTCTCTTTAAATGGATTCCAGCTGAGGATAGTAAGGAACAAAATTGACACATAATATGTAGAAAATAATGTATCAACAAAATGTATTATATAATAATTTTCTTCATTAAATAATATTTTTTAGTAAGAATTATGTTAGGTGCTGTAGGAATAAGAGAATAAAACAAGTGTGTATTTTACTCTTTGGAGAAAAGTAATACAAAAAAGAAAGCCAAAACAAAGCAGAATCAAAGTTGGACATTCATATAGATATGCATGTAAATATATATGCATTTGTGGACTTTCAAAAAATTTAAAAACATTTTTATTAGAGAAATGATAAAACTTTATGATAAAATTGCATTCAATTTGGATTTAGAAAGGGTAAAATTATGTGTCTTAGACCATTTTGTGCTTCTAAAACAGAATACCATAGATTGAGTAATTTATAAAGAACAGAAATTTACTTCTTACCATTCTGGTGGCTAGGAAGTCCAAGATCAAGATACCAGGCTCTGAGGTCTTCTTGATGCATCCTCACATGGTGGAAGGTGGAAGGGGCAAGAGAGAACCAACTCTCTCTGTCAAGACCCTTTATAAGATCACCTCATCCCATTCATGAGGGAGGATCTCTCATGGCCTAAACACCTCTTAAAGGCCTGACCTCTTAGGACTATCACATTGGCAACACTTGAATTTTGGAGGAGATTCATTAAAGCCATGTCAGTATCCATTTCTTACTAAAGGTAAAAAATAATTTGAAGTATGAAGGGAACACAAAATGAATAATACCTCCAAGAAATATTCATTCATTTGTCCACTCACTCACTAAATAAATATTGAGAGACTGACTTGTAAAAGCTAATTTACTCTCTTCTAAGCTCCATCATACCAGGCTGGGAAACTCCCAGTAGATAATATGGGCACTAAGATCTAACCTAATATAAACTCAGATCAATTTACTTCAGATATCAGGATAAAAAGTTCTGCACCATTGTGAGCCAGGGTTCTTCCAGACAGCAATACAAGGAAGTAGAAGAGACAGAGTTGATCCAAAAAGCAATGAGCCTGGGAAGTTTTTATAGCAGGTAATTTCAAATAAATCATTTTCTATACAACTGAGATTCTTCTATTCATGAATAGAACCTTCTTAAATGCACTCCAGCATTTCTCCAAAGTGGGGCATTGTAAACAAATAAAAAGAGGGCCAGAAATGGCTATTTATCTCACTTAAGCGTAATAGAGCATCCAATACCAGCATCCAGGCTGGGTCAATGGAAATCTGGTTCCAGACTTTGCTTTTGCCTTTGAAGATAATTTTTTTTTTCTTTAAACTGTATTTGAAGTGAGATTCTATATGGACTGCTATGTAAGGGAAGGGATTCTTTGAAAATGGGTCCAACCCACTAGAAGAAGAGATAACAAATGGAGATAAGCTGAACCCTGATTACTTTACTTGGAGCCTGAAATCACCTTTAGCTTAAATCATACTACCCTTGGGCTTAGTTACTTTAGTCTACTTTTTTTTTCCATTTATGTTACTTGCCCCCAAATGAGTCTTAATGGGGACAAATGGTCATTCAGGTACAGGCCTCAGAAGAGCATTCCTGATGAGAGGAAACATTTCCAAGGAATGTTAATGAGATTGTTCTGGGACAGGATAAATAAAAGAAATACATTTAGAGGAGTTCTACATTTAAGGAACAGCACAGAAAGAGAAACGTACAAAACAGCTAGTGGTGGAACAGTAATAGAATGAAAGGGAAAACCAATTTCTTTGAAACGTTTACAGTCATGCCCCACATAATAATGCTTTGGTCAACGACAGACTGCATTTAAAATAGTGGTCCCATAAGATTCTAATGGAGCTGAAAAATATCTTCCATGTAGTGACATAATAGCCATTATAACTTCAAAGCTCAATGCATTACTCAAGTGCATTTGGTGATGCTGATATAAACAAACCTATCGTGCTGCCAATCATAGACAAGAATAGTGCATATAATTATGTACAACACATAATACTTGATAATGATAATAAATTACTATGTTACTCATTTATGTATATACTTTACTATTTAATGTTATCTTAGGGTATACTCTTATTTATTAAAAAAAATTATCTGTAAGACTGTCTCAGGCAGGTCCTTCAGGAGATATTTTAGAAGAAGGCATTGTTATCACAGCAGACTACAGGTCCATGCATGTTATTGCCCCTGAAGACCTTCCAGTGGGATGAGGTGTGAAGGTAAAACACAATTATATCGATGATCCTGATCGTGTGTAGGCCTAGGCTAATGTGTGTGTTTGCATTTTACTTTTTAACAAAAAGGTGTACAAAGCTGAAAAAGGAAAAAATCTTATAAAACAGAGCTATAAAAGATGATATTTTTGTATAGCTGCACAATGTGTTTGTGTTTTAAGCTAAATGTTATTATAAAAAATCAAAGCGTTGAAACATATAAAAGCGTTAAAATATATTAGATTAAAAGGTATAGTAAGATAATGTTAATTTCATGGTCCTTAAGTGTATCATTTTTATAAAATCCACAGTCATATACGGTAATGTCCTAGGGTTTCACATTCACTCGTCATTCACTCACTGACTTATCCAGAGTAACTTTTAGTCTTCAAGCTCCATTTATGGTAAGTTCCCAATATAGACGTAACATTTTCCATCTTTTACGCTGTACTTTTACTATACCTATTCTATGTTTAGATACGTTTAAATACACAAATACTTGCCGTTATGTTACAATTGCCTACATGTTCAGTATAGTCACACGCTGTACAGGTGTGTAGCCTAGGAGCAATAGGCTATATCTCATATAGCCTAGATATGTAGCAGACTATGTTGTCAAGGTTTTGTAAACATCTATGATGTTTGCATAATGACAAAATTGCCTAATAATGCATTTCTCAGATCATATCAGTATTACTAAGTGTCACATGATTATACATATTTAATTTTTACTGGTGAAATATTATTATTCATATTGAACAGAATTGAAACTCTAGCTCTATTACTTATCTTTCCTAGTTGAAGCCAAGCTTTTTCCAACAGATTGGAAAACTATATGCTACTGAGAAAGTTACTGCTATTGGAGTTCTAAAATACATACGTATGTCTCTTACCTCTCAAAATTATTTTGTAATATCATATGCCCAAATACAAAAATATAAGTGCCCAAATATTTAGACTTGTATAGCCAATGAGTATAATTAAGTCTTGACACTAAGTAATATTCAAAGAGGGAAGTTTGCTCTTTATTTTCCTAATTGCCATGGGCAACCATCAGTTATTTACTTCATTTCCTTTCAATAGTTCTTGCTCTCAGCAAGTCGGGATCTCTCAGAGAGAAAGATTCATAGAGGCCTGAGAAAAACAGAAGAATCTAGGGACAAATGTAAAACCATCTTCATAATTACAATCCATTTATTAGATACACCATCCTAAATTTTGTCCTAAAGAATAAGCAGGGCTCATATTCTATTTCTTATATTTTTTGAGGGACAATTTCAGTGTAAGCAACAAAGCAGTGGAAATAATTTCAAATGCTAGAATAGTTTTTTGAGTAAAATCTGGTCCTACTAATGATTTAAGAGCTGGAACACAACTTCTTGCAGATCTAGAGCTGGATCCTAGTCCAAGTGTTCCTGGAAGGGATGGGGTAAGGGTGAATGGAGTGTGGGAATGCAGTCCTGCTGAGTATGGGCAGCTGTTCTGGAGCCAAGCAATTCACAGTTTCACTTTGCCAAAATAAATCCACTTGAATGATTTTTTTTTCAGGGATGAAACTGAGAAATTGGTGGTGAGTAGTTCTGCTTAGGAAAATTTTTGACATTTCAGGATAAATGACAAATATTACACTTTTTCTGAGACTATCTTAAAAATTCTTTTATATATCTAATTCTCATTATTTTGCTAAACTTTCTATACTTGCTATTCACTTATTCACATTTAAATTTTTATTGTGACAATTATATAAATGGAAATAGCTGTATCTTTTAAGTATAGAATCCCTATATTTTTCTTCTTGCTAGCCATATCTATCTTATTTATAGTGAATATCCAACTTTCATGGATTCTGAAAGTGTTCAATGACCTCAGAAAGCAATACGATTGTGTGGTATACAGAATATTAGATGGTCATGACCTTAGACTCCCAGTGTTACTTTGATGATTATATTGTATTACACGGCAAAATGGATTGCGCAGATGTAATTAATGTTAATAATCAGTTGATGTGAAGACAGGAAGATTATCCAAGTGTACATAATCTAATACAATGAGCTCTGTAAAATTTTATTTATTTTTGCCCGACTGTCTTATTTCTGAGAGCCAGTTTTCAAGCTCTGAGGTCCTTTCCTCAACTTGGTCCATTCTGTTGTTAATACTTGTGATTGCATTATGAAATTCTTGTGGTGTGTTTTCCAACTCTAGCCAGTCAATTTGGTTCTGTTTTATACTGGCTATTTCACCGATCAGCACCTGAATTATTTTTTGTGTTTGTTCCTTAGTGATATGGTGTGGCTCTGTGTTCCCATTCAAATCTTATCTGGAACTGTAATCCCCATGTGTTGAGAGAGGAACCTGGTGGGAGGTGATTGGATCATGGGGGTGGTTCCCCCGTGCTGTTCTCATGATAGTGAGTGAGTTCTCATGAGATCTGATGGTTTAAAAGTGACTGTCCCCCTTCACTCTCTCTCTCTTCTGCCACCCTGTGAAGAAGTTACTTGCTTCTCCTTCACCTTCAGCTATGATTATAAGTTTTCTGAGGCCTCCCCAGCAATTCAGAACTATGAGTCAATTAAATCTTTTTCCTTTATAAATTACCCAGTCTCAGAAGTTCTTTATAGCAGGGTGATAACAGACTAATACACTTAGCTTCCTTGAATTAGGTTTCGATGTTCCCCTGAATTTCAATGATCTTTGTTCCTATCTATATTCTGAAATCAATTTATGTCATTTCAGCCATCTCAGCCTAGTTAAGAACCCTTGCTGGGGAACTAGTGTGATCTTTGGGAGGAAAGAAGACATGCTGGCCTTTTGAGTTGCCAGAGATCTTGCATAGGTTCTTTCTCATCTGTGTGTGTGTGTGGGGGTGTTCCTTTAATTGCAGTGTAAATTGAGTACAGTCAGTAGACTTCTTTCCATGTTTTCAGAGTCCTAAGGCTTTGTTTAGGGCCTTTATTTGTAGCTAAATTCTTGTCTTTCTTTTCACAGCAGGGTATGATAGCAAAGTATTATTGGTGTTGAAGTTTTGGGGTGTGATCTAGTAGCTGGTGCTGAAGTGTAATGGTCACTGTGTAGGCTCCTGCTCAGTCATGTGGCTCCTCCGTATTTCCTCATGGGTTGCAGCTATGCTTCCTCTCAATGTTTTGAAAGTCAGTGTAGGCTCCTCTCCAACTTGAGTGCTCACTGCAGATCTTGGCTTGGTGCATCCAGACTGCACACCATAGTTCTGAAATGATCATAGGCTTTATGTTACTTCCCCAGCTTGGAAGCAGCAGAGGAGACCCTGTGGCTCAACGTCTTTTCTTGTCACTTGGGGCTCCATTGCAGAAAGATGCAGAACTGCAATCAATTAGCATGATCAGCCTGGCATGGGGCAGCTGCACTGTGAGCCCACGCTGGGGGGATCCTGTCTGGTGACTAGCAGAGAATGTGGGTAGGACCCGTGGGAGACAGACTGGCCTCCTCTCCTTAGAGCAACTACAACTTGCGGGATAAAGCACTCGGAGTCTTTGCTCCTTCCCTACTTCAAGGGTAAACAGGGAAGTTAAACTGGACAGGCAGTGGCAGAGGGACTTTTGGTTGCCCCTGGGAGCTCCATCTCTGAGAAATGTGGAGCTGCTGCTACTGGGAGTGTTCAGCCAGAGGGTGAAGCAGCTGCACTGCTTGCCTGAGCTAGAGGCTCTGCTTGTTGGGGAACAGGGGGTCAAGGGCCCATAGCAGCAAGAAATGGGGCTTTTCTCTAAATGGTGGCTGTGGTGTGCTGTACGCATGGGGAGAAAGCAACCAACTTAGAAAACATATTTCAGGATATCATCTATGAAAACTTCGTCAACCTCTCTAGAAAGGCCAACATTCAAATTCAAAGAATATAGAGAACCTTTACAGGATGATAAAAAAGAAGTCCATCCCCAAGACACATAATCATCAGATTCTGCAAGGCCAAAATGAATGAAAAAGTGATAAAGTAAGCTAACGAAAAAAGGCAGATCACCTACAAGGGGCACCCCATCAGGCTAAAAGCAGAAATTTCAGCAGAAATCCTACAAGCCAGAAGAGATTGGGGGTCTATATTCAACATTATTAAAGAAAAAAAATCTTCATCCAAGAATTTCAGATGGAGCCAAACTAAGCTTCATAAGTGAAGGAGAAATAAGATCTTTTCAAACAAACACATTCAGAGGGAATTCATTACCACCAGACTGCCTTACAAGAGTTCCTGAAAGGAGTAGTAAATATGGAAAGGAAAGACTGTTATCAGCCACTACAAAAACACCTTTAAGTACACAGACCAGTGACACTATAAAGCAACCACACAAACCAGTCTGCATAATAATCAGCTAAGAACAGGATGAGAGGATCAAATCCACATATATCAATAATAACTTTGAATGTAAATGGCCTAAATGCCTCAAAGAAAAGGCAGAGTGGCAAGCTGGATAAAGAAAAAGACCCAATGGTATACTGAATTTAAGAGCCCCATCCTACATGCAATGACAACCATAGGCTCAAAATGAATGGATGGAAAAAAAATCTACCATGCGAAAGGAGAACATAAAAAAGCAGAGGTGGCAATCCTAATTTCAGACAAAACAGACTTTGAACCAACAAAACTCAACAAACACAAGGAAGGTCATTACATAATGGTAAAAAGTTGAATTAAACAAAAAGACCTAATTATCCAAAATATACATGCACCCAACACAGGAGCACATAGATTTGTAAAACAAGTTCTTAGAGACCTACAAAGAGACTTAGATTTCTACAGAATAATAGTGGAAGACTTCAACACCCTACTAACAGTATTAGACAGATCATTAAGGAAGAAAATTAATGAAGATATTCAGAACTTGAACTCAATACTTGATCAAATGGACCTAATAGACTTCTACAGAACGCTCTATCCAAAAATGACAAAATATACTTTCTTCTCATTACCACATGACACATACTGTAAAATGGAACACACAATCAGACATAAACCATTCTTCAGCAAATTAAAAAAAAAAACACCGAAATCATACAAACGACACTCTCAGACAACAGTGCAATAAAAAATGTGGCACATATACACCATGGAATACTATGCAGCCATAAAAAATAATGAGGTCATGTCCTTTGTAGGGACATGGATGAAATTGGAAATCGTCATTCTCAGTAAACTATTGCAAGGACAAAAACCCAAACACCGCATGTTCTCACTCATAGAACAATGAGAACTCATGGACACAGGAAGGGGAACATCACGCACTGGGGCCTGTTGTGGGGCAGGGGGAGGGGGCAGGGATAGCATTAGGAGATATACCTAATGCTAAATGACGAGTTAATGGGTGCAGCACACCAGCATGGCACATGTATACATATGTAACTAACCTGCACATTGTGCACATGTACCCTAAAACTTAAAGTATAATAATAATAAAAAAAAACAAAAAAAAATCAGTGCAATAAAAACAGAATTCAGTACAAAGAAAATCACTCAAAACCATACAATTACATGGAAATTAAACAACCTGCTCCTAAGTGACTTTTGGGTGAACAATAAAATTAAGGAAGAAATCAAGACATTCTTTGAAAATAACAAAAAGATAAAACAAGCAAGAATCTCTGGGACACAGCTAAAGTGGTATTCAGAGGGATATTTGTAGTCCTAAATGCTCACATCAAAATGATAGATATCAAACTAAAAACCCAGCATTACAACTAGAAGTACCAGAGGAGCAAAAGCAAACAAACCTCAAAACTAGCAGAAGAAAAGAAATAACAAAAATCAGAGCTGATATGAAGGCGTTCGAGACATAAAAAAAAATAAAAAGATGAACAAATCCAAGAGTTGGATCTTTGAAAAAATCAATAAATAGATATATGGATACCTAGACTTTTAAGAAAAGGAGAAGCTCCAAATAAATACTATCAGAAATGACAAAGAAGATGTTACCACTGATCCCACAGAAAAAAAAAATAACTACCATAAACTACTTTAAACACCTCTATGTACACAAACTAGAAAATGTAGGAAAAATTGATAAATTCCTGGACACATACATCCACCCAAGATGGAAGCAGGAAGAAATTGATCCTTGAACAGACCAATAATGAGCTTCAAAACTGAATCAGTAATAAATAGCCTACCAAAAAAAAAATGCCAAGGGCTGGATGGATTCACAGCTGAATTCTAGTAGATATTCAAAGAATAGCTGGTACAAATCCTACCGAAACTATTCCAAAAAATTGAAGAAGAGGGACTCCTCTCAATCCCATTCTATGAGACTAGCATCATCCTCTATGAGACCAGCATCATCTTCATACGAAAACCTGGCAGAGAAACAGCAAAATAAAAAATAAAATAAAAAAATAAAAAAAAACTTCAGGCCAATATCCTTGATGAACATAGATACAACAATCCTCAACAAAATACTAGCGAACAGAATGCAGCAGGACATCAAAAAGCTAATTCATCATGATCAAGTAGACCTTATCCCAAAGACGAAAGGTTGGTTCAATATATGCAAATCAATAAATGTGATTAATCATGTAAACTAAAGACAAAAACCACATGATTATCTCAATAGATGCATAAAAAGCAAAAACCACATGATTATCACAATAGATGCATTCAACACTGCTACATGTTAAATAACCTTCAATAAATTTAGGCATTCAAATGACCACACTGCCCAAAGCAATTTACAGATTCAATGCTATTGCTATAGAACTACCAACAACATTCTTCACAGAACTAGAAAAAAACTATTTTTAAAATTCACCTAGCCCTCAAAAAAGACCCTGGATAGCCAAGGGAATCTTAAGCAAAAAGAACAAAACTGAAGCCATCACATTATATGACTTCAAACTCTTCTACAGGGCCACAGTAACCCAAGTAGCATAACACTAGTACAAAAACAGACACGTAGAACAATGGAACAGAATAGAGAGCCCAGAAATAATGCCACACATCTACAGCCATCTAATTTTCAACAAAACCAACAAAAACAAGCAATAAAGAAAGAAGTTCCCATTCAATAAGTGGTGATGGGATATCTGATTAGTCATATGCAAGAAGATTGAAACTGGACTCCTTCTTTATACCATATATAAAAATCAACTCATCATGAATTAAATACTTAAATGTGAAACCCAAAACTATAAAAACTCTGGAAGATATCCTAGGAAATGCCATTCTGGATATAGGAACTGGCAAAGATTCCATGATGAACGTGCTAAAAGCAATCGCAACAAAAGCAAAAACTGACAAATGGGATCTAATGAAACTAAAGAGTTTCTGCACTGCAAAAGAAATTGTCAGCAGAGTAAACAGACAACCTAAAGAATGGGGGAAAATTTTTGCGAAGTAGCCTTCTGAAAAAAGTCTAGTATCTAGAATCTATAAGGAACTTAAACCAATTAACAAGCCAAAAAATAAAAATAAAAACAACCTAATTAAAAAGTGGATAAAGGACATGCACAGACACTTTTCAAAAGAAGACATACATGCTGCCAACGAGCATATGTAAAAACCTTAACATCCACTCATTAGATAAATGCAAATCAAAACCACAGCAAGATACCATTTCACACCAGTCAGAATGGCTATTATTAAAAAATCAGAAAGCAACAGATTTTGGCAATGTGGTGGAGAAAAGGGAACACTTAAACACTGCTGGTGGGTGTGTAAATTAGTTCAGCTATTGTGGAACGCAGTGTAGTGATTCCTCAGAGAACTAAAAACACAATTACCATTTGACCCAACATCATTACTGGATATATATTCAAAAGAAAACAAATTGTTCTACCATAAAGATACATGCACACATATGTCCATTGCAGCACTATTCAAAATAACAAATACATGGATCAACCTAAAGGCCCATCAACAGTATATTGGATAAGGAAAATGTGGTACATATACACCACGGAATATATGCAGCCATAAAAAGAATGGAATCATGTCCTTTGCAGCAAGATGGATGGAACTGGAGACCATTATTCTTAGCAAACTAATGCGGGAACAGAAAACCAAAGACTGCATGTTCTCACTTATAAGTGGGAGCTAAATAAGGAGAACACGTGGACAGAAACAACCAACAATGGGGCCTACTAGAAGGTGGAAGGCAGAAGGAGAGAGAGGATTTAGAAAGAATACATACTGGGTACTATGCTTAGTACCTGGATGATGAAATGTTCTATATACCACAGCCTCGTGACACGAGTTTACCTATATAACAAATCTGCACATGTACCACTGAACCTGAAATAAAAGTTAAAAGAAGGAAAAAAGGAGTCTTACCTGGCTTGCAGCCCGAGAAGTCAAAGTGATTTGAATCACAAGAAGGGTTCAGTGTATTGTTGCTGCCTTTGAAGACAGAAAGGGGCCACATGCAAGAACCAAAGGGTGTCTTCTAGCAGCTTGTGCAATCCCAAGTGGACATCCAGAGGAAATGTGAGCCTCAGTGCTACAATCACAAGAAACTGAATTCTTCCAACAACCTGAATGAGCTTAGAGGTGACTTTCCCCCTAGTTTCCAGATAAAAACTTAAAGTTAGCCATATCTTCAGTATCACCCTGTGAGTTCCTAAGTAAAAAAACTGGTGGAGTCTGCCTGGACTTTTGATGTACAAAACTGTTAGAAAATAATTGAGTTTAATGTTAAGTAAAAAATATGAGAAATCAAACCTATGTAATAATTTTGTTAATTTCTACAAGTCTTTCAAATCAAATAGGTAGGATTTTTAAATTATATATTTTGTTGTAAGGTTGTGTATTATTCTCTATATAAATAAATTCAAATTTTAAACTTTATTCCAAGGGTTGGTAAAAACATATATTATTATATTGTGAAAAATGATTATAATTTCAGTTATAGTTCTCAGTTGTGGTTTTATATTTTCTTTCGTATTTTTCTTGCGTGTTTTCTATGTGGTTTTCAAGTGTTTTTAAAGTTTTCCTCCATCCTGGATTTTCTTTCTCTCAATCCATGTATCCTCCAACTTTTTCAAATATCCCCATCAAATTGCCTCCCTCTCCACTTACTAATATACTCCTTTCAACTTTTCAGTTGTTTCACACTTTTGTTTTTAGTTCATATTTTAGTGTTTTAGTTTATTTATATTTTATCTTCCTAAATAAAAAAGTTCTTCCTGGAGCATTTATTGACATTCTCAAAGGATGAACCACTTCTATAGAGCTTAACCAACACATTTACTTACAGTTATATTCCCATATTATCAAAACTTTATACTACTCTAAACTTCTTTTTCTGTAAGCAAAAGCCAATTGGTAACTATAATTTGAATTTTCATGTAAAATGACTTGTACAATTGTTTTGTGCAAATGTTATTTTCCTTTTTCGTGTTGAACAATGGGACCAAAACATAAAAACAACCAAATGGCAAACATTTCTTTGACATATTTACTCTGTAAGTGGGCTATAAAGAGGTCTCATAAAATTATTTTTTCTTTAAAAAAATCCTTCTTTTCTGTATCTTCCATTTGATATTAAAATATAACATTAAGCTACTTTTTTTTTTTTAGATGAAATCTCACTCTGTATCCAGGCTGGGGTGCAGTGGCACAATCTCGGCTCACTGCAACCTCAGACTCCACTCCCTAGTTCAAGTGATTCTCCTGCTTCAGCCTCCACAGTAGTGGGGATTACAGGCTCGTGCCACCGTGCCCGACTAATTTTTGTATTTTTAGTTGAGATGGGGTTTCACCATGTTGGCCAGGCTGGTCTCGAACTCCCAACCTCGTGATATGCCCGCCTTGGCCTCCCAAAGTGCTGGGATTACAGGCGTGAGCCATCGCGACCTGCCTTGTGCCTGTTTTACCTGTTATTGCTTACATTCTGTTCTCTTTACTATTTAATTCTATTCCATTTACATAGACTCAATGCCTAAATTTTATTTAACTTTGAATCATAATTTTCTTTAATTATCCTAAATTTTCTCTGCTTTCCTTCTTGACTTATTCCTTCTGGTACTTCATTTCAATTACTAAAATTTACTTGGTTGGTTATTGTTAACCGAACTTCTAATTCAATATAAAGTAGTTCAAAATTATGAGTCTTTATTTTTCAAAAGGTTTTCTTTTCCAGTCATCATCTAGTAATATGTGATTTTAAAATTTCATTAAATTTAGTCTATCTTTTAATTATCTTGGTTTAATGAAGGATTGTTTTAGATATATGTATTTCTTCCTCAATTTCCTTCCTTGATACTACTGCATTGCTTTGTGCATGTGCCCAGCTGTATTTCTTGGTATATAATTTTTTGAGAAGTGTGATGTAGTAACACTTCTACATAAGTGTGATGTAGTAACACTTCTACACTTCTACATATTTCTTTTACTTCTAGTAAAAGAAATAATATTCATGAAAGGATTTTAGAAAAACTTTAAAAATAGGTAATTTAAATAGAGGTTTCAGCAGCATGCTGATGCTCCTCAGTAAGAACTAGATGGCATACATAAAGTCAAAAGAGGTTTGACTTTGACTTCAAAAACAATTCAACTAGATAGAAAGGAAATAATAGGTAATTTAAAAATTACTATAGCCATCCCACCTAAATTGAAGTGCAGAAATATGTAGAATTAGAAAGTAAAGTATTTATCAAAATATAACGGTTGATCCAAATTATTGCTTTTCTTGTCAGAAATATTCAGGAACTAGGAAATAATAGTCATTACTTTCCCAAGTCAGTTATTCTTTATGTTCATAAGTAATTGCTTATTTGCTATAGCCAATACTCATGGAAGCCTTTGTCTTCTGTGACATAGCAGGTTTACAGTTCTGCTTCAAATTTTTGAAGTTTTCACTGTTACATTCACTGGCTCATTTTATTTCATGATTTTGAGTCTGGGAGACATTCCCTTGGCTCAGTGTTTTCGTCTATTGTAAATTCACTTCACTCACAATTTGCTCCTTTTCTTCCTTTTTTATTATAATAAATAACAGTTTCTTTGGTTTGGAAATCTACAGTCAACCTTAAGTTTACATTCATATTATTTTAATTTGTCTCTATTTCATTCCTGCTCTCATAACCCTTACCTAATCAATGTCTAAATTGTGAAGAATAAGCATTGTAGTGACAAATGTCATGCTTGTCTACATTTCTTTAGACAATATCTTTTTATTTATTTTTCTTTCTTTTTTTTTTTTTTTTTTGAGATGGAGTCTCGCTCTATTGCCCAGGTTGGAGTGCAGTGGCGCGATCTTGGCTCACTGTAAGCTCTGCTAGGTGCAGTGGCTCACGCCTGTAATCCCAGCACTTTGGGAAGCTGAGGCGGGTGGATCACGAGGTCAGGAGATCGAGACCATCCTGGCTAACACGGTGAAACCCCATCTCTACTAAAAATACAAAAAATTAGCCGGGCGTGGTGGCAGGCACCTGTAGTCCCAGCTACTCAGGAGGCTGAGGCAGGAGAATCGACAATATCTTTTTAAAACATAATTATTTGATTCCTGAATTGCCAAATCCCAGTCTGTTTTTCAGTCCTTTTCTTATTGCTTTCTAAGGCATAATAAATGTAACTACTGGGAGAAATGTATCAATGTCATCTTTGAAAATTTTTAACTATCTAAATTTGGTGAAATGATAAGATATGGATATATATATTAAAATATTCGCTTGAGCAATGACTCAGTACTTCAGAAACAAGTAGCAGGCTTTAAAACCTGAGGAAAAATTAGGCTTGTGTCACAACACAAACCACAAGAAATCCAAAAACAGTAAGGGTGACTGTGCAAGGAGGACAGAAAAGAAGTACTAAACCACTTTAACACTATCTTACATTTATCAGAAATAACAGAAATTATACATATATGCTCTACAGAATTTTAAACAAAGAAACAAAATGTGGTGCTTTTCTCCAGATGTTTTGGCCAGAGGACATAATCTGAATGATTTAAATTCCTTGAAATTGACTGTGACTTGCTATACAGCCAGCATATGGTTGTTTTATTTTGTAAAATATCCTATATGCTCTTGAAAATAATGTGCCTTCTGTTTCTAAGCCAATTCGGTTAAGTCAAAACAAAATTCTAACTATAAGATAATAATAACCGAGAATAAATAGTCACCTGCAGAGGACCAAAGCATTCTATCAAACTTTTACTGCAACTGGATTGCAAGAAGGTAATGGCATATTAAAAAAGAACCCAGAAATAAACCCAAATACCTAACAGCCAACTGATCTTTGACTAAGCAAACAATAACACAAAGTGGGGAAAAGACACCCTATTCAACAAATTGTGCTGGAATAGTTGGCTAGCTACACGTAGGAAATGAAACTGGATCCTCGTCTCTCACCTTCTGCAAAAATCAACTCAAAATGGATTAAGAAATTAAATCTGGCTGGGCGCTGTGGCTCACGCCTGTAATCTCAGCACTTCGGGAGGCTGAGACATGCGGATCACCTAAGGTCAAGAGTTCAAGACCTGCCTGGCCAACATGGCAAAACCCCATCTCTACTAAAAAAATACAGAAGTAAACCAGGTGTGGTGGCATGTGCCTGTAATCCCAGCTTGGGAGGCTGAGGCAGGAGACTCGCTTGAACCCAGGAGGCAGAGGTTACAGTGAGCTGAGATTGCACCACTGCACTCCAGCCTGGGGCTACAGCAAGACTCTAAGACTCTATCTCAAAAATAAATAAACAAATAAATAAATGAATCTAAGACCTGAAACTGTAAAAATTGTAGAAGATAACATTGGAAACACACTTCTAGACATTGGCTTAGGCAAGGATTTCATGACAAGAACCCAAAAGCAAATGCAATAAAAACAAAGATAAATAGGTGGGAAATAATGAAACTAAAAAGCCTTTGCAAGGCTGAAGGAATGGTCAGCAGTGTAAACAGGCAACCCACAGAGTGAGAGAAAATCTTCACAATCTATACATCTGACAAAAGACTAATATCCAAAACCTACAAGGAACTCATAGAAATCAGTAAGAAAAAAAACAATCTCATCAAAAGTGAACTAAGGACATGAATAGACAATTCTCCAAAGAAGATATACATAATGGCCAATAAACATATGAAAAAATGCTCAACATCACTAATGATCAGGGAAATGCAAATCAAAACCACAATGCGATACCACCTTACTCCTGCAAAAATAGCCCTAAGCAAAAAATCAAAAAACAGCAGATGTTGACATGGATGCAGTGATCAAGGAACACTTCTACAGTGCTGGTGAGAATGTAAACTAGTACAGCCACTATGGAAAACAATGCGGAAATTCCTTAAAGAACTAAAAGTAGAACTACCGTTTGATCCAGAAATCCTACTCCTGGATATCTACCCAGAGGAAAATAAGTCATTACACGAAAAAGATACTTGCACATGCGTGTTTATAGCAGCGCAATTCGCAATTACAAAAACCTGGAACCTACCCAAATGACCATAAATCAACAAGTGGATAAAGACACTGTGGTGTGTGTGTGTGTGTGTATACACACACGATAGAATATTACTCAGCCATAAAAAGGAATGAATTCATGGCATTTGCAGCAACCTGGATGAGATTGGAGACTATTATTCTAAGTGAAGTAACTCAGGAATGGAAAATCAAACATTGTATGTTTTCACTCATAAATGGGAGCTAAGCTATGAGGATGAAAATGCATAAGAATTATACAATGGACTTTAGGGACTCAAGGGGAAAAGGTGGGAAGGGGGTGAGGGATAAAATACTACAAATAGGGTGCAGCGTATACTGCTCGGGTGATGGGTGCACCAAAATCTCACAAATCACCACTAAAGAACTTACTCATGTAACCAAACACCATCTGTTCCCCAATAACCTATGGAAATATATTTTATAAAAAAATTATAGAAGGAAAACAGCTATAATGTAGAATTTTATATCCAAATGAAATGCTGTTGAACATTGAGAGCATTTTAAAAAATATTCCCAGACTCATCCTCCCTCAAGTGGTTTGCTACCCAAAGCAGGGTACTAAAAACATTTTTAGAGAAATTATTCAAACAAGAAATTCAAATATAGATGATATGTCAAGAACTATCAGAGGTACAAATCATCTGATGTCATAATAAAATTTACTGTTATTCATTAATTTTGTTTTAAACAAATGTTTTATTGTTGTTTCACACCCCTAAAAAATATACAAATCATAAACATAGATCTCAATGGGTATATCATAATAAACATTCAATGGATATTATAAAATTAAAAAAAGTAAGCTACTATTTTGCAATAAACATAAATAACCATGCAGGTTAGGGAATTAGCTATTACTGACAACCCAGAATTCTCCTAAACTCATTCCTAGGATAATACTTGCCTACCTTTTCCAGGTAACTAATGTCCCGACTTTCAACAATTTTCTCATAATGCTTTCTGGGGTTTCATTTTCAGATTTTGTATTCTAGTTAGTAAATTAATTCCTGTATAATTGATGTTTCTGATGTTATTGTTAGAGGTATCTTTTTTTTCAAATTTCAATTTTAGAAGTTCTTCTTTCTTTAAAAAAAGAAATGCAATTGATTTCAAATATTATCTTATAGGCACATACCTTGTAAATGTATTCATATAAGAGTTTATCTGTAAATTGTTCATTTTTTTGGTGAAAAATTATCTTAATTACTTCTCCTCAAGTTCTTATATCTTTTTTATTTCTTCTTTACTTTCTCACTAGCAATTTTGTCAGGTGTAAGGTTGAACAAAGTTGATCATAGTCAGTATCATTTTCTCATTCCCAATGTCAGTAGGAAAGTGTTCAACACTTTGCCATTACAGAGGTGCTCATCACAGTCATTTTGGAGGTAGCCTTTAATAATTTAAATATTTTTTCATCATTGCAACTTAGGTAATAGGCTTTGTCACTCATAGACTTTGGAGTTTTTTTTTTTTTAGTTATAGAGAATGTCATATGATTTTTGGCTTTTATTCTGTTAAGAAAAACACACTGCAGTTTTAAAATTTTGAATATTAAAACACGTTCATTCCTGTAACAAGCCCAACCTATGTTTGTGGTTTACATATTGCGGAGTTTTATGTATAATATTTAAATTATTTTTAGCTAGGTTGTAAGAGAGACTGGACTGTTACTGTCTTTTCTTCTAATGTCCTTGTCACATTTCTATGTTAAAATTATCGGTAACCTTATAAAACAAGCTGAGAAATTTTTCAATAGGGGAAATATGTAAGTAATGTTAGTTTTCTTTCCTGTTAATATGTTTTGGAGAATTCTCTAGTGAAACATCTGGACCTAGAACTTTTGTACATATATGAGAAAAAGTTATTTATTATGGATTTTAAAAATAGTTACAGGAATATTCCGATTTTTATGTCTTCTCATGTCAGTTTTGGTAAGTGACTTTTTCAAGTTTTTTACAAATTTTATTGAAACTGTCAAATATGTACTGCAGTAATGTAGCTCATAACTTTGAATTTCTTTCTTCTGTAGGATCAGTAGTAATATCTTTTCTTTTTATATTACTGTGCTCCCTCCCTCCCTCTCTCTCTCTCTCACACTTTTTTTTGGTCTCTGAATTTTGTAAAAGATTATTTTAACATTATTACAAGGAAAAACTTTTGGCTTTTTTTTGATCCCCTTGATTATGTGATTCTTTTTGAATGTATTATTTTCCATTAATATCTCTTGTATGACTTCTATTTTCATTGGATTTGGTTTACTGTTTGGTTTTCAGCTTCTTTAAATGTACCATTTTTAAGCATGTTCTGTTTTCAACCTGTGGGTATTTGGACTACTGGCATTTAATCTTTTATTCTTTGCAATATCACCATTAAGGCTATAGTTTTTTAAAAAAAATCAATAGCTTTAGGGCTAAAGCGTTTTTGGTTACATGGTTTATTGTATTGTGGTGAAGTCTGGGCTTTTAATGTAGTCATCACCTGAATAGTGTACCCTGTACCCACTAGGCAAGTTTCCATCCCTCACTCCTCTGTCACCCTCCCCGCTCTGAGTCTCCAATGACCATTTTACCATCTGTATGACTTTGTGTAACCAAGGATATCCATTTTCTTGAGTTTCAATATGTCATACATTTATTCTCATTTTCTTTCTTTTTCTTTCTTTTTTTTTTCTTTTGAAGACGGAGTTTCACTCCGTCCCCCAGGCTGGAGTGCAGTGGCGCGATCTCGGCTCACTGCAAGCTCCGCCCCGCTGGGTTCATGCCATTCTCCTGCCTCAGCTTCCCGAGTAGCTGGGACTACAAGCGCCCTTCACCACGCCCAGCTAATTTTTTGTATTTTTAGTAGAGACGGGGTTTCACCGTGTTCGCCAGGATGGTCTCGATCTGCTGACCTCGTGATCACCCGCCTCGGCCTCCCAAAGTGCTGGGATTACAGGCGTGAGCCACCGCGCCCGGCTTATTCTCATTTTCTTAAAATATTTTCTAATTTCCATTGAGACTAATTTTGTGACTTGTGAATTATTTAGGAATATGTTGCTTGATTTTAAAATATTTGTGGATTAAGTTGTCCTTTTGTAAATGATTTCTAACAGTTTAACTGATGTCAGAAAATGTATTATTTCTATTTTCAATTATGAAAATTTGTCACGGCTTGATCTATGACACAATATAGAGCATTTGAATAAATATTAAATGTGCATTCACATTACATATTCAATTTTAAGTTTATCGAGTTTAATATTATGCTATATATATCAATTAGATCAAATTTGCTAATAGAGATATCTAATTCTTTATTATTCTTAATTACATTTTTTTCTACTTCTTCCAACCGTGTAAGAAAAGTGGGCAAAAGTCCCCAGTATGATATGGATGCATTATATTTCTCCCATTATTACATTAATACAAATTTTAAATTGTCACATCATGGTATACTGCTCATTTTATCATTTTGAAAGGTATTCTTTTGTCTTAGTACTGCTTCTTGCCACTAAATTTATTTCATCTGATGTTAGTACATCTATCTCAGCTTTCTTTTGGTTATGTCAGCCTAACAGACCATTTTTACATTTTTTTTTCAGACTTCCTCAGTTCTTATTTTTAATAAAACACATTCAATTACTTTTAAAATTCATTTTAGATATTTTTATTAGCCGAAGTATGAAAATCATTTATATTTAGCTCAAGATATTTTGATTGTGGTCTACCACTTTGCTATTTTTCCATCTGTTGTATTTTTGACTTGCTCTTTCTTGCCTTTTTTCTCAATTAAGCATTTTTTTCTCCAATATGCCCTTATAATCTCCTATAAGTTTAAGTATCTTTTGATTTTGCCCTAGATATTATTTCATGATTCCTTGACTTATTAGTGTCTGAGTATAAAGTAAAATTTTCATTACTTTTCTTAGACTATGAAGATCTTATAATACTTTTGATATTTTGTTAGGTAGTTTTGTTGATATTTATTTTAAATTTTATATGATGGATTTTATTTATATAGTCACTATTTATTTAGATTTATCCAGATGTTTTGTCCTTCCTTTTCTTGATTTCATTTCTAAATTTCTACATTTACATGTAAAATAATTTTTCTTCTGCTTGAAAGACATTATTATTTCATTTGGTGTAATGTATAAATGATATAGATAGTTCCCTTATTTTTTGTTTTCCTGAACATGAATTTATTTTTTTCTCATATTCCATAATATTTTATTAGGAATAAAATTCTAGTTAACAGTTGGCTTCCATTTGAGAAGTCAACCCTAAGTCATATTGCCACTTTTTGAAGGTAATATGCTTTTTCCTAGAACTATTTTTGAGATAGTCTCTTTGTCGTTAATTCTCTAATATGAGCTATGTAGTTGTCTCCATATTTATCATGCTTCACTCTGGCACTTCCTGAGACTGTGACTTACAGTTTTTCCATCTTTTTTTTTATTTTTTATTTATTTATTTTTTTTTGAGAGAGTCTCACTCTTGTTGCCCAGGCTGGAGTGCAGTGGCACGATCTCGGCTCACTGCAACCTCTGCCTCCTGGGTTCAAGCAATTCTCCCACCTCAACCCTCAAGTAGCTGAGATTACAGGTGCCCACCACTACGCTCAGCTGATTTTTGTATTTTAGTAGAGACGGGGTTTCACCATGTTGGTCAGGCTGGTCTGGAACTCCTGACCTCAGGCGATCCGCCCACCTCAGCCTCCCAAAGTGCTGGGATTATAGGCATGAGCCACCATGCCTGGCTTCCAACATTTTTGAAAAATGTTAAGTTTACCTATTTAAATGTGGCTTTTGCCCTTAATATTTCTAATATTCTAATGAAATTGCAGCCAATAGTTAATTCTGGTTAACTCTAACTCTGTTTTTTGGAGGGTTATCTAAGGTGTGTTACAGATCATATTCATATAATCAGTGATTAAGCTGGTTTGAGACCAAACTGCAATTATTGTGAATTATAATCTATTTATTTCCATTAATATTCCTAAACCTTTGAAGTGTCAAATGAAGCCTGGGGTGTATAAATCGGCCTTTCTCATTGATAAGTCTTGAGCCATATATTTTATTCTCTTAAAACTATAAGACTATGAATATTTCTGCTTAGGTTTTTGGTCTATCAATAGCCACATACGTGTGAGAAAATCTTTCATGGGTCAAGGGATAGTCCATATTGTTCTCAATTCTCTGAAGTGTTGTTTTCTTCGGTATTTTAGCCCTGTAATCTTTAATGCCTTGGAATATTTTTGATACCTCCATGCATATTTTATACAATTTTCATAAGAAGAGAGTTGAGTAGAGAGTCAGTTTATAGTTTAGAGAAAAGAGAAAAACAAGGAAAAAAATAAAGAGAATGCAAATTTTAAAACAAAAGCAATTCAGAATTGAAATTATATAAATTATCTATATAATGAGAAAGATGAAATTGAAATCTAAGAAACACATGACTATGACAAAGCAAATGTATCTTTAGATACAATATACAGATATCAATAGTTTAAGAAAGTAATATTTATTTTCTTATTTAAAATGTTAAGATAATTACCACAGAGATAAATTTAAATACTTGTTAAACTAATATAGTGAGCTATTCTATAGACAAACAATAGAAGAAATGGGGAAAGGAAACAAACTAAAAATGTGAGTAAATGTATAATATGATGTAAATTGGCCGAACTAAGTTAAATGTAACAATAATGACAATAAATGCAAATAAGTTAAAAGCAGTAATTAAAGGATCCTGACTTTTATAAATTTTTTAATAAGAGCCAAAACATGTTGTTGACATAAGTTAAAATTTAAAAGAAAATATATGTGTATATAACTACTAACATTAAAATTATTTTATAACACACCAGGCTTAAATACTAAAAAGCTAGAGGGGCAATATTTACATGACAACATGACATAATATAATTTAAGGTAAAAATATGTACATTGAAATACATTTATTATTAAAGATTAAAATTATACGAGCTCTATTTTTCAATTAAAAATTGGAGAAAGAGCAGTGGAGGAAACCCAATAGAAATAGTTAATGAACAAAAATCTTTAAAGCAACAACAAAGAATGTTAATCTAACCAAAAGTTAGTTTTTGAGAAAACATTTAGGATACAGAAACCTGTGGAAGGTTAACCAAGACAATAAGAGAGACTGTGTAATATGCACAATTAAAAAATTTTAAGTATTAAAATAGCTTCATTGTAATAAATGTGAATGCTAGAGATGGAAAGATGTAAGGACTGTAACAACTAAGACGTATTAATAATAGGAACTAAAGATAAAGAATATAGGATTTTACAGGAAGTATCTAACAATCATTTCAATATTTATTTCTTAGTCTATTAAAGATCATTCCTTCAAATCCTCAGATAAGTAAATTCTATCAGAATTTTAAGAATCTGTTATTTATTATGCTACTTCTGAATATAGAAAAACAAATTGCCTAGCTAAGGCTAGCATATGTTTTATTCCAAAATCAAGTAGGTAGCAGTAATTACTCTTAAAATAATATTTATGCCAGCAAAAGAGCACATCATTTTGTCCGACAATTTGTATGAGACAGCAAACTGTTTTAGTCAGGGGTTTGAGCTAGATATAGATTTTATCGTGATTATCATTACCTTCAGTCCACACAGGCTTCAAATTCCTATAGGAATGGCTGATGTTGGCTGGGTTTAAGGTGGGTCCTGGGGTGCTGGAGGATTTTGTTTAGTACCTCTGTTCCCCTCTCAGCTTTCAGCATCCTTACCTTCCTGCACCGCCGAGGTGTTCTCTGTCTTTCCTCTTTCCCTTACTCAATACGTAGACAGCTGATGCTTATTATTTGGTATCAGGCTTGGCATAGGGGTAAAAAGTGGGGTGTTTTATGTTGCCCTGTCTCAGCCTCATTCAATCTTAGGTATGTCCTGTGTGAAAAAAGTCCAAGTTTTCATTCCTTTTTGTCTTTTTGTTATGTTGGTTTTAGACTACTGTCATTGAATTAAGCTGAATTTTTTTTTTTCTCAAAATGGGGCATTCTTAGTGTTCTTGCATTGTGTCCAACTCATCTATGACAATGAAACTCTGTCTTGGATCTGTGGTTGGTTTTGGGTGGAAATATTTACCACTCTATAGTAGTTAAAGGCTTCTTCTTGTTATTGGTATAGAATCTTAGCCACAACTGTTTCCTAGCACTCTTCCAAAGATATAGGATGCATTCTTCCACTTGTTCCCAAGCCTCAGTGCATCTTTGCCTGTGATTAGTGGAAATGACAGTTGTGCTGTCTCTTCTATAGTGGCTTAAAGCTTTGCTTCCTAAGAAAGAATGTTCTGGGGTAGTGGGCAAGGCTTTTTGCCAGTCCCCCAGCAGCAACTGATTATTACCCGAAGCCTGCACTATGCAGCAGGGTCTCTCTCATCTTCTGCCCAGTTCCCAGTCTTTCCCTTCAACAGACAAATTTCCGTGTAAAAGAGTTTAAGAAATGACCATTTCTTGTGCCTGAGGCCTCCTGCTATTCTAAACTTACAATTTACCCACATTTAGCCTTTAAGAATTTATTAAAGTTTAGCTGATTTCTTATATGATTATATGGTGACTTCCTCTTCATTTTTTGATTGGTCAAAGATGAAACTCATTTTGTGTCCTTTCCATCCTTGAGGGCTTGTCCCTCTCTGGAATCAGTTTACTTGGTTGTCATGCAACTTCATCTCTGATGGGCTGAAAACAACTTATGACTTTGTAGATAATTCAAATATTTCTCACCTTAAGGGTGGGAGCATCATTCTTTTCACCTTTCTACATCCTAATCAGAAGCTGAAAATCACACTGAGGTTTTAGAAATTACTCTTCCAAGCTGCAAAATATTAAGAATTTCCATTTTAAATCTTAGCAGAAAAAAATTACTCTAGTTGGAGTTTCACCAAATAATCTTGTAAAATTTGAAGTTTTCTTGAGAGACACCTGCCTTCATCTGGTGTGAATTATGAAAACCTTAGTTACACTTGGAAAAGTAAATCCTTACAAATCAATATATTTAACATTGGTAAACAGACAAGCAATAAAAATAAATTATAAAGAAACAACAAAAATAAATCATTTAGATATCTAACATGATATATATGAGGATTTATCAAATTTTACCTCATGGTTTAATAATTTCTTCAAATTAAAGAGAATACCTTAACACTAATCTGCCTTTAACAAATAAAATTTATTGCTTATAGTTCATACATGTTGTCTTATTAATGCATTAGAAAAAACCTTTTAGTATAATTTTAAAAATTATTTAAAAAATATTTAAGTATGTTTCAACAGAATTGGTACCTTTTATAATACTGTGCTTTCCTTTATGCATTTTCAAAATTGTGTTGAATTAGAAATCAATAAAATTAAAGCCAAAAAATAAATAGAAAAAAAACTGATGAAAGAAAAAAGCTAGTTATTTGAAAACATCAATAATATTGATAAACTTCTATCAAGATTAACTAAAACAAATAGAGTTGACATAAATTATTAATACCAGAAATGAAAGAGAGGACATCATTAGTGATCCCATGTACATTAAAGGATAGTAAAGGAATATTATGAACAACTTTATGCACAAAAATTTAATGATGAGGGTGAAATGTACCAATTCCTTGAAGGACACAATCAACCAAAACTCACATGAGGAGAAATAGATAATCTGAACAGGCCTTTATCTATTAAAGAAACTGAATTAATAATTAATACCCTGCTAAATAGAAAGCACCAGGGCTAGATAAGTTCACTGCTAAATCTTACCAAACATTTAATCAGGAAATTATATCGATTCTGCACAATCACTTCCAATAATAAAAGTAAAAACAAGTTATTCTGGAAAGAGGGACCATGGCACAAGAAATGTTTGGCACAGCACAACCAGTCCCCAGAGACCAAAGCTAGGCCATATCTTCAAAGCCCAGAGTGTGCATAGCCTGAGTCAAGCTGAAGGAAGGAATAAAAAAAAATGAGGAGAAAGTCAGGGAATATATGATGAAGCAAAATCTTTATGTCTGATGTTCTCAGAATGAATAAAATTATAAAATGCAAAGTGCATATATCACAGTTTCAGAAGCAATATTGGTCCAACTGCTGATTTTCTAAAATGGAGAACAGATCAACCTCTACACAAACTGATAGTGAGGCAGAATATCCTGGTCTTCTTATTGTAAGAGAAGAAAACGTCTTTCATGGAAGTAACAGTGAAAGAATCCGTTATCAGAACATAGGACAGAACGTTTAGGGGTATTTTCCCTGCAGGCACTAATTAGATATATATCATAAGAGCTATGAGCACACAGGTTTACTATCAGTGAGGCTGAAGCAGTGTAATTTCTGGGAATTATAGGCATGACACACATTTGTGACAAATAAAAGACAATACAGATTAAACTGCTAGATCTAATGTCAACCTGTTTTTTGTAGAAAGCCTAGGGATAACTGCCCAAGGTAAATTTTTACAATATGAGCACCTAGTATTTCCAGGGACTTCTTTACTCCTTTCCACATTGCTTTTTTGATGTATGACACTTTGATTTTGTCTCCGATACAATGACCACAGCATAAAGAATTAGTGCCAGTAAAGTTAGATTATAAAATCAAAAATTTGACTAAAACCATAGGAAATAAATCAATAGAATTACAAGATGTAGATTTTAAAATTACTTGGTAAGAACTTGCTTAACTCAAAATACAAGTACAAAATGATATATCAGACAGGAGTCAGACAGGGGAGCAAAGTTAGTAATGTGTTTTATGGGATAAAGGACTTATTAAAGGAATTAGATGTGTAGAGCTGTACAAGTAGCTGGGAAACTCAAGGTCTGAAAGGGAAGTTCAAGAATCAGAGGACCTCTCACTAACAAGTCAATATGAAATACCAAACATATCTCTTTATGTAAGGGTTGCTCCTGGGATGCCCTTTGAGAGGCTGTGATTTTGTGTAGCTACAACCTCTGTTGATTCACATCTAAGAATCTTTTGGTGAGTCTTGGGCTGCTGTTGATGGACAGAGGCAACAGTAGGCAAAGGTGTTGAACGTGGAATAGAGCAGATTTAGGACAGGTTGCAAGCCGGCTGGAACCTCTGCATTGATCCGATACTGCATTTGATTATGATGACCTTCAGAGAATAAGGGCCACCACCTTACTTCCTTTTTCCTAGTTACGTACAAGTTCCTCTTTTGGATAATACAGAGAAGGACATCTTGAAAAAAAATGTACTTTTTTGCCTACTCAAGATGACACAATGCAAAACACCACAAATAATTACCAGAATTGAGGAAAATAAGAATTTTCTTTCTCATGAAAAGTTTAGTTGGGAAAGGTGTTCTAGAATAGCCACATTGGATGGGAGGGTAGCAATGTTTCTCCACTCAGGTGAGGGGAGAGTATTTATAAAGCTCGATGAATATCTCCAAAATTTAGGAGTGGCACAGGAGTCTGATGTTTAATTAATTATTTTCCAGAATTAGAGTAAAAGACAAAGGCTGATAAGCTGTTTTGCTGGTAAATTAAAGAACAGCTGCTAATACATTTAGATTGTCAATTTCATGGGTTTGTGACCACTGTAGTTGTATAAGAACCCACATTCAGTGGATCCTTCAAAACTTTACTGTTACTGTCTTGAAATCCTTAATAATTTTATCTTTGAATTTGTGTTTTGTAAGTGAACTCTGATGGGACAATGGAGCATGAGCCAGGAGCATGGGGCCTCAGCTCACATGTGATCTCACCTTTTGCCATCTTGCTCCCCCACTGATACCTAGAGACCACTACACCACCTCTTACCCAGCAGGGGTCTGAGGCCAAATACAAGGAGACTCAGGGTCATATCCTGAGTAATTTTGAGCGCTCTGTGAGCATTCCTGTTTCCAAGGCTGAGTGAAATTAAGAGCAAAGAAAAAACATCATGACAGGTCAAGAAAGAAACCATAGGAAAAAAAATTCTATTATATTTTCTTTTGTTTGTAAAAGGGATCCTGCAAATTAAGTAGCTGACCTGGGGTTTCACTTTCTGGATTTCAGGGCCCACGAATGCATTACCTTTTAACCCAGATCGGAAATGATCCACATGAGCAATGAAAGATGGCAGATGGCTTGAAGCCAAGTGTGCTTTAAGAACACTTGGGTGGGATTCCATTGCATGGAATGAACTTCTAGAACAGGGGTGTTCAATCATTTAGCTTCTCTGGGCCACACTGCAAGAAGACGAATTGTCTTGGGCCACATATAAAATGCACTAACACTAACGATAGCTGACAAGCTAAAGAAAAAAAAAATCACCAAAAAAAAATCCCATAATGTTTTTTAAAAGTTTACCAATTTCTATTGGGCCTCATTCAAAGCTGTCCTGGACTGTGCGTGGCCTTTGGGCTGTGGGTTGGACAAGCTTATTCTAGAAAGTGAAAAGTTTCATGGGAATTGACAGTTGTAGATTAAATGATCACTTACTATCAGTTAAGAAAGAAATTTCTCTCTTCATTACCACTCCTATTTCCAGACTTCAGTCCTAGAGTGGTCAGTAGAAGCAGTTATCCAATAGGAGAGGGGGTAAGTAAGGTGAAGACCGCTGAAAAGGAAAAGAAACCAAGAATGACCCCTTCCCACAGCCTACAGATGAAAGAGGTAGGGGAGAAAACATATCTGAATTATATTTTAATTAAAATATAGAAATTCATATTATAATTTCTGAAATAAAATTGTGGTTTACAACATAATATAACTATCTGTTAAATACCAATAACCAAAAGAAGTCATGAAAGCTGCTAGATTTTTTTACAGATCTGGAAACTTTTCCTGAATACATATTTAAAGAACTACAGAAGACAAAAATGAAATTGCATTGAATGACAATTAGAGACAAGTTTGTTCTTTCGAAAAAATTGGATATTTGCTTTGTAATTTTCACCAATTTTATTTTCCCGAATTATTTCTATTTTTAATGTAGAAACAAAAGTATCTGAGATGGGTCTAAGATATCAGAGAATTATCTGTATTTGTATTGAGATATATCAAAATATAATGTTAATATGATTTGTCACTGAACTATATGATAACTCAGTCGTACTTCTGTCTTTTAAAATTGGCTACAGTTAAACTTCAATCTGTCAATAAAAAGTAAAAGCTACCAAAGTGGGAATTCTAAAATTATAACATGTGATAAAATCTCAGGGAGAAGTTTTGGATTCTGTTGTTTTTATTTTCTGCCATTAGTGCCGATTTGAGCGGTAACTGACCTCATGAAACATGGAAGTATTATGTACAAGGAACTGACCCCTGAGGAATTGAAGGTCAGCACTAAAATAAAAATGTAGGGGGAAATGCAACTAATAAAATGTAGGAAAAAAAATGTGAACAGAAAATATAATAAACCTACATGGTGGTGCTTACGTAGATAAAACTGAAAGAGGATTGTAAATAGAACTGTAAGAATGGATTTGTCTACCATTTATTATATTTTGTTAAAAATAAAGAAATTCAATTTACAATATTGAATTTTACTAGACTTTCTGGTTTGAAAAGCTAGAGTTTCTTTTTCCTTTCAGAAGGCTTGTATTCAGGTAATACTGATGAAGAGAATCCTCAAGACCTTTACACTCTGGGTCAGTTCCAAGATGGCTGAGAGCTGTTTCAAACAACCAAAAAACAACTTGATAGGATTGACAATTTCATGTTTTTTAATAAGTGTTGAATGAGACTGCTAACTACAATCAGCAGATATACATATGTGGTGTCATAGATGTTAGGTTTTCAAAAATAAAGAATGTGTTAGAAAAATGCCTGCAAATCATTCGAATGTTACAACCTTTTAAAAAAAATCTGGCTGTTGAGTGCAGACTGTGCTGTTTCACCTTTTATTACAAAGACTCAGTGAATGAAACATATTTGATAGCTTGGCAATAGAAGAAAAATTTGTATTTAAATGAGGACAGAAGACACTGGGCTGGAATTGATATGATTATGCCACAATTGATGAGTCATAACTAATGACAAAGTCTAGAGCTCAGGAAGCAAATCTGACAATGGGAGTGAGAGGAATGCAATCAGCACACTGGGAGGAAGGCAGGTGCATGCCCACAGGTCGTGCCACAGAGGGGTACTTAGCACAACACTTGCTCCTCATTGTGTATCTCTTGGTTTCTAAGCAAAGGTCTTTGGGGAGAAAAGATGTTATTAAATACTATAAAACTGAAACAAAAATAAAATTGAGCCTAGCTAGGCACTTGAAAATATACTAGTCTGTGACACAGTAAAAGAAAAATCATGTGGATAGGCAACAGATAGTTTTGGAAATTTAAAACTCAGGTTTTGTTTTATGTCTTCATTTATGATGCTGAGGTAACAGATATAAAATTAGGAATTTGTCAGCAATAGCTCCTCCTGCCTTTATCATATGTTTTAAATGATTTAACAGTGACATTTTATTGTATTTTCTTTTTTATTGAGATTCATTTCCTATCTTGTCTAATATTCTCCTATTCTCCTGATAGTTTACACACAATTATCACAAAACACTAGCAGTTCCATTAATTTTGTCTTCACTATCCTCAGAGACTTTCTGAGGAAATAATAATATTGTTTCTTTTATCTTTATCTCTGGAGCTTAGTAGGGTACCTTGCCCATTGTAGTTGAGAAATGATAAATAGGAATGACTGAAAAAAAATACATTTGAAAACAGCTTGAACATAAGAAGAAGCTTGAGATATTTATAATATGGACACTTGTTTTTTTCCTAAAGCAAAGCTATTACTATTAGTTAGAGATTATGTAGATTTTAATTTCTTTATAGAAGACAAAATAAAACTAGTAGATTAAAAAAGTTAGTTCCTGCCACTATTCTTCCCCCAACAAGATATCTGGAGACTGAGTGCCAAAATGAGCAAAGAAAGATTCAAGGACCAAGACTGGTGGAATCCTCTCACTCCAGTATTCTTAGAGTCTTGCTTAGGCTTGAAGCATAACACTGTTGTCACATCACTTGACAATGCATTTACGGAATAAGATTCAGTGAGAAAGAACAAACAAGAATTGATTATATCCTTTAAAGAGCTTTCTCAGAGGCATCAGCTAGTATCTTGTTTGCTTCTCATTTGCCAGAGTTGCATCAAGTAGCTTCTCCCAACTGCTCAGGAAATTGGGAAGTATAGTTTTCTCAACATTTTCATACCACCACAAACACTCCCAAGAATGTTCATAAGCAGTCTGTAATACACAGGACACGTCCCAACGACCAAGAATTATCTGGTCTGAAATATCAATAGTGGTGAGGTTGAGAAAACTTCCTCTGAAGCACCCGGCATTGGGATAAGGTCTCCAAAGGAAACGTTAAAAGACAATGCAAAATGAAGAAGAATATGGGGTACCAAAATTATAGTTATCAATCAACCACAGAACTTAGTTTTCCCCAAATATCTGAAAGGTTGTTTGACTTGTCAAAATGGAAACAATGTATTCAGTAGTGCTTCAGAAGGCAAACCTAAACCAAAGTTTGAAATCTGTGATGATGAACATATTAAAATTATAGAATCATTTGAAGGTTGTTATTATCCAGCAGTAACACAGTAGATGCCTTTACAGAACTGAATGTAATGAGAGACTAGTATTGTGTCCCTTTGTGAAGTCTTTAAATTATAACAGTTTCAAAATATATGAAGATTTTGACCAAATCAGAACAAAGGCCATTCATGATATAAACCACTTTGAGACAGTAAGAGCTATTGGTTGGGTCTATAGGGCCACTAGTCTAGGCCTCCGATAATTTATGCAGCAGGAGAAATGTCTTTGAGGAACAGATAATTGCCTGCATGCCTCTCCTAGACATGTTGGTGGAAGCTGCAACAGGAGTGGTTATTATTAATCCCTTTTAGAGGACAATATTAGTCTCACCTCTGAACCACCCATCAATATTGTGCTCAATTAGCACTTTGTTTCAATTGACAATGAAATTATATACTGAAAACAGCATGAATCCATGACCTGACCAGAAGCATTCTCTAGCCAGTGAATGATTTTTCTATCCTTGCCTCCTTTTCAATTTAACAAAAGAGGATAACACTGAATTCAGACTACAGGTGTGCAGATCCTCATTGTTTTAAGTCATCAGAAAGAACAGAATTAAAAATTAATTTAAAAACTAGGAATATTTATATCATCTTTCCTCATAGTTTTCCTCTTCTGGTCTTTTGCCTTAATAGTTATTTACTATTTCTCATTCATATTTGGTAGAAAGTGTCATTATACAATGTATAACAAAGGTCTTGAGAATACAAATGTATAACTCTTTCATATAATTATAATCCAAAGAAATCTTTAATATATTCATGTTAAACATCGGTTTATATGATATTTGCAATCCATGTGAAAAAACCATTTTACAAAAACATTAAAATAAAGCCCAAGTTTTTGTATTTCAGTGATTCAGCTTAAGAAGACTTATATAATTTATGAAATAAATACATATCATTTGAGAATAATGCAACACACCTTTAAAAACCACTTGTTTGAAAAGAAGCAAGGCATATCCACTGATTATATACAACTACTGCTTTCAAAATTTTCACTTTTAACCAGTAGACTTTTCATCAGTGTTTTATATTGTCAGGGTGTTTTTTGTTTTTGTTTTTATGATTTAATGTATTTAACTTGTTTCTCTATTAGAACAGAAAAAACACATACTTCTTTATTTCTTCTGCATTCCTTTCCATTTGTTGGCCATGACAGCAGTTAGATTATACCCCTTTCTACTGAAGCGTTGTGCTACGTTTTGGGAGGGCAGGAGAAAATATCTTCAGCTTGAAAAAAAAAATACTTGAATAAACAGGTAATTTTTTTATTAAGCTATACAATGGTCACTTTCTTTAGTGAGTTATGACAATCTACCTCTGAAGTAAAAGATGTTAGAGTCATTTGCTCTGGACAAAGTCACTTTCAGGAATGGTTTTATTACAATGAAAAGGAATAGGTATACTGGCTCTTAAGTGCCACTATTGCCCTTTATGAGAATGAGAACTAGATTAGCTGGCACGCTTATATCCCACACTCTTTATGAGCCTTATATGTTTTGGGGTATTTTCATCATTTTAATCTGGATGATGTTATTTTCAGAAACATCCTAAAACAATTTTCAAAGAAGCAAGGAAAAGGTTAACACTGAACTTGCATAATATTCAGTCATGAAAATGCATTTGAATACATTTGTTTAGCAATGCTAACATAGCAATCTTCAGAAGTTGCCCAGAGATATCTTTTGAGGTTTCATATTATGTTAAACATGCAAAAGCATAAAAACAGGGAAAAAGGAAATGGTATAACAATAAAAAGGTTTAAAATGATGAGGAATATTCATTTGCTTCCCTGATTAAAATTAAGTTATATAATTATATAGATACCAATATATTAGAATTGTTATATACAATCTAATTTAAGGCATAAGAGATAAGTGTGTTCAAGGGGTGTAGCGAAAAAAGTGCTCTTAATTTTTCTTTTTGATTTTTTGCTGTGGTTAGTGTTAATACATGTATATTGAATGGATATCTTATTTTTAAACAACAAAACCTTATTTCAACAACACCAATCTACATATACCTGATATTTTATATAATGCACTAATGAAAGCATTGTGATGTTAAAATTAGCATTGTAGAAAGGAAATTGATAAATGTAACTAGCAAACATTAATTTTGGGGGATGAATATTTTCTAATCTATTTCTGAAAAGCTATTACTTGGTTATACTAATTTATTTGAGGGTACCTTCCCCTGTATCATTTTTACCTCCACTTTTGAAAGAAGCAAACAATACTCCTTCTGAAAAATAAATTTTAATTCTACAGCTTTCTATGACAACTTTTTTGTTATTCATACCAAAGATGAAGCTATTCCCATACCTTATTGATGATTATATATGCAAAGAGTTCTCTATCAGGAAAGTTTCAACATGAAAGATTTCTTCCCACTGAGGAGTCTCTCCATTACAGAAGGTCAACTGGTAAATGTTATTCTGTTTCCACTAATAACCATTTGATCCTCTTTTAGATTTTCATTCACTCTAGTGTTAAATGAATCTTTGCTGAAAATTATTAAATCAAAACTATAATACCTTAATAGAGAAAAATGAATGTTATGAGGCAGTATCTCACCATCAAAGTTGCAGGGACATGTCTTTTCAAAGTGAAATATATAGCTTATCTAGTTAACAAAAGGGCAGCAAATTCCTTTGCAGGTCTAAAATTGAGCCAGCAAAGTGGTGGTTTACAAACAGATGCCAGTTTCAATTTTCATGTTAGATGATCAAATATATATTGAGTCTGCATAGGAAATGCTGTTATCACAGGATTCAACACACAATGTCGAATTCCTGCATAGAGAAATTTCATTTTTTCATTACATTCTGTACATGCAAACTTCCTAGCTAGTGTGGAGAAAACCTAGGAAAAAAAAAAGTTTAAGGTGAACCTTGAAGGATGAGAATGAATGAAGTACAGATGATTATGTAAGGTTTGAAGGCATGACACTGTGTACAATTACTGAGTAAGGATGGAACACATCCACACTAGTGATGAGAACAAATTTATATTTTGAGTGCAGTACATCCATTCATTCTTGATTCCTTCTTAGACATTATTTCCTAAAATTGAGCCACAGGATGGTCAGAATGGTCAGATCTGCTACCACAGGGAACTGGGACTTTTGTTTAATAATACATATTCCACAAACATGCACAACCTCTTCTCCTCTTTTCCCCCAGAGTAGCTGATTCTAGTACAGTGATTCATATGACCTGGATGGGTAAAGGGGTATATGCAATCAACTGAGTTCATTAGAATAAGTTTTAAAGTGTTAAAGAAATGATGAGGCTGGGCGTGGTGGCTCACGCCTGTAATACCAGCAGTTCAGGAGGCCGAGGCGGGCGGATCAGGAGGTCAGGAGATCGAGACCATCCTGGCCAACATGGTGAAACCCTGTCTCTACTAAAAATACAAAAAAAATTAGCCAGGTGTGGTGGCAGGTGCCTGTAATCCCAGCTACTCCGGAGGCTGAGGCAGGAGAATCGCTTGAATCTGGGAGTGTCGGAGGTTGCAGTGAGTCAAGATCGCCACGGCACTGCAGCCTGGCAACAGAACGAGACCCCGTCTCAAAAAAAAAGAAAAAAAAGAAATGATGACTCCCTGTAACAATTGCCTGGTGACTATATTCAACTTAGATCAAAACAATGCAAAAAATCTACTGTAAACTGTGCCATTTCTGTATCAGGATTTTACCAAGTTAGCACAGGAGTAATTTATATTTTGAGTTTAAACTTTAGAGCAGAGGTTTTAAATGGAAAATTCTGTGACAATAAAAATTTCTATAATATACTGAAACCTTGGAACAAGAATTAAAGGCATACAATGGTATATTTATGGAACTTTTATTTTATTTTGATTAATTTAAATACAAATGTAAATAACCTCATGCGTCTATTGGCTACCATATTGGATAGCACAACTGTACAGCATCAGTAAGATTTAAACTCATACGAGTATTATCAAATCTACTAAAAATAGATAAGACTTTTTCCTATCTTAAAATAGAACTAAGGTGACATTTTTTTTCCACAGCCATATTAATGGATAGCAACCTTTTCAATACTGTTTCCTCATAAGTGTATGGATAAACAGATTCCAAATATATTTGGTTAAAAGCAAGGCAAACAAATATATTGAATTCAGATAAGGACTCTAGGTCAGAGATCAATCGAAAGTGGGTCCTGATTTCAAGACTACATTATTTTGTGCTGAGTGAAACAAATGAAAGCTAACTAAAGTAAGTATAAATGAAATAAGATTTGTAATATAGGTAAAGCAAAGTGCCCTAGGAGAGCAGGAATATTTCTTTCCATTGTCAGATATAAGCATGATATTTGTGGTGGGCCTTGAAAGACTAGAAGAATAAGAGATGTAAACAACAAGACTTAAAGGCATAAAACGGTATATTATATTTATGGACACTTGGAGTTCTCACTATTAAGTGGGAGGTATTGATAAGAACACATGGACATGTAGATGGGAACAACACACAAACCGGGGCCTTCTGGAGTGCAGAAGTTGGGAGGAGGGAGAGGATCAGGAAAAATAATTAATGAGTATTAGGCTTAACACCTGGGTGATGAAATAATCTGTACAACACATCCCCATGACACAAGTGTACCTATGTAACAAAACTGCACCTTTATCCCTTAACTTAAAAGTTATATATATATTAAAAAAAACAGTGAAGTTTGAAGTGATGCTAAAAGAGCAATCTGGCAATAGGACATGAAAGGTCATGATGCTATGTCTGGAAATCTGAAACTTACTCTGTGGATGATAGAGCCAAAAATATTTTAAGTATAACAACATGATTTGATCTCTGCATTAGGAAGATAGCCCTATGGCAATATCTGGGGATGACTGCAAAGGTAAGAAATTACAGGCAAGGAAACCAGTGAAGAAGTTACTAGCTATAATTCAAGAATGATAAATACTTGAATCAGGCTAGTATTTTAGAAGGTATGCAAAGTAAAGGCTATCTTTCTGGGCCATTGCAAAGTTGGGAGGTGATTACTGAATAAACCAAGCATCTTCGGGAGAGGAGACAAAAACAGTCTGTGCCATTTCATTTCGAGGCCTGGAATAAAGAGTGATGACACTAAGAGAAGGTTTGGTTCTAAAATACTTCTTTATTTTCCTGATTTTTAGGTTTTTTGTTTCAATTGGAAAATTCCTAGTATTTTTGTGATGTCAGTGAAGAAACTGATGATTAAAGAGAAAGAACATGAGTTAAACAGAATGTACAATTCAGAAACTAGGCTTTCAATTATAGTTATATTTTTAGGAAAAAAGGTAATGCAAATCTAATTTTAAAATTCAGTCAATACAAAAGTGTGTAACGCAAAATAAAAAGCAAAATTAACCTCACACCTACCTGTTAAAAGAGTTTCCACTGTTAGTAATTTGCAGTATTTACTTTCATAACTTTTTCTACATATGTATAAACATATATACATTTTTAAAATATGAATTATTTCTCTTCACTGTATATTTGTATGCAGAAATATCTATAATGCATACCTAATAGCACTGCTGAATTATATACTTGCTTGAGTTGCATACTGTTGCAGCCCTACAGGTACATATTTTTATTTACACAACTTGGATGATTTTCATTCAGTGAAACAATTTATTAATTTATTCCTTCCATGTCAATGTACGTAGAGCTTTATTATTATTTTCCATGGTTTTCAGGGTATTCCATAACACAGACACATCACCATTTATTCTTTCTGTAGTAGACATTTAGGGGATTTAAAATGTTTACATTATAAATACTGACAATTTAGTAATTAGTGTCTTAGAGAATTTATTCCAAGTTAAAAACAAAAATAGAGATTTAATGTAAGTCCAACTGAGAAATCTATAAAGTAGGCAAAATTTTAAAGTTATCATACACATAAAAATTCAAATGTATTCTTATCTACTCGTAGTTTTAGTAACTCCTCTGATAAAAAAGAGATCATAGTAGAAATAATCAGATATGAAAAAAATTAAAGATTTAAAAATTTGGTATGTATTACTCTCCACTGAAGACATGATCTTATTGGTAATTATTGGAACATCATGCTATCTATATACCTATTATTTTAGATATTTATCTATCCACATAGTTTCCACGTCATGCTGACACACACACATCCAGGTGTACACACACAATTTGGGCCCTTTTACACTATATCATTTTAAAGTGATACGTGCTGAGATTTCATCTATGAAATAGTCACCCAATTACAGTTCAGAGAATCTCCATCTGAAAAGAGGTGAACACAATTTTCACCTTGTGAATATTCAGAAATTGAATCCAGGGAAGAAATTTACTGCTAGTGAACATTGTTTGTATATGAAAAATGAGAACCTAGGAAGTGGCTATTTTCATAATGATATAAATCTGGAAACACAACTAGAAATACACTTCAGCTAAGTAAGAATTGCAAAGAACTTTGTACTCGTTCAAATGAAATTATTTCCTGGCAGGGAATTTCTTTTTTCAGTTTCTCTTTAATTTCATTCAGCTCAATTCTATTTTGTAATTACCACCTTCATAAAAAGTAATCATAATAACCAGTTCTTCTGAAGATAGAGAAACAAGAATATGGCCAACTAATTACAAACGTTTGGGAACACTTATCAATAAAATGTATAAAACCAATTCATTTTCTGCCAATAACATGATCATGTATGTCTCAAATCACAAAAGACGATGAATTATGCAATTATTTTTCTCTTGAGATCCTTAAAGATTGGAGTAAGAATAAGGAAGTTATATTATTTTTCCATAGGGACTAAAACGTAATCCACATGCTTTAATATAATGGGCTGCTTGTTTGCCTTTCTGTGAGACAAGGCAAGCATATCCACCATACACATGGCATTGATCAGTCAATAAATCTTGCTATGCCAAAACCACAAATTTAATTGGGTCAGCATTAGGGATCCCATATATTAGTTTTTCTCACGACCAATCCCATTTGGGAAGATTCTAATACATCTTCAAATGCAACTTCTCTATTGTAAAACTGATAGGTCTAGAAAATGTGGAGAAATACAGTGGGAGGAGAGGAAAAGGGGAGAAAAGAGAGATGAGAGAGGGGAGAGAGGGAAGAATGGGGAGAGAGACAATATATGTTTTTAAACATTTGGAAACCATTTGCTTCCTTTTTTCTTTTACATAAGGCAAATAAGACAATATGCATAGAAGTACTTTATGTTTCAATTTTGAGAGGAATAAGTTAAGAAATGTGATCCTAGGCTTATTGTAAGGGATAGACTCATTCTCTTATCTTCTAGGAGCAATTTTTCTTAGTGGTTTTTGAAACTGCTGACCAACCATTGTCATTAAAACCCTCTCTCGGTTTCTAAAATACTGAATTTTCCTTATACCTTATAATCTTCTTGACTACTTTGACTTAACTTTTGACTTAGTTTCTATTTACGATCTACCATAAAATAGAAATGTTTATTTAATAATTATTTATATTCTCTCTGTGTGTACACATAAACACACACACACACTTCCACAATCCTGTTAGAAAGTTATTATTTCTAATTTATAATAAGAATACAATGAAATTGTCCATTTAATAGGAAAGCCCAAGATAAGATAGTAAATCCTGAAGCCACAATACAAACACAATTCAGTCTGATTTCTAAGACTATGTTCTCTTGTCATGCCATGCTACATGTGCCCTTAATACCATGGTTCAACGTTCTTCAGTTCTCTTACTGTCATCATTTATAATTGCCTTTTGAGAGATCTCAGCCATTCTTAAGATTTGAATGTCCACTTCTGCATGGATGGCATGCAACATCTCCAGTACTGGCATTTTCCATATATTGCAGTACCACTTTGGAAATGCACTGACTCTTTAAAAGCCACATAAATGTTCAGCCATTAAATTCAAAGTTATTATGTCTTAATAAAAATGATTTCCTCCCATCTCAAATCATTATTTTCTTTCAACTCTCATATACAATAACCTGTTACACAAATCCGTACATTGTTTATGGTATTTTGAAACCATATTTTTATCTTCATTCTTGTTTGTAAAAGATAATCTATTATTGAATTCTTTCACACATCACTCTAAACTCTTTTGCATTTTTCTCTTATCCACTTTTACTTTCAAGATTTTTATCTAACCGCTTTATCCCCTACATTGTGATTCATACGCAGCCCCTGGGAAGTGAGGAGTGCCTCTGCCCAACCACGATGCAACCCTCCAGGTGTGAGGTGGCAGCCTTATGTGTGATCTTTCTGCCCTCCCCAAGTTTGCATTTTTGACACTAAAGTTTACTTTTACATTAAAAATAATAATAATATAGAAAAAGGTTTTCCTATTAGAGTTTCTGTTTCTAAATTCTGCCTTAAATCCAGGTTTTATAAAACTATCGTTCGGGCATTGTGCCTCACACCTGTAATCCCAACACTTTGGGAAGCCGAGGCAGGTGGATTACCTGAGGTTAGGAGTTCGAGACCAGCCTAGCTAACATGGTGAAACCCCGTCTCTAGTAAAAATACAAAAATAAGGCAGACATGGTGGTGTGCACCTGTAGTCCCAGCTACTCGGGAGGCTGAGGCAGGAGAATTGCTTGAACCCAGGAGGCAGAGGTTGCAGTGAGCCGAGACTGCACCATTGCACTCCAGCCTGGGTAACAGACAGAGACTCATTCTCAAAAAATAAAATAAAATAAAACAAAACTATCAATATTTCTAGTGAAATTCATATCACTCTAATACCTTAAGATATATTATCAAAATCTCCTACTTAATCAAGCCCTGTAATCTCCCATCAGTGAAACTCATACATACGTGGGACGGGGAAAAAAACAAAAAAACACCTTTTCTTATTGCTGGAAACCTAGAGTAGTTTTGAATTAGAAATTCAGAGTTGCTTTGAGTTACTGTTATTCCATGAGAAAAACAGTATTTTATGGATATTTCTAAACTTAAAAAGATAGATCTAACCAAAGATGGCTTCTCCCAGTGATTTTTGATCTTTCTAGGGGCAGTATATAATCCATTGCAGGAAGCTGTGGTGCTATCAGAAGCTGAAACATCAAGAACCCAGATTATTCACATTCCCCTGCCTCCTATCTCCTCTCTCTCTCCTTCCCCCACTGCCCCACTCATTGATATTTATTATTTCTTTTCACAGTGAATTATGCTTTTATCATGAATAGTATCTAGGTTTATAAGTGTTCAGTAATATAAATTCTAAATTCTTTGGTTTAAATGTATTAATTTTCTCTCATACTTTACATCCTAGAATGATTATCTTGGATTATGGTGTTCCTAGACATTCTTGGAGTATTCTTTATCCCAAACTATTTCAAATTTAGAGCTTCAATATCTAAAAGACTGTTAGTAAAATTAATTTATTATTTTACCTGCTCACCTCTTTGCTACACTGGGTCTTTCCTATCTGTGGATTCTATATCCATGGACTCAAAGAGACACAGATTGAAAATATTTGAGAAAAAACAATAAAAATAGCAATACAACAATAAAAATAATACAAAAATACAGCATAACAACTATTTACAGAGCATTTACATTGTATTAGGCATGATAAGTAATCTAGAGTTTATTTAAATTATATAGGAGGATGTGTGTGAGTTTTATGTAAATACTATACCATTTTTAATCAGGGACTAGAGCATCTGCAGATTTCGATATCTGAGGGGTCTTGAAACCAATACTTCACAAATACTAAAAGAAGATTGTACTTCTGTATCTATCTGTTTTTTGTACAATTGAAAGATTCAGATTCTTCCCTTTTTATCTCAGTTTATAAGCATCCCCCATAGTTTTTCTCTCATCTAAACAAATGATGGACCATTTAAAACAGAAATTTCATGCCCACATTCTTAGTGTTTAAATCTCTTCATTTATGTTCTACCTTCCATGATGATCACAAGTACTGGATCACTGTACCAATTTTTTTTCTCTTTCTGTATCTTGATATCAGAATGACATTAGAGGAAACCAAGTATTTGTGTAGATTATGACACTCTAAACCTCATCTGGTCTATATGAACTAGTTAAACATGATCTTTATCAGTCACCTTTTCCATTTCCCACATAAGTTATTCCAAATGGATACAAAGCACCTCAAGTCCCTCATATTTCCACCGCTACAAATGCAAAGGGTGAATATAATCATATGGGAAATTGTGGTTATTAGTAAGATTCCTTCAATGTCCTGTCTGTATCTCTTTATATAACAAATAAAAAGAAAAGCAGCCGAATTAGAATTTTACTCATTTTCACATCTTTTTCTATAGGCCCACAGGATGAGCTTTTCACCATTCCCTTTTTAGAGGGGATTTTTCCACCAGTGACTTTGATTTCTATACTTTCATTTCTACCATAACCTGAATTCTGATCTCAAGTATTTTCAACTAATGTTCAGACACGGTGGCTCTGTCATAGTTCTTACAGTCAAGTCTCTTATTTTTCTCTCACAATTTCCACCTCCGAGTAGAAACTACCCTAAATCCTCGCCTTTCATTTTCAGTCAAGTTTCTGAAAAGAATATTCTATGAAATGTTTTTCAAATCTGGCTGCACATTAGAGTCACCTTGGGGAGGTTTTGAGCCACACTGATGTCCTTTTCCCTCCTCAAGAAATTCTGATTCCGTTGGTCTAGGGTACAGTGACAGGCATAATTTTGTTGTTGTTGTGGTTTTTTCTTTTGTTTTTTGTTTGTTTGTTTTTAAACTTCCCATGGGATGGGATTCTTTTTTTTCTTTTTTTTTTTTTTTTTTTTGAGACGGAGTCTCGCTCTGTCGCCCAGGCTGGAGTGCAGTGGCGCGATCTCGGCTCACTGCAAGCTCCACCTCCCGGGTTCACGTCGTTCTCCTGCCTCAGCCTTCTGAGTAGGTGAGACTACAGGCGCCCGCCACTATGCCCGGCTAATTTTTTGTATTTTTTAGTAGAGACGGGTTTCACCGTGTTAGCCAGGACGGTCGCAATCTCCTGACCTCTTGATCCGCCCGCCTCGGCCTCCCAAAGTGCTGGGATTACAGGCGTGAGCCACCGTGCCCGGCCCTTCCCATGTGATTCTTATACGCAGCCGTATTTTGAAACCACTGTTCTACTAACTCAGACAATGGTTTCTCATTCCTCTCTCATGTACTCCAAATACTTTCTACTTCTACTTCTCCCCTAAAACAGTTCTTTTGAAGGGCACTAATATCTCCCTTGATTTCCAAGTCCAGTTAATTATTTTTAGTTTTTGTATTATTTTTTCATACTGAGTCTCAACTTTTCTTTAAAAGCCTTGCTTTCTATGACATCATTCTTTCCAAATCCATTTCTATATTTTTCTCAGTTTTCAGTTCTGGTTCTTTTTATCCTTCCTTCCTCTCAAAGGCCACTGTTTCCCAACCTTCTGCTCTTTGCTCCTTTTTCGTCCTTCTTTGTAAGCACCCTCATGACTCCCTCCTCTTGCAGGGTTCCATTATTACACATTATGTTTCTGTAGCCCGTACAGACTTTTGCTGTATAACATCAGATTCACATTTAAGAACCTACTAATGGCTGGGCGCGGTGGCTCACGCCTGTAATCCCAGCACTTTGGGAGGCTGAGGCGGGTGGATCACGAGGTCAGGAGGTCAAGACCATCCTGGCTAACACGGTGAAACCCCGTCTCTACTAAAAATACAAAAAAAAAAAAAAAAAAAAAAATTAGCCGGGCGTGGTAGCGGGCGCCAGTAGTCCCAGCTACTTGGGAGGCTGAGGCAGGAGAATGGCGTGAACCCGGGAGGCGGAGCTTGCAGTGAGCCAAGATAGCGCCACTGCAGTCCAGCCTGGGCGAAAGAGCGAGACTCCGTCTCAAAAAAAAAAAAAAAAAAGAACCTACTAAGTCCTTCCAGAATGGTGTTCCAGATCCACCTCAAATACCACGTTTCTGTCAAACAGCAGCTTCTCCACCTGAACTATTCTTTCTTTAGTATCATGATTCCCCAGCCCTGACACTCATGAGAATCACTTGAGGAAATTTAAAATTCTGAGACTGGGCTGGGTGCAGTGGTTCAGGCCTGTAATCCCAGCAGTACCTTTGGGAGGCCGAGACGACAGGATCACCTGAGGTCAAGAGTTTGAGACCAGCCTGGCCAGCGTGGTGAAACCCCATCTCTACTAAAAATACAAAATTAAGCCTGGCATGGTGGTGCACGCCTGTAATCCCAGCCACTAGGAAGGCTGAGGCAGGAGAATCACTTGAATCCAGGAGGCAGAGGTTGCAGTGGGCCAAGATTGTGCCACAGCACTCCAGCCTGGGCAACAGAGGAAGAAAGAGACTCTGTCTCATAAAATAAAAATAAAATTCTGAGTCTGACTTTCAGAAATTTTGATGTAATTGATCTGGGGTACCTAGACATTGAGATTTTAAAAATATTTCAGGTGCCCCTAAAAGGTTCAGGCAATCTGAAAGTTAGGAAGCACAAGAATGAATTTTAGTATCAGGGTATTCAAAGGTGGTTTCATATTAGAATCACCAGGAGAGCAATTTTTAAATACTATTGTAGACCCAAACCCATTTCAACTGAATAAGAATCTCTGAGGTTGGATTTCAGGAATTCGTATTTTTTTAAAGTTCCGCAGGTGATGCTTATGTGTAGGCAAGGTTGAAAACCATTGCTTTAGTAGTTTCATCTCAATGAATGGCACTGTTTTCCACACAATTGCTCATCCAGGACTGGGAGTCATGTTAAACCCAGACTTTATCCTCACCTTTCTCTTATTCCACACTCAAATAAAATCCACATCCCATGAATCCTACATTTATAAAATATTCCTTTTAAACATCTTCTTTTGAATGTCTAATGGCCATTTCAAGTTTTAACATACATAAAATTAAGTTTTTGACATTTCTACCCAAAACAGGACTTGCAAAGTCCAAAATATCATTTTGACATTTTTTCCTAAAATAGTACTACAAATAAAAAACCAGTATTGCCAATTTTTTGAAGCGAACTTATTTGAATAATATAGACTTTTTAAAAAGATCTTTGGATTTTGTTTTTCTTTGTTCCTTTAGGAAAGAGTATTAAATAATAATATTTAAGATTATAGTACTTTGAGTATATTTAGATAGAATGATAGAACAAGAAATTTAAAGAACTTCTGTTGTTGGAAGAAAAAAACTTATAAAAAGATTTCATCTCTTTGTCATGAGTTAAAAACAAACATTTTAAATGTCAATAAATTTCCAAAGGAAATTTGGCTTATAGTAAAAAAAAGGAAGAAGTAGTAGTATATTGAGAGTTAGTCTCAGCTCCTTGAACTTGAGATGTTTCTGTCTATGCCTGTTTCTTGTCTTTTTAAAAATAATTTAAATTTAGAGCAATAATCTGTTATATTATCCTCTGTTTTTAATATTGATTCATATAATTTCTTAGTGTGCTGCTTCTTTTGTTCTTTCAAGAAAAATGAAACTACCCAGAGATGGATTTGCAATCTAAGTTTTCACTACCTTTTGTGCCCCTGAGAGCCAGTAAATCCAGTCTGTTTTGATAATATTTTAGCCATGACACAGGCCAGTCATGGCAAGGAAAAAAAAATGAATTCATAAGAAAAAAATCTGTATATTTGTGAAAAAATCAGGATCTATCATATCCCAAGTTTATTTGGTGGCATTAACATATAATAGTCCATTTGCTTACTCCCCATAAATATGTAAAAAGGCAAAGAGAAAGTAAAAAATAAAATTATTCTTCCACTCACACAAGTGGCTGAATAGGCCTAATCAATATTCACTTCATTGTTCCCCCATAATTCTATATGTTTAGCTTTTAAACATCTATCTTTTAAATATGCTATTTTTATTAATTTGAAGTTAATCAACTAAAATAGGTTCATTCCTTTCACTTTACCACTATTACAAGTGACTATCTAGGAGCCTGAGTTCTAATGAGGCAGCCATTCCAAACATGTACAGACAAAGCAGTGGTTTCCCTGGCAACGAGAACCATGAAAAAGCTCATAGAATAGTTATTCCCACCCTTACACACAACTCCTTTTCATTTCAGTAAAGCTTCCTGTCAGAACACATTCATCAATGTAATTTGCCAACAAAGTTTAAGAGATTAAATCCCCCTCCCCACAAGAATGTAAAAATAAAAAAACAAAATAAAACCTACAATCAAAAATCAACAGCTATGCTGAAATTGTAGTTAGGTCATCAGGTAATGCTTCAAAGGAAGTAAAGGACATCCTAAGACTCCTGAATACAGTTAACATCACTTTGAACCTGAGATTAATTTTCATTTGATTTTTATCAGAGGATACAGAAGGTAGATGCATCAGGAGGAGGGGCAGGTGCCTTTAATCATTACCTCTAGCATTATCACTTACAACCTCAAAGCAGCTTTTATTTAATTTAGTAAAAGTTTATAAAAATTTAAATTATTGTATGCATCAAATTAAGATTTAAGATGTCCTTCATAAACATTAACCTTTTGTTGGTGATGTTTACCAAGAAAGGTAAACTCTGAAAACATGATGTCATCGTTTCAATTGGTGGAATTAAGTAAAAGATTTTCAAATGAGGCACTTGAACCTATTTTCTATCTATGCATGCAGTAGAAAAAAGCACACAAAACAGGCAGCATTTTGTGTCATGCGGCATTTCAAACAAGAGGGAAAACACATCTGGAAATAAAAGGTGTTTAGCTGAAAGAATTGACCTTAAATAAAACAATTGCAACACTTGATTTGGGCTTCTTACTGGAAATCAAATTCTTTGAGTTTAAAATACACCTACTAAATGTAATACAAAACCAAAATAACACACTTTCAGCATTTCTCAAAATGTTAGCACCCAGCAAATGCAGAGTTTACAGTTCTAGTGATTTTCCCTGTTCTTTTCATGGAATGCATATCTAACCCGTTTTTCAGCCAGCATGCTACAGCAAAGGAAGATTCATGTTGTCCAGGGCTATTTCTTTAAAACAGTATGGAAATTACTTTTACCATAAATTAGGTTGTGCTTTAATGCTGAGAAAGGTCTATTTTGCCTTCATTTTGACCCATGACATACTTAGCCTTACAACAGCATAATGAGCATAATGAGGTCAAAACTAACACTGCAAAATAAAACACACACCCCCACACAAACACACATTATTTCTCAAGGAAGATAAAAAAAAAAAAAGGTCACATTGATTTTCTTTTTTTTAAAGCGGGACATTCTCACTACTTTTTTCACCTGAAGATTGAAAAGGAAACTCATTTCAGTTTGTAACATTGCACTGACTGTTCCAGACACAAAATGAATCAAGTCTCCTGTTGGATTATGTGGTTAGCATTTCTTCTCTTCTCTGGTGAGATAATTCGTTACTTAGGACAGCTGTGGTATAAAAACTCAAACATTGTCTTTTGCAGAATGGATTTGAAAAGTGGGCCCCCATTCTATTTTTGTTAGAAAATAATAAAATCACAAATTTTATCATGTATCAAAAATGAAAAGTGAAATATAAATGTGAAAGGTCTGATATTTACTTAATGAATATTTACCAAATACTTAGCATTTGCATATTAAGTACAAGCCTCAGGGAAAAAAATGTAGCCGTGTTTAAATCTCAACTTTATTTCTTCCCCTTGCTTTATTTTTTGAAAAATAAGAAATATTCACATTAAAGAAAAAAGAGAACATATTTAAAAATATTTTCATCTATATTCTAGTCTAACCAGAGTATCTATAATTTATATTAGTTACCAATGTATTAGACAAATTAAAACACAAGAGTTTTTATTATTATAATGCTTTTTTAAAATATGGACATTCACAATTTTATGCTTACAAGAGAATATATAATTCAAGTACTCCCATGAAATAAAGTACCAGTTCTCTACAATCAAACCTACAGTGCTAAACGTCAGCTGAAAATTACTTATAAAACTTTCAATTAAACTTTTACTAGTTTAGGTATTCTCTTCATAGTTGAGAAATATAATGCAAATAAAAGTTGAGTATGCCTCCCTGCCTCCAACTAGGACATAAAGTTGATCTTCTTTATGTCATGTTTCTTAAAAGTAACTCTAAAATAAGTTTCTTTCAAACCTTCTAAATTATTCTCTTTCCCTAATGGCTTGTTGTATTCTTCCCCAGCAGAAATGACTAAAATAGCCCTATTGCACTTAATCTAATTAGGGATTTTTGGAGAAATGGTGGTTACATAGTTCTCATTAACTGACTAAAAAACTGTACCATCTCCAGAGGTATAGATATTAAAAAGCGGGGGAGGGGGATGATTCCTTTTAAAGCTCCAGAAATGAATGTAAGTGTTCATATTCTGGTACATTAACAGTTTGTTCCAGTACATTGACATTTTATGTGGAAGCCCTACTCTGCAATTAATATGCCTGATGCAAATTGAAAAACCCATAATCCATCCTTCTCTGTTGGAATGTAAGAGTATATTATTATTGAGAAGCTACAGGATACCAGAACCATTTTTTAAACTTGACTGCTCATTACCTTAAATCTGCATATAAAACAGTTTTGCATTCAGACGAGGTAATACATACCAGAATATATTGTGGCGCCTATTAAAAAAAGTGCTCCAAATAAAAACGACCTGTGGGCTTCCTTTGTAGAAGAAATTTATGCAGTTCCAGGCATTAGGGATTAATGATAGCTAAGAGCAAAAGAGAAGGAATGAGCATTAAAACATTGTGCCTAACTTTCCTGACTACCCCAAGGCTAAAAGACAAAGTGAATTGTCAAATCTCCTTAAAGGTAAGGACTATGAATTTATATTAAGTAAATATGATATTTGGGGATTGCATCTGGTTCTGTCACATTAGTATTCAGAATATTTCTTATAGCTTTAAAGGAGAAAAGACAACCTTAATGGAGGTATGAGAGAAGAAAGATTTTAAAAATCCTTTGTTTCTAACAGCTTAGAGAGCCTCTTTCCTTTGTCTTGTTTCCAAAATTATGCATACAATTCTTCACAGGACATAAAATGCTATTGTCTGCTATGACTGACAAAATCAAAGATTTTAATGAAAGTTATACTGTAACTATTTTAAAGGGAAGGGGAATCACACATCCCTAAGAGATTCAAATGTAATATATTCTCAAAAATGGAAAGATCCCAGGGATACAGATTTCTTTCTTTCACGGATTTCTCCTAAGCCTGTTCAATTCATTTGATCATCACCGCCTGTGATCTGGGTTTTATTAACATTTCAGCATTTGATTGGACCCTTCTTACCTCTCTGTCTATCCATCACTTAAGACATTTAGTGCTGCCTACTGGCAGTTATCTGTGTAATTGTTTTATTTCACTCACTAAGTGATAAGATCCTTGAGGCAAGACGCTATGCGATATGGCCTGTATCTTCCACAATAAGTAATCACATTGATTCAAAAGATTCCCTCACAATACATTTTTATTGCAAAAATGATTTTGTATTTATCCATTTTGGAAAAGAAATTTTATCTCTTGAGCCCCTAAAAATGGAATTGTACACATTAAGACCCTTACACATATCACATAATAATCTTCAGGGTCAAACATTATAGTTTTCACCTGCTGCTATTCCTTTGCAGTAGACTAGAATAGAGAATTATATAAAACTTCTATGACTGTCAAAAAAAATGTTATATTTTTTGAAATCATGTAAAATCAACCTTCTTTATTTTACAGATATAGAAATTTAGATCTGTAAGGACCATCAGTGTGGTGAAGGTCACATGGTAAGTTAATTACAGAATCAAATTTTTCCCTTTCATTTCAATCTGTTTTTAAGTTTTACATGATTCCACTTTCAGGAAAAAGCAATTAAAATACAGACTGGCTTTGGTAAGAGTGATATATATTTTTATGTTTCAGACCAGCATGTTGTTTCATGCTGATGTTAAAAGATAATGGTTGATATCAGATAAATACCCACACATACACACAAACACAAACTAACTTGGGGTCCAATAAAATAAGACTGGGTGGTTCACATATTTTTCCATTAGTGCAAATATTTTAAAGAGATAATTTTCTTTGATAAAATCTGTGTTCTTAAAACTGATTAACACATAGTCCTTACTAGAAACTCTTTACAAAAAAAAAAAAACAACAAAAAAACAAAAATGAGAGTGCAAAAATTGAGAGAATAAGTCAAAGGAGAAAGAGAAGTTCTCCCATAACTGAAATTCATTGTACCTGTACATTAATCAAAGAACAAAATTGACTGTCATGTGATTTGACTCATGCTGAAATGTCCCTTACAATGAAAATAATCTCTTTTATTGGCCCCTCACAGTGTTTAAAATTTTTCACCATTTAAAAAAAAATTGACTTAAAATACTTCATCTTCTGACATTTTTGTTCACAAAAATAGTAAAAGTAAAGGAAAAGGTAGATAATATACCAACTTTGCAGGGTATTGCAGGAAGTTCAGAGAGGGAAAGAAAGAGGAACTATAAATAGTTATCATAAATTACAGCTAAATATTTTAGTTTAGCATAAAGAGGGTATGATGAATGTAAACAACATCACATATAGTTCAAAGTAGAGTTGTGGAATTACTTTTCCATGACAATGTTTAAGAATTGTACAGCTTTGCTGTTATCTAGTGATGTGTCCCCACCCAAATCTCACCATGAATTCCCATGTGTTGTCAGAGGGACCTGGTGGGAGGTAATTAAATCATGGGAGCAGGTCTTTCCCATGCTGTTCTCATGATAGTAAGTTTCATGTGATCTGATAATTTTATAAAGGGAAGTTTCCCTGCACAAGCTCTCTTCTCTTGCCTGCTGCCATGTGAGACATGCCTCTCACCTTCTGCAATGATAGTGAGGCCTCCCCAGCCACATGGAACTGTAAGATCATTAAACCTCTTTCTTTTGTAAATTGCCCAGTCTTGGGTATGTCTTTATCAGCAGTATAAAAACAGACTAATACAGTAAATTGGTACCAGGAGTGGGGTGGGACTCTGCTCTAAAGATAACTGAAAATGTGGAAGCAACTTTGGAACTGGATAACAGGCAGAGGTTGGAACAGTCTGGAGGGCTCAGAAAACAACAGAAAAATGTGGGAAAGTCTGGAACTCCCTAGAGACTTGTTCTATGGCTTGACCAAAATGCTGATAGTGATATGGACAATGCAATCCAGTCTGAGGTGGTCTCAGATGGACATGAGGAACTTGTTGGAAACTGGAACAAAGGTGACTCTTGTTATGTTTTAGCAAAGAGACTTGTGGCATTTTGCCCCTGCCCTAGAGATTTGTGGAACTTTGAACTTGAGAGAGATGATTTACGGTATATGGCAAAAGAAATGTCTAAGCAGAAAAGCATTCAAGAGGTGACTTTTTAGCCGGACATGGTAGTGTGTGCCTGTAGTCTCAGCTACTCGGGAGGCCGAGACAGGAGAATTGCTTGAACCCAGGAGGGGGAGGTTGCAGTGAGCTGAGATCATACCCCACTGCACTCCAGCCTGGGTGACAGAGTGAGACTCCCAAAAAAAAAAAGATGTGACTTGTGTGGTGTTAAAAGCATTCAGTTTTAAAAGGAAAACAGATCATAAAAGTCTAGAAAATTTGCAGCCTGACAATGTGATAGAAAAGAAAATCCCATTTTCTGAGGAGAAATTCAAGCTGGCTGCAGAAATTTGCATAAGTAGCAAGGAGCTGAAAGTTAGTCACCAAGACAATGGGAAAAATGTCTACAGGGCATGTCAGAGACCTTTGTGGCAGTCCTTCTCCTCACAGGCTGGGAGGTTTTAGAGGAAAAAATGGTTTCATGAGGCAGGCTCAGGTTCCCTCTATGTGCAGTCTAGGGACCTGGTGCCCTGCATCCCAGCTGCTCTAGCCATGACTAAAAGGGGCCAAGGTACAGCTCAGGCCGTGGCTTCCAAGGGTGCTAGCCCCAAGCCTTGGCAGGTTTTACATGTTGAGCCTGAGGGTACACAGAAGTCACGAATTGATTTGGCAACCTCTGCCTAGATTTCAGAGAACGTATGGAAGCACCTGGATGTTCAAGCAGAAGTTTGCTGCAGGGGCAGGGTGCTCATGGAGAACCCCTGCTAGGATATTGTGAAATGGAAATGTGGGGTGGGCACCCCCACACAGAGTCCCCACTGGGGCACTGCCTAGTGGAGATGTGAAAAGAATGCCATCGTCCTTCAGACCCCAGAATGGTAGCTGTACCGACAGCTTGCACTGTGCACCTGAAAAAGCTGCAGACACTCAATGCCAGCCCATGAAAGCGGCTGGGAGGGAGGCTGTGTCCTGCAAAGACAGAGGTGCAGAGCTGTTCAAGACCATGGGAACCTCCTCTTGGATCAGTGTGACCCAAATATGAGACATGGGGTCAAAAGAGATCATTTTGGACCTTTAATATTTGACTGCCCTGCTGGATTTCAGAATTTCATGGGGCCTTTGTTTTAGCCATTGTTTTTTCCATTTGCAACAGCTGTACTTACCCAATGCCCGTACCCCCATTGTATGTAGGAAGTAACTAATTTTCTTCTTATTTTACTGACTCATAGGTGGAAGGGACTTGCCTTGTCTCTGATAAAACTTTGGACTGTGAACTTTTGAGTTAATGCTGAAATGAGTTAACACTTTGGAGGACTGTTTAAAAGGCGTGATTGGTTTCGAAGTGTGTGGACATAAGATGTGGGAGGGGCCAGGGTGAAATGATAAGGTTTGGCTGTGTCCCCACCCAAATCTCGTCTTGAATTGCCATGTGTTGTTTGAGGGACCCAGTGAGAGGTACTGAATCATGGGGGCAGGTCTTTCCCATGCTGCTCTGATGACAGTGAATAAGTCTCATGAGACCTGATGGTTTTATAAAGGAGACTTTCCCTGAACAAGCTCTCTTCTCTTATTTGCTGCCATGTGAGATTTGCCTTTAAACTTCCAACACAATTGTGAGGCATCCCCAGCCACCTGGAACTGTAAGTCCATTAAACCTTCTTCCTTTGTAAATTGCCTACTCTTGGGTATATTTTTATCAGCAGCGTGAAAACAGACTAATACAGCTAGGGTGGTTAAGATAGAGATATGGGCAAGATAGAAATCCTTAACAACAAATACATACATTACATTGTTTCTTCCATCTAGGATGGTTCTTTTAACCTACAGGTAATCACTTTGTGTGTTTCATTAAGGTATTTTCAAAACCTCTTTGAACAGCATAACTTTTAAAAGCAAGTACTAATACTTTATTAAAGTATTTCATAAAGTAGTTTACAGTAACTCAGGTTGATTTGTGCCGTTAAGGAAAAAACTTTTACTTTTTTATTACTAAAAATGTATGTAAATCTCACTGGCACTGAATGCATTTTTCAAACAAATAAAGAGGCTTGAAATGGTGAACAGCTATTCTTTTCTGCCTACTAGGGATGAGAAAGTACAGGCTGTTTTCAAATTAAAACCGGAAGCATATACAATGAGACATTATGTGGACTGTTGTGACTATTAGGGTTGTTAGATCATGTGCTGTGTTACTGTGGGATGTTTGGGAGGGTCCTTTGAATATATTTTATTATCAAAAATTTTATTTTTCTGATGTATATAATCAGAAACTCTTGAAGTAGACAACTATATAAATATTAAATGCTCACTTCCAATATAATATTCATTTGATTAATAAAACTGGAGACAATTTATCTTAGTTGGTGGATTATACTATACTCATCCTTGGTAGATTATACCATAAAACTGAAGTATTTCCACCTCAGGAAATATTCCCACCAGTTAAGTTGATGTGCATTGCCAGAGTATAGTTACTTTGTTGAATTTCCACATGTAAACTCTTTTATTGAATTAGATATGTAGAAAAGTCATTGTTCTATGCTTCATCACCAGTTACCAGTGGCATTTGTTCTTCTCTATATAAACTTAACATAGAAAAATTATAACCTACCTATCTGTATATTCTACACAATATAACTGCTAATTTTATCATCGGTGAGATGGTACAAATAATTCAACTGTCAAATTAGACTCATATGAAATAGAAATGTTTAATCATTTTTAGGATATAAAAGTCTAGTGTCTAGAGGCTCAGGGAGAACTAAGGTGAGAGGTTGAGTATTCACTGGATCTCTTCCTACTACGATAAATAAGTTCTGGCACATTACTTACACAAAAGATAAAAAGTATCAGTAATAAACACTTCCATTTTATAATCAAATAGGCACAAAGGATGCATAATATTTTCCAGGAAGCGATGCCCCATATATCCATAGATTCTAGGGTTGCTTTTTTTTTTTTTTTTAACACAGGAGATGCTAAACAACCAAGTACATGCTGCTAAAAACACCTTGCAGATAAAAACCCTCCCACTAGCTAACGTAACTAGCTTGTTTGCAAAAAGTCTGCTTTTAGCATGTTTACAAATGTATTAGTCTGCTAGGGCTATTATAACAAAGTATCATCAACCAGGTGGCTTAAGAGTGGGAATTTATTTTCTCACAGTTCTGGAAGCTAGAAGTCTAAGATCAAGGTGTCAACAGGTTTGGTTCCTCCTGCGGCCTCTCTCCTTTGCTTGCACATGGCCGCCTCCTTACTGTGTTCTCACATTGCCTTTTCTTGATGCAAGCACTTCACTGGTGTCTTTTCCTCTTCTTAAAAGGACACCAGTCCTATTGGACTAGGGTCCCATTCATATGACCTTAATTAACCTTAATTACCTCTTTAAAGGCCGTATCTCCAAATGCAGTCACTTTGCGGGTTAGAGACTCAACATATAGGTTATAGGGGAACTTGATTTATTTCATAACAACAGGGATATGACTTTTATTTCCTTGTCCTCTATATAAAGGAAGAGCCTAGATAGCAGATCTGCTTCCCATCCTTTTTTTCTCAACGAAGAAGGATTTATGTTTTCCAAAAACAAAAAAAAAAACAAAAAACTCTTGAATTTTATCTCACGAGAGCAAATGAATTCAATCATTCAGCCCCTAAATGCCTCAAAAGTCTGTAGAATAGAGCAGCTTCAAAAGAACAAGTGGGAAGTAATGAGGAAGAGTAAGAGACAAAGCTTCACAAAGGCTGTGTTAAAGAAGAACTCTTACTCCTAGTGAATTCTGAGATGATATCACAGACTCAATTTATATGCAAACCTGAATTTAAGTGTACTAAAAATATAAAATTCACTTTGGAGCTAATGAAGTAACTTTTCGTCCAAAAAAATATATTACTTTAAGTATTTCTCCTGTAGTAAAAGTATTTACCGTTTTATTCATAGCTTTGGATTGAGCAAATATATCTTAAGATATATGTGTCATAATATAGACTATAACATAAAATGCGGGTGAACACGGTAACTCACTTTTACATCATAATCAAGTCATTAGCTTCTCATTTCCACAATTAAAAGAAATATGTCTTATGAGCTATTCAAAATCTTAGGTTAGAGAAAGTTACCAAGTAATTAGCTGCCATTCTGGACACACAGAAATTAGAGTAACAAAACCAGTTCACACATAGATACATTCTTTGAGAGACAGAATAGTGGATTAACCACAAATATAAAGTAGAGAATGCAGAGAATGCCCCTGATGGAATTCTCAAGAAAACAATTTCTAGTGCACACAGTTGGCTGCCTAACCCTCTTACATTTTCCTTATCTTTCTTTTTTTTAACAGAATCCATATTTTATTCAGATATCCATTCTATCTGTAAATCGTCCCTGTGTTTAGGGAAAGATCAGCTTTATCCATAGAAGGGATATCTGAATAAAATAAACAGAACTCCCCAGTTCCAGAGTTGGGCCTCAGTTACTCTTAGACAATGTGGGTAATTATTTTCCCATTGCTCCTGGTTGTTTCAAAAAATCAGACATACATCAGTCAGTACCTGTGTTTGTAAATTGTTATCTGGGAATAAGCAGACAGTGCAAATAGTTTCTATTATAATATAAAGAAGGAAAGACTTCTATTCATAAAAGGGGAAAACTCTTTCCCTTGTATTCACTGGATTTGAATGAGAAATCCTGTACTGCTCATTGCTCTTACCAGCCATTGCATACTACAAGGGGAAGCAGAAGTAGGATGAAGCTAATAGGTGAACTGCAGGGTGGAGAGGCAGAAAGAATGTGCTTCCTTGCTGAGATCTCTGAACCATAAATCAAGCAGAGCTGAAAACTTTTCTACCTATCTACTTCAAATATATAATATACAATCTCTTCATTGTTTAGGTGGGCTTTATTTGCAGGGTATAAGCTGTAAGCAAGTACTAATACTTTATAAAAGTATTTCATAAAGTAGTTTACAGTAACTCAGGTTGATTTGTGCCGTTAAGGAAAAAACTTTTACTTTTTTATTACTAAAAATGTATGTAAATCTCACTGGCACTGAATGCATTTTTCAAACAAAGAGGCTTGAAATGGTGAACAGCTATTCTTTTCTGCCTACTAGGGATGAGAAAGTACAGGCTGTTTTCAAATTAAAACCGGAAGGGCCAAAGATGTAAATAAATGTGACTGATAGAGGACAGCATAAAAGAAAAAATAAGTTTTTTTTTTTAAAGCAGGACTGTGAGAATTTTAATAGAGTCTAGATTGGTGAATAAAAAAGAATAGAATATCCCAAAAAGTGCATATTAATGCTCAAACCAGTAAAGAAATATGAGTTACCACTTTGTGGAAAAATAACATGGGTAGATTCATATGCCCCTACTGCGTGTAAGATTATTTTTAAAGAGATTAAAGCATTAAATGTAGAAAATAAAACCACAAAGGCTCTAGAAGTAAACATAGGACATTTCCTTTATAACCTTTAAGTGGTTAAGGTATAAGTAATTATAACTAAAAGTCTAGAAGCTAAAAGATTAAAAAATGGGTATATGTGAATACAGTAACAATAACTTCATGAAAAAATATTGTAAACATTCACTTCTCAGTCTTTTGGCTAAGATCAAGTGAAATATTGTAAACAAATTGAAACTACAAGTAATCAATTAAAGAATAATATTTACTCTTCATATAGTATAATTTCTTTACTATATGATGTGTTTCTAGAAATTTATGAGCAAAAGACTCAAACTCAAAAGAAATATAGGCAAGTATATAAACAATTGATAGAAAGTAAATGCAGGCCGTCGCGGTGGCTCACACCTGTAATCCCAGCACTTTGGGAGGCTGAGGCGGTTGGATCACGAGGTCAGGAGATCGAGACCATCCTGGCTAAAGCGGTGAAACCCCGTCTCTACTAAAAAAAAATTAACCGGGTTTTGTGGCGGGTGCCTGTAGTCCCAGCTACTCGGGAGGCTGAGGCAGGAGAATGGCATGAACCCGGGAGGTGGAGCTTGCAGTGAGCCCAGAATGGCGTGAACCCAGAAGGTGGAGCTTGAAGTGAGCCAAGATTGTGCCACTGCACTCCAGCCTGGGCAACAGAGTGAGACTCCATCTCAAAAAAATAAATAAATAAAATAAAAATAAAAAATTAAGTAAATGCAAATGACTTTTAAGTATACAAAAGTGTATTCAAGTTCAACCATAATAAAACTACAAATAAAACTCTATCAATATTCTTTCACTTATTAGAATAGCATATTTAATAACACAAACTTCAGCAAACATATAGAGAAGTAGGTACTACCATTCATGCATCCACATGATTGGAGTATAAATTAGTACATATTTATCAAATAAAAAATGCATGTGTGTATGTCCAATCAATTATACTCTAGGCAGATTATCCTAAATAACTACTTACATATAAAACGACATATATGACTATATTCATTGCAGAAAAATATATAAGAACAAGATTCTGAAAACAACAAAGTTTTTAATATAGTACGACTTAATGATGACACATCCCTTTGATGTTCTGCAATAGTAAAAATACTGAAAATTTTCTATATGTATTAACGTGGAAAGTTTTTCAAGATAAATTGCTAACGAATAAAGCAATGTGCCAAAAGGATACGTGTTATGCTGTCCAAATAAAGGAAATCAATAATGTATTTTGTTATTTCTTATATATACATAAAATACTTAAGACACCAAGAAGCTGTTGTTAAGAGGTAAGAACTGGGCAGACAATAGAAAAGGATAGAATGTGGAATTTTCCAATTCTGTATCATGTAAATGCATCACCTGTTCAAAAAATAATGTTCACGGTTCCCTACATTTTCTGAGAAATATCCAACTCTTTAGCCAGTAATTTACAGCCTTTCAAAATTGTTCCGGTAATATTTCATTTTTCTTGCTCATGCTAAACCACCTTCTCATCAAACTATTCAGTACCTTAAATTCTACTAAAATTTCTTTGTGGCATCACACACATACCCATTTCGATACACTCTTTTTCTATTATCACCTGTAGAAACCTACATAACTTCACAGCACATCTCAGATGCCAGCTCTTTCAAGATCTTCTCTGATAAACCCAAGGAGAAATAATTTTTCCCTCATCAAAATCCTTAGTGCACTTGGGATTACATCACATATTCTTCTTATAGGAGTGGTCTTTCTATTAGCATTGAAGGTCCTTAAGAGCAAGATTGCTTTTTAAACATCTGTATTTCTTAAAGTATTCTGTGCAAAATACTATGCTAAACCCTGTATTTACTCAAACATTTTAGCTTAATGAATTAAAATATGACTCAAAATGGAATGGTAAGTTGTTCCATCTTAATATATTAAGAAATATCACCAACAGCAACTACATCAAGAAACCAAGAAGACGACCTTTAATGGAATATTTGATGGACGCTGAAGTGAGTCTATTAACAAAAACAAACAAAAAGAATCAGGGACTACATTTGCCATTAATTCTAAAATTGTTGCCATTTAGGGCCTCACTGAAATGTAGGGCCAAATAGCTGTTGCTCTACCAGTAGCAGTTCTCATATTAAATGATGAATTTGCAAGGCATGCCCCCTAGGATTTCATCTGTTCTCCTTGAGAAAATGTCAATAACTTCTATAAAGAAAGAGTGGCCCTAGTTAGAGTTTTTTAGTTTCAAGTCTATGTTTAACCCATTAAGAAATAATTCATACTTAGTATATATTTTTAAAAAACACTAAAATATAGTCTAAATTTTCCTGATTTTTTAAACTATGTAGGAATTATATAATAAAATGTGATTACCTAAGAGAATGTTCTGGTTTTTAGGACATATACAATAAAGTACTTAGGATTAAAATAATAAGATGGCTCCAATTTGCAAATAGTATAGAAAGGAGAGAGAGAGAGAGAGCACACTACCAATATATTCAAATGTAATTTAGAAAAAAATCTGGATAAAAGGGTATATAGGACTTTCTTCTACTATTCTTGCAACTTCTTTCTAAGTTTAAAATTATGTCAAAATGGCTGGGTGTGGTGACTCACACCTGTAATCCCACCACTTCGGGAGGCTGAGGCAGGTGGATCACCTGAGGTCAGGAGTTCGAGACCAGCCTGGCTAACATGGTGAAACCCTGTTTCTACTAAAAATACAAAAAATTAGCCTGAATTGATGGTGAGCACCTGTAATTCCAGCTACTCGGGAAGCTGAGGCAGGAGAATCGCTTGAACCCAGGTGGCGGAGGTTGCAGTGAGCCAAGATTGTGCCACTGCACTCCAGCTTGGGCAACAAGAGCAAAACTCCATCTCAAAAAAACATAGTATATAAAAATAAGAGTTACACACACACACACACGTTAATGTACAACCAGGCAAACTGAGTCTATGTTAAAATTCGGTCATCACCTGTAAACTAGTTCAACCATTGTGGAAGTCAGTGTGGCGATTCCTCAAGGATCTAGAACTAGAAATACCACTTGACCCAGCCATCCCATTACTGGGTATATACCCAAAGGATTATAAATCATGCTGCTATACAGACACATGCACATGTATGTTTATTGCAGCACTATTCACAATAGCAAAGACTTGGAACCAACCCAAATGTCCAACAATGATAGACTGGATTAAGAAAATTTGGCACATAGACACCATGGAATACTATGCAGCCATAAAAAATGATGAGTTCATGTCCTTTGTAGGGACATGGATGAAATTGGAAATCATCATTCTCAGTAAACTATTGCAAGAACAAAAAACCAAACACCGCATATTCTCACTCATAGGTGGGAACTGAACAATGAGAACACATGGACACAGGAAGGAGAACATCACACTCTGGGGACTGTTGTGGGGTGGGGGGAGGGGGGAGGGATAGCATTAGGAGATATACCTAATGCTAAATGACAAGTTAATGGGTGCAGCACACCAGCATGGTACATGTATACATATGTAACTAACCTGCACATTGTGCACATGTACCCTAACACTTAAAGTATAATAAAAAAAAAAAATCTCAGAAACTAGAGTCAGAAGAATAGCCAAAAAAAAAAAAAAAAAAAAAAAAATTCAGTCATCACTATCTTTAATGGATGGAATGGAGTTTAGAGTAAATAGTGCAGGGAAGGTAGGGTTATGAGGTTTTAGTGTTCTCTTTCTTAATCTGCATTCTGATTACCAGATTATTGTTCACTTGATAAAATTTTATCAAATTGTGCCCTGATAATCAGAATGTAAGAATGTCACATTTTCTGTAAGATATCCTTCAATGAATTTTAACAAAAATATTATGAAAAAATAAATTTCTCTTTTTTTTACTTGATTACCCTATTATAGAATGCATATGTTTAGTGACTTTGTATAGTGATAAGAAAATACCTCAAACAGGATTTAAAAAAACGTAAAAAGATGTAAATGACACTTTTCTTTATTTTTTATTTAATTTATTTATTTATTTATGATAGGATCTCACTCTGTCACCCAGGCTATAGTGCAGTAGCATGATCACAGCTAATTTCAGCCTTGACCTTCTGGTCTCAAGTAATCCTCTCAAGGCCGCCTCCCATTTAGCTGGGACCACAGACACGTACCACTATGTCTGGCTAATTTTTTGAATTTTTGGTAGACAGGGTCTCACTTTGTTGCCTAAGGTGGTCTTGAATTGCTGGGCTCAAGCAATCCTTCAGCCTCAGCCTCCCAAAGTGCTGGGATTATACGCATGAGCCACCAGGCCCAGCCACTTTTCTTTAATTGAAGTGCTATAGCCAATACCAAAGTTGATGGCCTCCCATCCAACTTACAATTTACAGTATAGCACCTATACATTTAGTCTGCTGCTCTAAATGTCTCCCAGTAATCAAACTGTGTGTGAAATTCATAGTATGGGGCATACTATTTTTTAATCATTCTAACTACTGTAATTATGTCCTTATCTGTATTCATGTCCTGAAAGTTTATGCAAGTAAAATTAGCATAATGACATTTAAGTTATTTCATGTTTATGTGCATGCATTTACTGGACATTGCTATTTTTTATAACCTTACATTTTAAATTTCTACTTTTCATCCAAGAACTCTCTCAAAATGTTTGACTTACCTTCTTTTGTTTTTACATTTTTCTGTTCTTCAATTTTTTCATTCATCCAACATATACTTAAATATCTAAGTTTTAAGGTAACTATATGTGCCGGTATATTTGCCTATAAATCATCATGCACATAGAAAACACTTTTAGAAGCTTCCTCTTTCATACCAAATTCAAACCATAAGGTCTAAAGGAAGTACTTAGAGGTTGTGGTATACACACATTTATTTTACTGAAAACTGAAAATAACGCAGACAAAAGGATGAAACTTATTGGGAATTGGTATGATACATAAGATATCTTTCACTCAGAAAAAAAGTAAGAATATACCATACTAAGTTCATTTTCTTCAAAAATTTGGATCCTTTCATTTTCTAGGGCTGCATATCCTTTTTCCTAAAGAGGAACTCCACATTTTATAAGTTGCAGTTCCCATAAAGACTAGATCTCTCCCTAGTTTTGATGAACTATACCTGGGAAACCAGAGGTATGGCAATCCTAAAACGAATATAGGAAAAGAGTTCCAATAGACACAGATTCCCTTCCCCTGGTGAAAATGAAGATAGAAACAACAACAAAAAAAGATATTATGTAATATAAAATAAAACAAATGTTCATTATATTTGAACCTGTATTCTCTTTTCTAAACTGAGTTTCAAAGGGCAAGGAACATGTCTGTCAGATACTACTTTCTATCCAGTACACATAGTAGCTGCACAATAAACATTTATGACATGAATTAATTAGCGTTTCTCTGGCCTGCCAATGCCCTGTATATAGAAAATCTGTAAATTTCCACTAACTTTAAAAATACTCATATTTTCCTGGAACAGAAAGTAAAGATTACATGGCAGACAAAATTGCATCTGTCTACTAATGATTACCATGTAATCTTTACTAGATGGCCTTGTGGTTCTCAGTAAGAGTCAAGTGACAAAGGAGACAGAGGGAGCAAAGCTGAAAGACTTTAATAAACTCTCTTTGCAAATAATGTTTTTATTCAATGTCAACTTCTTATTAAAACATCCCAGGGCTTGACTCTTCTGAGTCTTTTATATACTTTTTTTCTACAACAAAGGAGAAAGCAATCACTATTGATTTGGGCACATATCAAAAAATGAAAAAAGAGAAATAAATAAATAGTTGCATTTCAATTGTGGCCACCATACAGCTAATAGTTTATCATAACTCTTAAAGGTTGGTCCCTAGGCTCTTATACAGGTTCACCCTTTGCTGACCTCTTACAATCTTTCTGTCAGCATTTTGAATGCTACTGATTCTGTGAGTAATATTTTCAACGGAGGTCAGACAGGCCAGTAAGTCCAGCGTGCCCTCTCACTTACGAATTCCCCTTCTTTTGTGGCTTTTCACCATGGGTTCACATGTCATGGACTCTACATCGCAAACTGCAGTAAACAAATTTCAATCGTGAGTGAAAGGAGAAAAAAGCAAATCCTACTTGACTATTGCTAGCTTGTTTACACCATAGGGCTAGAGTAAGCTGAAATCGACAGAGTATAAAGAAAAGAAGGTCCTCTTGAAGTAACACACACACTCATTTTCAGACTCATAGTTTAAATGCAGTCTTTTATTTGTCACTACCACTGCATTGTTATCAGAGGATTTATATGCCTAGAGCTGCCAGAAGTGTCACCAGCTCTGACAATGCCCATTTTGGAGCTTTTTCCGATGGCTTATTTTATTTATAGTTTTGATGAAACTGGGGCAGTCACAAAACTGATTAGCGATCTGGCAAACAGGGCCTGCTCTGCTAATGATCTGTGTAAATATTGTGCTGTAGAGCCTTTCTGTGACAGGTCATTGCTGCTAACAAACCGCAGAATGCAAACAGAGACCTGTGCTGCCTTCACTGCAGATGAACAGCAGCCAGCTTACACTGACAAAGCAAATGAAAATCCTCTTATTGTCGATCATCTCAAGCAAAATGGCCTAAAAATCAATTCTAGGATAGGCTTTCTTTCTTTCTCGAAGCTTTAATCTGGGGATGATGACAGTGATAATGGTATTTCATTATACACATAAAGTAAGAGAGAAAAACGTAATAAAACAAGATATAAAAGATGAATTTAAACAATGGATTGTGAAAGCCTTGCTGTTTGCTTCTGTTTTTAAAAATATTTTGCTATTTTTTCTTGGCTGCTGCCGTTACTACAGTTGTAGTCTGCACAGAATGAAGCCTTAATCACACAGTCATGCTGAAACATGTTTACAAAGGTAAAATTAATGGGTTTATCTTAAGCAAGATGTCTTTCTATGGCATCATTAATATGCTTTAGATTTTTTAAATAAATGTGTTTTTATTCTTCCAGTACATCAGAATTGGAATTGGAGTCATGTCAAGATGTTCTCACTGGCAAAGACAGGAGGAGGTTAAAATAGCTCCTTGTAGGGCAGTAACCTCGGGAGAAAAAGAACTAATAGAAAATAAATGGCGAGTATTTTTTTTGAATCATTTGTATGATAAGCTTATAATGTACTTGTCTCAATGCAGAAAGCACAAGGAAAAAATAAATATGTCCTCATCACATTGGTAGACAAAGCACTAAGCACGTAGGTTGTCAGAAATTCGATATCCCTTTCTCTTTTCTATATCCTCTACCAAACAGAAAGTTCCACATACATCTGAGACTTCAGTGTCTATGTGACTTGAGTACAATTTCCTTTTTCATCTTTGTTTTTCCTTTACTTACTCGTTTCCCTTTATTCTTACCTGAGATATAGAGAATAAAAAATAACACTATAGAATCAACCTTTTTTTCTAGGTAATTTAGAATAAATTTTCCAGAACATAAAAAGGATAATGATGGCATTATGTAAATTTGAGACCAAAATTTTCTGAATTAAATTATTTTTACATAGATAATTGTTCACTTCTGATTAGGAACATTAAATAAAAAGTAATTTTAACAATATGACAATACAACTTAGCCTTCTTGCATTATCTTTTTTAGCCTAAATATTTAATTATTATAATTTGCACAACATCGAAATTATAGTGCAATTCTTTTCTTTACAAAATAATCACAATAAAGTATTTTAATCAAGCAACTGAGCACATACAATTATTATTCTATGTCCATAAAATTTTTTTGCAGAAAACATTTATATAAAAATTTCAGTAGTCAAACATTGAGTAGCAGGAAAATACTATTAAATTTTAAAAACCAAACAAGCATTGGAAACAGAAAAATGGATACGAAGAGAAGCAAGTATTCTCCTGTATTTATAATTGTGGTACTTTACAATATATGTAATATATCTTTAGAAAGATTAATTGTCTTTTATTCTCACAGAAATTCTATGAGCCAGGCAGAGGAACTGTTTTTGTTCCCATTTTACTTCTGTAAAAACTGAGTCTCAAAATAACTGCTCCCCAGAAGTATAGAATGATTAAAGGTCAGAAACAGAGCCTGCATATTTTCATATTTGTTACACTTTTTTAGCTATTGTTGTCCAAGAGTACTCTTACTTTTGAGATACTTTCTTTATTTCACTGTTCAGAATTTTTATATTTGTATGATTTAACAAAATAATCGGTAAATTTCATTTTTGGGGATTAAAAATTAGGTTGTGGAAGCTACATTAGGTTGTGGAAGTTGTGCCCCATCTGAGACAAATCTTGGATTAATCAGTGATTGATTAAATTATTGAAAGTTTAGTTATTCAAAGAAATTGGCATAGAAGTACATTAAGCTAAGCTTTATCTGGTAAGATGGAGAACTAACATGATGTGGGCTTCTTTCTGTGACCACAACCCTGGAAATGACACAGAAATCAGCATCTAATACTAAAAGATGTGAGAAACCTTTGCAGTTACAAACTACAGTAAAGTCTGCGAGTAGAGAAAAAAATGACAGCAAAGAGCAGAAAACTGAGATGTAAGGAAACCAGAATATGCTGGGGCGGAAGTTTTTAGTGGTCATCATTCCTTTTCATTGCATTCCTGTATTTTTTTCTGCTCTTTCAATAGTTAGAGTACCCACAGTGTGCAAGGCACTCTTCTAAATACTGAGAATACACTACAGAGCCAGAAAGACAAAACTTTGACCAAATGGAGCTCCCATTCTAGCAAAACTAGAGTTGAAAAGAGACCACTGCTAACTCCTTTAAAGCCATTTTGGAGTCGGCCAGGCAGAATATGACTCAACCTAGCTTGGAAAATGAGGAAATAGTGACAAATGCAGAAAGACCATCTGAACCCTAGGCATTCTCCTCTAACCCAGCTACTCCATACAATGAGTGTTAGGATGGTGATTAAAACTGAGGGAGACCAGTCTTGGTAAACAGCACCACCCAGGACACGTGAATACACCAACTTTTATGGAGGAGGAAGGCAAACAAAGGGTGGCAGAATCCAGTTATTTCCTAAGGAGTCCTTCATTCTAAACACTTCTGGTGGGTCAATCTTGAGCCTGATTTTAGTGCCATGTATTCTTAATCAGCATAATAAATCTTACTAGGAAAAAATAGGCCTCAAAGGAATTCAATGACTCTAAAATAAAATACATGTATATCAAAGACAACCAGATTTACAAAAATTAACAATAGTTTAAAATATGTGACCATATGTGGTGGTTTACGTCTGTAATCCCAGCACTTTGGGAGTCCAAGACAGGAGCATTGCTTGAAGCTAGGAGTTTGAGATCAGCTCGGGCAACCAAGAGAGCTCCTGTCTCTACAAAATAAATAATAATTAAAAAAAATACCTAGGTGTGGCGGCATGCACTTGTAGTCCCAGTTACCAAGGAGGCTGAGGCAGGAGAATCTCTTGAGCCCAGGAGGTCAAGGCTGCAGTTAGCTAGGAGGCTGTCACCACTGCACTTGCTCCAGCCTGAGTAACCGAAAGACACTGTCTCTGAAGAAAAAAAAAGTTAAAATAAATCCAAAAATATGTATAGTAAATGTTCTCAAAGACATAAGGCACAATATTTGAACCTGAAGAAGAAATTAGCAATCATAAAATATTTTTTCAGTATGAAAACCATATCTGTTGAAATGAAGGATTAAATATATGGTATAAACAGCAGAAGGGTTAAATTTGAGGAGTGCTCATTAGTGAGATGGAAGATAATGTTCAAATAATAACAAATTTTTTTTTAAATTTAGAAAACTAGACTTCACATGTACTGCTGATGGGAGTACAGACTGATGCAACTATCCAGAGAGCAATGTGGAGTGAAATGAAATCCAAACCTATGAACCAGCAATCCTACTCTTGATCCACATGGCAAATAAACTTAAGTTTAAACTCATGAAAGGATATGATATCTAGTAGAGACATTTGTTGTTGCAGGGAGTTGGAAGGAGGCAAAGAATCTATCACTGTAATACACACACACACAATTGTTTATAAAATGGAATACAGGCCAGGTGTGGTGGCTCATGCCTATAATCACAGTGCTTTGGGAGGCTGAGGCGGGCAGATCACAAGGTTAGGAGTTTGAGACCAGCCTGTCCAATATGGTGAAACTCCATCTCTACTAAAAATACAAAACTTAGCCAGGCGTGGTGACACGCGCCTGTAGTTCCAGGTACTCGGGAGGGTGAGGCAGAAGAATGCTTGAACATGGGAGGCAGAGGTTGCAATGAGCCGAGATCATGCCACTGCACTCCAGCCTGGGCAACAGAGCGAGACTCCATCTCAAAAAAAAAAAAAAAGAAGAAGAAGTAATAGTGTGCTGTGCAGCATGAAAAAAAAATGAGGTAAAGATACACACGATAACAATAATAGGTCTTAATAATATAGTGTTGGATTTACAAAAGTAAAAACTATATATACAACATATAACTCAAAAACAACCACAAAATTTTATAGTTTTCAAAAAATGCATATTCAAGGGTCTACCACAAACACATGAATGCAATTGAAGTAAGAGGGAGAAGCAGAAGGAAATAAAAATAGAGATTAGAGATTAGGGCAAGATAAAATAATTAGATAAAATAAATCAAGAAATTCCTATTTTATTTATCATGATAAGAATGTACTTTAAAAAGAGGATGACTACATAAAATGAGTTAGGGAGGAGTACCTCTTTTTCTATTGTTTGGAATAATTTCAGAAGGAATGATACCAGTTCCTCTTTGTACCTCTGGTAGAATTTGGCTGTGAATCCATCTGGTCCTGGGCCTTTTTTTTTGGTTGGTAGGCTATAATTACTGCCTCAATTTCAGAACTTGTTATTGATCTATTCAGGGATTTGACTTCTTCTTGGTTTAGTCTTGGGAGAGTGGATGTGTCCAGGAATTTATAAATTTTTTCTAGATTTTCTAGTTTATTTGTGTAGAGGTTTTTATAGTATTCTCTGATGGTAGTTTGTATTTCTGGGGGATCAGTAGTGATATCCCCTTTATCATTTTTTATTGTGTCTATTTGAGTCTTCTCTCTTTTCTTCTTTATTAGTCTGGGTAGTGGTCTATCTATTTTGTTGATCTGTTCAAAAAAACCCCTCCTGGATTCATTGATTTTTTGAAGGAGTTTTCATGTCTCTATCTCCTTCAGTTCTGCTCTGATTTTAGTTGTTTCTTGTCTTCTGCTAGCTTTTGAATTTGTTTGCTCTTGCTTCTCTAGTTCTTTTAATTGTGATGTTAGGGTGTCAACTTTAGATCTTTCCTGCTTTCTCCTGTGGACACTTAGTGCTATAAATTTCCCTCTAAACATTGCCTTAGCTGTGTCCCAGAGATTCTGGTATGTTGTGTCTTTGTTCTCATTGTTTTCAAAGATCTTATTTCTTTCTGCCTTAATTTCATTATTTACCCAGTAGTCACTCAGGAGCAGCTTGTTCAGTTTCCATGTAATTGTGCGGTTTTGAGTGAGTTTCTTAATCCTGAGTTCTAATTTGATTGCACTGTGGTCTGAGAGACTGTTTGTTATTATTTCCATTCTTTTGCATTTGCTGAGGAGTGTTTTACTTCCAATTATGTGGTCGATTTTAGAGTAAGTGTGATGTGGTACTGAGAAGAATGCATATTCTGTCGATTTGGGGTGGAGAGTTCTGTAAATGTCTACTAGGTATGCTTGGTCCAGAGCTGAGTTCAAGTCCTAAATATCCTTGTTAATTTTCTGTCTTCTTGATCTGTCTAATATTGACAGTGGGGTGTTAAAGTCTCCCACTATTATTGTGTGGGAGTCTAAGTCTCTTTGTAGGTCTCTAAGAATTTGCTTTATCAATCTGGGTGCTCCTATATTGGGTGTATATATATATATATATATATATATATATATAATCGTTGGCACTCCTTGTTGCATTGATCCATTTACCATTATGTAATGCCCTTCTTTGTCTTTTTTCACTTTTGTTGCTTTAAAGTCTGTTTTATCAGATATTAGGTTTGCAACCCCTGCAAGGCTACAGTAACCAAAACAGCATGGTACTGGTACCAAAATGGATATATAGACCAATGGAACAGAACAGAGGCCTCAGAAATAATGCCACACATCTACAACCATCTGATCTTTGACAAACCTGACAAAAACAAGTAATGGGAAAAGTATTCCCTATTTAATAAATGGTGTTGGGAAACTAGCTAGCCATATACAGAAAACTGAAACTGGACCCCTTCCTTAACACCTTATACAAAAATTGACTCAAGCTGCATTGAAGACTTAAACATAAGACCTAAAACATTAAAACCCTAGAAGGAAGCCTAGTCAATACCATTCAGGACATAGACATGGGCAAAGACTTCATGACTAAAACACCAAAAGCAATAACAATCAAAATTGACAAATGAGATCTGATTAAACTAAAAAGCTTCTGCACAGCAAAAGAAACTATCATCAGAGTGAACAGGCAACCTAAAGAATGGGAGAAATTTTTTGCAATCTACCCATCTGACAAAGGGCTAATATCCAGAATCTACAAGGAACTTAAACAAATTTACAAGAAGAAAAAAAACAATCCCATCAAAAAGTGAGCGAAGCAAACTAACAGACACTTCTCAAAAGAAGACATTTATGTGGCCAAAAAACACATGAAAAAAATTCAACACTGGGCTTTACAAAAATGCAAATCAAAACCACAATGAGATAAAAATGATGAATTCATGTCCTTTGTAGGGACATGGATGAAGCTGGAAACCATCATTCTCAGCAAACTATCGCAAGGACAGAAAAACAAACACTGCATGTTCTCACTCATAGGTGGGAATTGAACAATGAGAACACATGGACACAGGAAGGGGAGCATCACACACCGGGGCCTGTCGTGGGGTGGGGGGAGGGACGAGGGATAGCATTAGGAGATATACCTAATGTTAAATGATGAGTTAATGGGCGCAGCTCACCAATATGGCACATGTATACATATGTAACAAACCTGCATGTTGTGCACATATACCTTAAAACTTAAAGTATAATTAAAAAAAACCACAATGAGATGCCATCTGGCATAAGCCAGTTAGAATGGATATCATTAAAAAGTTAGGAAACAACAGATGCTGGAGAGGATGTGGAGAAATAGGAACGCTTTTACACTGTTGGTGGGAATGTATATTAGTTCAACCATTGTGGAAGACAATGTGGTGATTCCTCAAGGATCTAGAACCAGATATATCATTTGACCCAGGAATCCCTTTACTGGGTATATACCCACAGGATTATAAATCATTCTACTATAAAGACACATGCACATGTATGTTTACTGCAGCAGTATTCACAATAGCAAAGACTTGGGACCAACAAAAATGCTCATCAATGACAGACTGGATAAAGAAAATGTGAAACATATACACCATGGAATACTATGCAACCATAAAAAGGATTAGTTCATGTCCTTCCTGGGGACACAGATGAAGTGGGAAACCATCATTCTCAGCAAAAATACACAGGAACAGAAAAACAAATATCGCATGTTCTCACTCATAAGTGGGAGTTGAAAAACGAGAACACATGGACACAGGCAGGGGAACATCACACACTGGGGCCTGTTGTGGGGTGGGGAGCTAAATAAATATAAATATAATTTAAATATATACATAAATATAATATAAAATGTTATGACTAAATTCTTTGTTAAATAAAAAGTGAATGAACAAGTAAACAAATGAATCAATAAAGGTAGATCAGTAAGATTGGACCTGTTACGTTTCTGATACACTTCTATCAGCATCTATGCCAAGCTTTGCCTAATCACCTTAAGCTCCCAATGGTCCCAATTTCTTTATTCTTGACAAATGAACTCATTTCTACTTTATTGAAACCATCAGTGACCATCTATAAAGAGCTCCTTTATGTACCTATAAATCATCCTAGCTCACATTTTCCTACATTTGAAATCACCCATTCTTGAATTTTCAGTGCCCATTGTCCAGACTAACTTTTCCACTAGAACTTTAAATTCAATCAATTCCTTTTATCTCTAGCATCAAATATTCTCTATCAGCTTTAAGCTGTTAATCCTCTGTGGTTCCTCCTGTACTAATGCAGACTCATGTTAGTCCATTCCAAAAGACCTCCTTGATATGGCTACTATTACATAGTCCTTCCTTTATTAAAAATATTTCATCTCTAACTCCCTATTGTAACAATGTGTTGTTATGCTTTAAGTTTCTTCCTAAAATTTTTCATTAATAACCTACTAAGAAATAAAATATACTAACTTATAGTATTCTGTGACTAAGATATCTAAAGTTTGGTTTGATAGTCCATTTAAGGAGTAGATTTTCCCATCTCTCTCTTTGGGAAAAGGAACCTAGCCAAGCCCAGATTTGTGTGTCTATGTGAATCAGTAACACTTCAGGAAGGAAGTATGACATAGTGGTTAAGGTCACAATCTCTAAAATCAGACAAAGTATATTCAAATGCCAATCTTAGCAGTTATTAGGTATGTAAAGTTGAAGAATTTCATTACATCTTCTGATACAATTTTCTCATCTGCAAAAGTGTGTATTGGTAGTATAGGCATTATATTTTTGTGAAAATTAAATAAAACAATAAATACAAAATAATATTTTTAGTGTTAGGCTCATAGTAAAGGGTTACTATGTATTATTGTCATTTCACTGTGGCTCTTATTTCTGAAGGACAGGACAGTCTACTAAATGTATTGTAATGTAATGAAAATAACTAAGCCATGCTATTCTATTATTTTGTAAAGTATCTCTGGTTTTTCATTCATTAAAAAACATGCCTCTCTTTTGGGGACACTCCATTGTCCTTTTCTTCTAGTCACATTGAAGTCTGTTTGCCTTTGAAGGCAGCCACATTAACTCACTGTCTACAGGGAAAAATCACACCCCTTTTTATGGGAGGAAGTACAGATTTTTGATTCCTGAGTCCTGTTAATACAAGTAGCACCTCAGACTTTACCTAGATTGATATCCCTCTTTCTCCATTTCTCAGCTTGCAAAATGGAGTGGGCAATTGTTTAAGGGGAAAAGTGTATGTGCTTTCAAATTCCAGTTCACTTCTCATTAGTGAAAACTGTGGATTGGTGAATACAATTAATCTCCTGAATTATACTTTGCAAAAACAACCAACACTTTTTCTTAGACACAATACAATGCAATTTCATACTAAAGAAAGAATGTTACCTATTAGCATAATCATGCCCATTATTTTAATAACAATAAATGGATATTCATTATCCATTTTTGTGCTGAGAATCATTTGGTGTTTTATTCCTTTCCTATAGACCTGAAGGTATCAAAATGCTACAGCAGTAGTAAATAGTAATCTTTGTTGTTAGAGAAAGAGGCAATGGTTTTGATTACATTCTGGTTTGAGGTAATCTGATTGTGATAGCATGTTTGGTGAGAAATTTGTGATCAATTTCTTTCTAACATCATTATTTACTGTAATATTTTTAAAATCTATCAACCTGTCCTTTTAAGGCTTCTATAACATGAACCTATCCTGAATATTTTTGTTTCTGTCTAATGCTTTATTTCTTTTCTTGATTTTTAACTTTCCATCTAAACCATTACTTTTTCTCAAAATAGTGTAAACCATCATCTCTATGTAAATGAGTATACTAAAAATACATCATAATACCTATCCTGAGATCCAGTCTCAAATTTCCAACTTTTTTCTGGCCATTTTCATTTTTTACTTTGTTTTATGTATAAAGAAAACAAACAAAAACTAGCAAAAACATAAAACTGGCTCCAGCTCTTATGCCAGGTGCTATGAGTAAAGGACAAAGTTCCTGACTCAAGTTTCTCCTATTTATGTCAAAGGTACTATTGTCAAACTGATCAAAAATTTGTGGTCACAGACATTGTCATTACCTTGGTTTGCCTATGCCTACTCATATACTTAAATTCTTTTTTTCAATGATTTCTCAAATTTATTTCTACTTTCTTTACCTTCTGTGACCCTTACACTTAAAAGGTGAAAGTGGAAGACAGTCTTTTGATTTTTTTTTTGAATGCACAAAATACATGTTATTCCCTGACTCTCCTTTTGATGGATAGCCCTTTTTTGAGCAATTTACAATCATTTTCTTTTTTGATTATTTATGAATAAAGTTCAAATTCTCACATCTAATATTCTAAATCCTTCATAATTTGTCCCAACATTTACTTCTAATTGTATATTCAAATATTCTGAAACAATCACATTATTCTGTCTAATGTATGCATTCTATACTTCTGAATGTTTTCTATGCTTATCACCAAATTTGCACTTGTCTTTTGAATAATCCATAATGCATTTTTCATCTTCCCCATATTATTGAAGAGTATCACATAATAGGAAGCTCTATTAACCTTTCTTTGATCATCATAGTCCACGATGGCATCTCCCTCCTTAGAAGATCCCCAATATATATTGCATAGCACTTTTCTGAAAGTTACTTTTTTGTGTTTATGTTTCTTATGTTCAGACTTGGATATTAAGTGACCTGAAGATAAAAGATCTGTATTCTACATCTTCTGTTCACACATAGCACTTACTGAGGAACTATACACATAGCAATTCTATAAAGTAGGGAGTGTTTTCTAGAAAAGAAGTGACTATGTGTTGATACGTCTCCTTCAATTTTATTAATAAACTTTCATTTACGAATATGTATTAAAAGTGTCTTTAGGCTCTCTTTGTATGTTTGACCCATTTCGTGGTAAATGTGAACAGTGGAACAAGATAGTTGCAGTGCTAAACTTAGACTAAAGGGAAGAGGAACTCAGGTTCTAGGCCAGCCCTTTAGAGTGAACCACAAACCACTTTCACCTTCCTCCCATGGGGGCTGGGAAGGAGAGTAGAAGGGGAAGTGGCGATGAGTCCACAAAACAAGTGAATGTGCTCATGTGAAACAAGACTCATGCCCATCCATGTGCTATGCCAATGTACCAATACTCAAGACTCTGGATTCCTCTTTAGGAGAAATAAAAGGTCCTAAGATTGCTTTCAAGGTCTATTCAAGGCCATTCCCTACACCAGCCTTTTTGAAGGTGGACTGGTGTGTACAACCCTTGGTCAAAGGGATGTCTCATGAGGAGATGCTGGACAAATAGGCTGCAGTATCTTGGATGTAACAAACCCCTCATCCAGCAAGATGGAAAGAGGGGTGGAAAGAGAATGAAATTGGCTATGACCTGGGGCCTCTTTCCAATCCTCACATTCCATTGTGGACCTCTCCTGGCAGTCCAAGAATGCAGATTTCAATTTAATTTTTTAAGTTGTTATGAAGTTGTCAATGTAGGAATTTCAATACACTTTAACAGTTCTTAAGCTTGATTGATGTCTTATAAATATGTAGTCATTAATATGTGGGTCTAGATTTGCAATACTTCTGAACTTCCACAAATGTTAGGGACAGGCCTGAATAGCTAACTTTTTTCTTTTATTTCAAGTTGACTTAATATTATAAAAAACATTTTATTTTTTCCTTTAATAGAGTCAAATATACAGTTTCTGTTTTCATCCAGTAACTTTAGCAGAGACTTTTTCTCTCTGCTAGTGAAAGAGAGGACTCAGGTTTAGAGGAAATTTGCTTTTTCAGAACATTTGATCTTCGTAACACATCAAGATGTATTTAGAGAAAAGAACACACAGACTTAGTACTATTTATAAATAGCTTCTTTACCCTTACTCCTAAATTAAAACAAAACTAAAACCTAGGAAAAGCACTTGCATTATACAAAATTTATACTTTAGCTATTTCTACATTTAAAAATAAAATAATATAAATCACCAATTTTACGTTTTAAGCAAAAGTGTATTCTCAAACTTTATATTATTCAGCAATACCTATTACTCTCCAAGTATATGCATGTATCATTTCTCTCATTTAAAGTCTCTGACCACATCTAGAAAAAGTGAAAAATGGTGCAGTCATTACATTTTGGTTGTGGAACTGGGAATTTTATTTAGCACAATATAAATAATTAGGGAGTAATTCCTTTTATACTATTTTTCATCCACTTTTTTTTTTTTTTTTTTTTTTTTGAGACGGAGTCTTGCTCTGTCGCCCAGGCTGGAGTGCAGTGGCGCGATCTCCGCTTACTGCAAGCTCTGCCTCCCGCGTTCACGCCATTCTCCTGCCTCAGCCTCCAGAGTAGCTGGGATTACAGGTGCCCGCCACCAGGCCTGGCTATTTTTTTGTATTTTTAGTAGAGCCGGGGTTTCACCATGTTAGCCACAATGGTCTCAATCTCCTGACCTCGTGATCCGCCCGCCTCGGCCTCCCAAAATTCTGGGATTACAGGCGTGAGCCACCGCGCCTGGCTTTTTTTTTTTTTTTTTTTAACCGTTTCTGATTTACTGAAACCCAGTCTGTATTTAATAAGGCTTAAACATTTGTATGTTTAATATAACAATATGTCCTCAGTGGCAGCTTGATTAGATTTGGATTTTAAAAGTCACTGTAGAAGGGAGGAAAAATATCAAAGAAGGGATACATACTGGTGACAAATACTTTTAAAATAGCATAACTCAAGTAACGCAAGTCAGTTTCGCCAGCCAAATGAAAATTATAGGTGGAAATCTCACACTGAACCTGGAGAATTTCCCGTTCCTGTTAAAGTATTTTCTTACTGATGTATTCATAAAACAATACTGTCCATTTATGTCTTTCAGAAACGATTCTATTATTTTCATTAACATACCTGTATATTAGAATAAAAACTTTACAAGGTTATGTTTTCATTTTCCACTTTTTTTTCTTGTTTCTGTATTACTTTTTATATCAGTTTAATTTTGGCATTTAACCTAGCTATCTAATACCTTGGCAGTCAACACATTTCCCACCCTTGCTCTTGAATATAATGCTGTCAGAGAGTGGGATATGAGAAAAGCAAGAGGTTTTCTAAAAGGAAAATTATCTATCTATCTATCTATCTATCTATCTATCTATCTATCATCAGGAGAGCCTAGAGACACTATAAAAGAATTAAATTCAAATTGTAAGATCATAATAAAGTTTAACACATCATGATTTATAAACTACAGATATAAACTAAGTAACTTGTTTAAAGCTCCAGATGCTGCTTTCCATAATATTTTAAGTGAAATACTGTGTGTATAACTTAAAACCATTAGGCCACGAAGACCATGGAGAATATTTTAAGAATCAGTCACAATCTGAAGTGACATTATTGTTTTTTGTTTCAGTACACATTAGTACCAATTAGTTAATTTTAATTTGTGGAATGAATCAGTAAACAATAAAAGGGTATGAAAGGGTAAAGCACAATTTAAAGTGTTTTGGAAAATGTGGTCAGAAAACAACATAAGATCAGTAGAATAATTCTAGCATATCCATAGAATAATTAATATTATCACTATAGTAAACATGATTTAGCTCACACTATTTGGCGAAAAGAAAATTCACTTGCAGTATTCTGCACATTGTGTTATTTCTGCTCAAATGACATACTTTCAATAATTTGATTGAAATCATGTGACTCTCCTGAACAATCATGTTCTATCTTCTGGTTTAAGGCTATGTAGATATTAAGAGACATACAGTGATCCATCTTCTTTGTGTGGAAATGATCAAACACTACAAGTCAGTTAATGTGTTTTCAATGGTGAGGGGTTAATACCAAAAGATTTATATTAGAATTGTATAGCATCTATATTTCTAATCCTTAGTTATTTGTATGAACAATTAGAAGTCTGACCTGTTTGGAACTTATTTTGGGGTAAATAGGTTCCCAAGCCTTCTTGCAAAGGACATGCAAATAATGAAAATATGATATTAAGAACCACTCCACTGTTATTAAATGAAGATGAAAAGAATTAAATCAAAGTCTGCCATAGAATAATTTATAGATACCATATTGAACATTTTCTAAATATGCCCACATTCTTGGAGTGGCAGATAATGTGTTAATATTATAATAAGCATGAGTTAATAAACATTATGCATATTCTCTACTACAGATGAGTATACTTTTTGGCCCTTTTAATGAAGGATGCGGAATAAGCAACTCCCTGTAAGAAGAAGAACAGAAATGGATCCATTTTTGACTTGAAACTTTTATAAAAATAGCTGTATTTAATATGTTTTACTTATCATGGGTACATTTTTTTTAACTTGTGTTCATAAGGTAGATTCATTCAGCAAAAGAGTAACCGGTACTAGAAGAGAAGTAAGAAATTCATGGCTGAGTTAATATAGTTAAACTGTATCCGTCTGAAACTCTTTCTCTCTGAGGAAGCTTTTAAAATTATTTTTTCATTTTTCCAGACCTTTTTTCTTGATCTCTGTATTTTCCTCTAAAGCAAAGACTATCAATGACATTCTTAAACTTTGAAAGATTTAGGATGAAGGGAATATTTACTTATATTTTAGAAATAGTGCAATTTTGGAGACTGAGAAGTCTCTCAGGTTATTATCATCAATGTAGAACTTACCAGAGATGACTTTGGCTTTCTAAAGCATCTAAAATAAGCTATAGTATGCCCATGTTCCTGCAGCATTGGACTTACATAATTTCAAATGTTAATAATACCTTTCATAGATGCCTTTACAGGTATGCATAAACAAAATATCTCATTTTTTTAAAATCATTCTGCCCTCCATATGAAACTATTGGTCTATTAGATATATTTTTATTTTTTAACTGTTGATTTGAAATTATTATAGATTTACAGAAGGTTGCAAATATAGTACAGAGAGGTCTCTCATACTCTTCACCTAGTTTCCCCAGTGGTTACATTTTTTTTTTATAGCTACAGTAAAACATTAAAACCAAGAAATTGACATTGAAAAAATGTGTATGCATACATCTGTCATTTTATTACATGTGTAAATTCTTGTGACCACTACCACTATCAAAATATCTAACACTTCTAGTGAAGTGTAAAAATCTTATCTTGTTGGAAGTCTCTTTACCCATCCTTGTTTATATAATTTTTAAAATTTTTCATTTAGGTATTGATAACCATTTCGATGTTACAGTTTTTGATTCAAAAGTCAAACATAATTTAGAAAACTCAAGAAGAAAAATCTGTTGTACTTACTCATATTTTTGCTCTTTCTGTTACTCTTACATTTTTCTGATGATTTCAGGCCCCTTATTCATTTTATGTTTCAAGAACTTTTTGCTTTTCTTTAGGGTAGGTCTGTTTGCAACCGATTCTTAATTTTTCTTCTTCTGAGAATTTATTTAATTCTCCTTCATTTCTAAAGGACATTTTTGCCTAATACAGAATACTGGATTGACAGTTCTTGTTTTGCAGTACTTGAGAAATATATCACTTCCTTTTGGCCACCATTATTTCTGACAGGAAATCATTGTCATTCAAATTGTTTTTCTTCTGGAGAGATGAAGCATTGTTTTACCTCACTGTTTCCAAGATTTTTTCTTCTGCTGTTTTCTGAAATTGCCCTGTTTCTTTGTTGATTTTTTTGTGTCTGTCCCATTTTAGATTTTCTCATTTCTTGAATCTGTAGTTGTATGTCTTTTGCCAAACTCGAAAACGTTTTGGACATTATTTTTTCAAATATATTTTTAGCCCAACCCACTTTTGCCTTTCCTTCTAGGACTCTGGTGACATGAATAGTAGATTTTTTGCTATAGTCTTATAGGTCCTTGAGGCTCTGTTCTTTTTTTTTTTTTTTTTCATTTTCAGTCTATATTCCCTCTGGTCTTTGGATTAGTAAATTTTTAATGTCCTATTTTCAAGTTCACTTATTCTTTTCTCTATTTCCTCCATTACCCTACTGAGCCATCAAGTATTTTTTAAAGTTTCAATTATATTTTTCAGTGCCAAAATTTCTATTTGTCTCTTGGCATCTTCTATTTCTTTGTAAAGCTTTCCATTGTTTCATTTGTTCCAGCATATTCGCAATTGCTCATTAAAACATGTTTATGGTGGTGGCTTTAAAATCCTTGTGAATAAATCTAATTTATGTGTTATCACTGTGTTGGCATGTGTTATCTCATTCAAGATGAGATTTTTTTCTGGTGCTTGACATGCTGAGTAATTTTCAACGTATCTAGGGTAATTTGGATATTATGCTATGAGGCTCTGTATTTTAACTCTTGGAAATAAACCTCCTGTGACACCACACATGGTGAAAGTGGGGGTGCCTTGTTATTGCTAGGTGGTGATAAAAATTTATCCCTGCTCAACCACCTTTGGAGAGTGGGGGATTTTTTTCTTGTTTCTGCTCCCACTATGGCCTACACTGAAGGGAAGGCAAACCTCAGGAGGCCTTGGTCCTTTTTACCACTAGATGATGGTGAAAGTTCCACCTTCTCACTTAGTTTACTTTGACACCTAAGGAATCTGGTGGAGAAGGACGGGGCACATTGTAACTACCTGGCAGAGAAGAAAGTTCTAGATTCCCACACGGCCTTCTCTGATATCACCCAGACATTGATAGGCGGCAGGGCCTGTTAGTTTGTGTGTGTGTTTAAATTACACATTACCAATAGTATCACTTTGCATAAACCTATACTAAACTAAAAGCACGGACCCCACAGAAGACATGTAATTAAAGTTATCTTGTAGTATGCAGGTCTTTTTCACAGATGCATTCAGTGTGTGGTTTAAAAGGAAGTTAAAAGTTTAGTTCTAGTTACCATGCTAGAAGAACTTAATATGTAAAAGATGACATCATCAAAGACAGTGAAAGTCCTCTTTAATGTCTCAAGGCTTTTCATTGTGTATCACGAAATTTTGGTTATCTGTTTCTTTTCAGTAAATATTTAGTCTATTTTTCTAAGTTTAATATATTAGGATTTTCATTTTCATTAATCCTTAGTGTTTGTTCTACTGATATTTGCACATACAGTATGAGAACATACATTTCAATTGATCATTTTTTAAAAATTTCTTTGAGATATATCAAAAGTTCTATACCATATAAAGGAAAGTTATTCTACTATTCTAAAGCAGCTCATAAAATACAATGTACAAATAGGACAAAATACATACAAGAAGCGGGAGAAATGTTCCTAAGCAGCTCCACTGATACAGTGGAGATATAATCTCTCCTCTCTATTGAATGAATTTGCTGAGGGTCGGTGCATATAGTAGTCAATGGAATACAAACCAATAAAAATATGATAGATAAATAGAATGAAAAGTATCCAAGGGTCAAGTGCTAAATCTGTTCTGCTGATTCCAGCTGGTAATTCCTTTTCTTCTTTAACCCACATGAAGACACTCTACTAAACAGTCATGTATATCTCAGGCATACTGGTTTTCATTTGTAATTTTCATTTTATTGCACTTTCAATTTTCAGGTTTTGTCCATCTTTCTTCCCCTTGGCCCTTCCATCACTTCTGCTACTTGATGAATTCTGTCTTAAACAGTAGCTAGAATATAAACATTTAATAAAATATTAACCTGATTGCTTACCCTCCCTATAAACAATAAAATGACATACATGAACAAATGACAAATACAATATTTTATGTTGTGTTTATTTCTACCTTTCTCCAAGGCTTCCTCTAATCTTTATTAAAGTTTATTATAGCAAACTACTATCAAATATTTCCATGCATTTAACTGGTTGTTGTAACATCAACACAAGAGAGCAAATGAAACTTGTGAAGCTTATACTTTCTATTGCTCTAAGGTGTCTATGCAGATCATTATGTATTCTTCACCACAGGTCAGTTGCTTAGCGACCAGAGAAGTAGAGAACTACTAATTGAAAGTATTCTGTATTGCTGGCAAGGCTTGCTGCAGGACGTTGAACTTGGAAACAGCAGAGACTGTGTCAGATAAAAATGTTGCAGAGGATGAAAGAAAAATAGTTGCAGCATTATCATACTAGGAATGGTTATTATTTACTTTATGGTAAATTCTGCAAAATGCTTTGCTGTGCTTCTGTTTTATAAGATATTAAAATTGATTTTACTATTAAGGATCATTTACACAATCAGATTAAAAATCAGAGTTGTGGCATCTATTTTTAAAAAGTAAAACAGGACACAAAGGAGAAAAAGAAGAGGAGGACAAAAGAGAAGAAACAGAAGCAACAGCACTAAGTTAGATCCAGGTCCCTAAAGATAAGTAACAATATCTGTATGAACTTTTCTGATTGCTTATTTTATTTTGTAATGAAAACAAAGAAAGAGGATGAGGAGGAAGATGAGGATGAGGAGACTGAGGAGGAAGGCAAGGAGAGTAAGGAAGAGGAGCAAGAGGTAAAGGAGAAGAAAAGAAAAAAGAGAGAGAGAAGATTATTAAAAATCAAACTAAATACATATTGGAAAAACAATTGAAAAACAAACCAAAAGTAGCAACACTCTAACAGAGCAATAGTATAAACAAATTTATTCAAAGCATTAATTTTATATTAGTCTGTATCAGGCTTTCTAACCTGTACATTATGTAAAATTAGGATTATTTTCTCTCTTCTTTCCATGTAATGTACAATTCATGTATCCATCAAAAATAGATGAGTGGTCATTGTGTGACATCTTTCACTTAATAGAAAAGACTAGGTCAGAAAAGAGAAAATGTCCTTCACAAGACCAAGACTAAGTTGGCTCAATTTTCCTGATGGCTTATTTGCTACAAGAATTCTGATATAATTCTGTATTTACAGTCTCATTCTCTCTCTCACACAATCCACAGGCATACAAAGTGTGTGTGTGTGTGTGTGTGTGTGTGCACATGCGTTTGACAAAGAGAGAGAGAAAAAGACTTGAATAACTGTTTCTTATGAGAATTCATTTGTGGTAATGGTTGCTACTTGTATTTCTATAAAGATTACTCCTAGTAATGATTGAAAAACAGGACATATGTTAATTAAATGTTCAGTGACTTTATAGTTAAATATACATATAATGCACATTCCAAGTTTTTAAAAAAATAACAATCAATAAATAGCTAAATGTTTTAAATCATAACTGGTCAGAATTTAGTTGTTAATATTCAGATACCATTTCAATATCGTGTAGAGTCATTATGAATATCATTTGTCTGCAGTACTCTGAAGATAAAGGTGGTAAAACATGTGTTAGTCAATGGTCTACCTGTTATACAGCCTTTTAAAACAAATCCTTGGCATGAGATTGTCATTTGTCTGTTTCTCATAAAAGCTGAGTGTAGAACATCCTAAAAATCCAGTTCAGGTTTTTTATTCTTGTTACATTTCTGCAGAATTTTAATATAACTTTCCTTTTGTGTATTTATGCCTACTGTTTCTATTTACTTACAGGTGGCCTGAATTTTTTATCCAGAGATAAAGTTAATGCAAGAAAGAATTTAAAAATGTATGGTAGATTATCAAAATTCTTAACTTAAAAAAAGGTCAAATCCACCTTTGCTACAGCACACAACCTAATCTTATATCTGTTCATCTTTTTTGTCTTTGTTTTAAAAACACATACTTGATAATCATATTAGATGGTTACAGCTTTCTATTGCTGCATAATAAACCAGTCTAAACATAGCAGCTTAAAACAGCTAAGTAGCACAGATGGACCTGCTCATGATTCTTCAATCTGGGCTGAACTCAGCTGGGTGGCTCATCTCTTCCCTAGATGGTGTCTTCTGCTGGACTATTTAATATGTTTGTATTTAGAGGCAGCTCCATAGGGACTGGAGGATCCTAGCTGGCCCCATTCATATGTTGTGCTGGAATGACTAGAAACTAACTGGGTCTTCCTCTCTATCTTCCCAGTCTTTCATTCCTCCTGGTCTTTTTCATCATAAGGTGTCTCATCCACAAGGACGCTAACCTAGACATCTTTGCACAGTGGCTCAAGGTAAAAGACAGAGTAAACAAAAGCTATAAAGCTTCCTTAAGCCTAGGACTGAAACTTATACAGTGTCTCTTTAGCTGCATTCTCATGGCTCAACTAATTCACAAGGCTAATCTATTGTCTGGTTGGGAGGATAATGCAAGGACATGAAATCAAAGGACATCCATAATTCATTGGGGACTGTTTGGTAAGAATATGAGTTAAGGCTTAAATTTGTTCGAACACAACTGGTTCTAAAACATCACATTGTTGTATTAGGTTTCCAGGGTTGTCATAACAAATTACAACAAACTTGATGACTTAAAACAACAGAAATTGATTCTCTCACAGGTCTGGAGGCCAGAAGACAAATGAATGTGTTGGCAGTATTGGTTTCCACTGGAGACCCAGAAGAAACCCATTCCATGCTGTCAGCAATTCTTAGCGGTTTTTGTCTTTCCAGTCTCTCTGACTCTGTCTTCACATGCCTCCCCGCTTTTTCTGTGTCTTTCTGTTATTCTATCTCTTATAAGGACACTCATTAGATTTAGAATTTATTGTAATAGAGGATGAGCACACTTTATTACCTTATTACATCTTCAAAGATGCTTATTACAATTGAGGTCAGACTGTGAGATTCTGGGTGGACAAACCTTTTGGGCAAACACCATTCAACTCTTACGATTTTCTATCAAAATGTATAATTTTCTCCCATACTTTTTCAGTAATCTCCACCATAAAGAACTTGGATTTAGAACACTTGGATTCAGTAATCTCCATCATAAAGAACTTGGATTTAGAACACTTTTTTTCCACATGTATTTAAGCAATATTTCTCAAAGTATATTCCTGAGAAAAGTATTTCAGTTATTCTATGAGTAAAAAGTTTCTTGGTCACGCAATTTTGGAAATTACTGCTTACTATTAACACCTCCTGGATATTTGCTTTGTGCATTAATTTATTAATGAGAAATCATATAGGAAAATATGCTAAAATTTTAGGAAGCACATGTTTTTCCCAAACACCAATAAACACTAAATATCGCCAATTTTATTCAAATGATACCTATCAACACCTTACAGAAAAAGGGTTATGTGTACCAAAGGTCCTGATTTGACCTATTGTGTTAACTACATGATATCTGTTTCAAAAATATAAACAAAATTACCATGAGTATTACTAAACATTTTAGTAATCTGTGCCCTTGCAATTCAGCAAGCCGTTTCAACTACCTGGAATTTTCTTTCTCCTTTTTATGGATAACTCCTACTGGTCCTTTAGATATGAGATTAGAGGTTATTTTCCAAAGAAAGCTTTTCTTCACTCCCCAAAGATTCAGTTAGATGTTCTTCCAGTGATTTTTATAGCTCTCTGTTCTTGGTGGTAATATATCACTGAAACACTCTACTGTAATTACCTTGGTTTTTGTTCTTTATTTAGTGTTCAACCATATGCTTGCTGAAGTTTAGGATGTTATTCGTCATTGATTTTTAAGACACAACGGATATTTAATCAATGCTTATTAAATGAATAGATGAGAAAATTTGACATTGGGTAGAAATCCTTTAAAATATTTTGCATGGAAATCACTTTTTGCTTTCAAAGTAATGTAATTAAAGACTTTTAGTTCCCACAGTTTGCAACAATAATCTTAGGAACTTAACTATTTGTTTTGTGAATATCTAGCACTAAACAATGAGCTAGAAATTTGATAAAACAGTTCAAATAATTTTTAAATCTCTTTGACTCAACTAGTCATGACTGAATTCATTTATACCATTAGGATATTAACACGTCTTTTAAAAAACAGTGTTAAATGGAGCTGGTCAAGCTATGCATTTTAAGAAGAAAAAGTACTCTCTTTTTAATAGGCTCTGCATAAGTAAGGCTATCCTCTTTTTCATAGTTTTTCAGAAACAATAACTTTGTCATTTTCTATACTTATTGATAATTTCCCCAACATATTAACAATTAAGAAATAAAGTTATGGCAGCCTAATTAGTCGAGTCAATACAGGAAGTAAATTGTTAAGACAGTGGGCATACCATCTTAGTTAGTAAGATATGGACATTCAACCACTCTCTTTCCCTACCCTAAGACACACACACTGTCAGAGAAAATGTTATGATGTGACTGAGAACTTTATGCTCAAAGCTTTCCAAAATTTCATATATAAATATTGTACTTTTATCAATATAAGATTTCACACTGTAAGAAAACATTGGCATAGGAGTCATTCTCTTTTACACAGTTTGAAAATGAATTTTAATGACACTCATATCTGATAAATAATATAATGTCATGGAGTAAAAGTTATTTTCTTGATATAAATATTTTATCATTTGAGTATATTCTCCCTGAAATCTAGGTGTCAGTTTAACAAAATGCATTTCTCACTTCACTGAATATGACTCCAGGATAAATAAAAAAGAACATTCATATTCAAAAAAAGTAATTTATTTACCTAGTTTATCCCAAGATTTATACTGTCAATGCTTTCATTACAAATTAAGGGCTAAAATATATAGTAAGTTCCTGAAGCTCTACCAAATGTTATCTATACTAAGTAGAACTAAATTAAATCATTGTGTTAACTTTTTATTCCTATTAAAGGATTTAGTCTTCTTCTAGTTTAGCTATAATAACAAAAGCAAATGTACATCCCTGGTTTCTTGCCAATTATAGCTTGGTCACACCTGCCTAAGTAGTGTTTTATAATAAATACATGGTAAGTAAATTAGTATCCAACCCTCAGGCCTACATGGAATAAATTTGGTGGGGTACTTCTCCCTTGGGAAAAAAAATGTTGTTAGCATTTTTTGTTTGCTAGTATCCTTTAGACCTACTACCTATAAAAACCCCTCTAAATGAAGCCTCTGGCAGCATTTCAATAAGCTAACTTCCATAGGTTTCTTCAGTTCATGGGGGTATTTTCCTCCTTTAATTTGCCAGCAGAGATCTGACATGAAAAAGTTCAGGTGCTGTTTTATAATATAAGAAAACATATACATGAGACTCCTTGTTCCTTGTCATAATCACATGTACAGTGCTTTAATTTCAACAAATCACATAGAAAAAAGAAGGTTGGTTTAAGTCATCATCACAAATAAAAAAGCCCATAAACCTACACCTATATTGTGGTCTTGTAATTCACCACTTGTAAGCTTGTAAAACCTAAAACTTAATATGCCTACAAATTTTGAATTTTTTAGAATATACTCAATTTGCTTCTACTTCTTCCATTGGGGTTCATGGCTATCTTACATTGTAAGACAGTTAGTAGACCCAGCAGAAATGACTTCAAAATATTTCTGGTTTCTGTGAAAGTTTGAAAATCTGTTGACTCCCTGGTTGTTCTGTTTGGAAGCCTTTTATGCGTTGCTTTCCCTTTCTTATTTCTCCTTACACACATACAAGCTCTTTTCTTGCCTATTGTGTGTACTTGGCTGATTTTCTGGGCACAGTGCCCAGTTGGTTTAATGTGTGCTTATTATTGTCTATAGCATTCCTGATTCTGTTTTGGAGGTGGGTATTCTATGAATTATTAATGATTATTATCGTCCTTTAGAATCAACTTTGCTTTTGGAATTTAGAAACAAAAGATGAACATTGAGCCCTATGGGTAATCACCAGCAATATCAAGGCCATGTCCAATGCTTGACTGTAAGGGAAAGGAATAGTGAATATACTGAAGTGAACAAAACAGGATTACTCCTATAAACAGATAAAATTAACAGAAGAAAACTTAAAGTTCAAAATGTATTACTTGAAAAAATGCTCGTAATATTATTTTACCATACCCATTTTACCATTTAAATATTACCAGTAGTTTTTTTCCTCAATATCCATTGATAAGCTTATTCTTTAAAAACAGAAGTAGGGAAAGTGCTAGCTTTTTTGCTTCTTATTCACAGGAACTTGTGCACCTGATGTAGTATAGCACATTCTCAAACATCTAATAGGTCACTTCTGAATTTTTCTCTGAATTTTGAATAAGATAAAAGTAATTTGAATTTAGCTATCATTTCAAAGAAGAAAAAAGTTGCATTTGCAAATTATTTACACGAGCACAAATTTTTAGAGAAAGAAATACTAGAGAAAGAAAAACATAGAGGAAAATAGGTGGTGAAAAAATTCTTTGGAAGTGCAAAAGAAAGAAAACGTTTATTGGCAATGACACATGATTATTAATCCCCATGTCTAAGTAAATTTGGGGTCTTTACCCTTGCTATAGTTTGGACATGGGTTATTCTCTCCAAAATTCATGTCAAAATTTAATTTCCCATGTAAGGTGTTAGGAGATCGTTCTTTGAAGAGGTGATTAGGTCATTAAGACAAATTAATAACTTTCTGGTGAAACTGGGTTATTTTTCATGATAATGGATTAGTTCTCATAAGAGCTGGTCATTCTAAAGAAAGTTGCCTCTTTTATAAAGCAATGATTTGCCTGATTTCCGTTTTGTTTCTCTGCCTTGCTGTGACATAGCATGTGGCTCTCATCAGAAGCTCAACAGATGCCAATGCCATAGTCTTGGACTTTCCAGCCACCAGAACCATAAGCTAAATAAACCTTTTTTTCTTTATAAATTACCCAGTCTCAGGTGTTGTTACAGCAACACAACACAGACCAAGACAACACTACACCTGTAATACGTAATATTTTGAAATTAGATTTTAGCTTAGGAACAATACATACCCAATAAAGTGGAGCTCAGAAGACATCACTTAAGAATTGTTAAATAAGTGCCATCTTTTTGTTTTTATACTGAAAAACAAATGTATCGATTCTCAATTATTTTCTCCCTAATGTAACAATAATAACATAATATTGTATTTTCCAAAACCATTCCTCCTTTCTCTCAATTGTATGTATTTTTCCTTTTTTCTTTCTCCTTTTTCTTTTTGGAGTATGATAAATATTTTTAAATCTATCCTCCTGAAATTGCATCTAGGATTTGGATATATTTTGCTATAAATCTTTGCTTCCTTGGAATAAAAATATTCTCTACATTTTTATTATTCTAATGTTGATTCAGCTTTGGAGTTAATTTATATGCAAAGCAAATAATTTACCCAAACTTGTAAAGGATATGCATTATCAGAACACAACACCTGCAGGATTTCACATCACGACTATCTGTTCCATTACTTCCTCCATGTTAATGAATTCAAGTCTTGATTTTCTCCAAAGAAAATGGGGCAATGAAAATTGCATTTCCTAAAATTCTCCTTGAATTATGTTTTAACATTTCAAGTGTGTTAATGTAATGCTTTAGAAGCTAAAGGGAATGATTATATAGGAAGCTAAAGTCATCTATGTCTATCCTCGGGATTGATTAAGTTTGCTATTTATACATGTTTCCCCCACAACATTGCTGTGTTGGAATTTATCAGGATAGGAACCATCTAAATTGAAAATGCCCCTTCGTATATTTTTATCACAGTGAAAGTCAAAGCCTAGAATAACAGAAAGGCACAAAATTAATATCATCAGGAAACAATTTACTCAGCTAATTAGCATAACATTCTCATATAAAAAGACAGATGGATTAAGGGATCAGGTCATTCATAGCCTGCAGCAAACTGCTTCAGTCTTTAATCCCCTGCTGTTACCTATCAAATGGTACTCTTTTTATGGATTTGGACAGATCCCTGGGAAGATTTAGATTCTCCCATTGGACTGATTCATCTTGTTCCTTTAACTTTTTATTGATGATATATTTCATTATTTCCTGACTAAAACAACAGTAAGATCTCTAAATTAGTTAGCAGCTAAAGAATTGAACTAAAGGCGTATCTCCACATTTCTCATATAGTAGCTTCTACCACACACACACACACACACACACACACACGATGCCCTGCAGTGCTAACAAATAGGCTCCAGCTTGAAGACAACCATAGAAGAGTTATATATATATATATCGTACTTCAATAAAAATTGGGATTTCATGCTACATATGCAACATTCAAGACAATTAGGAATAGCACAGTAACAGCCAGTAGTAACTATGAAAAATATCAAATTCTTTACATGGAAGTAGTCAATCAGCATAGATTATAGATTTCCATGAGTCCTTTAAAAATGTTTCCAAAAATAATGTCTAAGAAAACTATTAGTGAAGATGTTTGATCTATTGTATAGAAAATAAAACCAACAAATGAAAGAAAAGGCCTCTGGGAAAAAAAAAATTATTTTAAAGTTTTAGGCTACAGGGAGATAATTTATATCCTTTTGACTATTGTATTAGCTTTCTAGGGCTGCCATAACAAAGTATCACAATATAGGTGGCTTAAAAAAAAAAAACAAACATTTGTTGTCTCACAGCTCTGTAAGCTAGAAGCCTGAAATCAAGGTGTTGGCAAGATTGGTTCCTTCTGAAAAGTTCTGACTTAAAGTCCGTTCCACGTGTGTCTTCTAGTTTCTGGTGGTTGCCAGCAATTTTTGGTGTTCCTTGACTTGTGCATGCATCACCCCACTGTCTGCCTCTGTCATTACATGGCCTTCTTCCTTATATTTCTTTATGTCTCTCTGTGTCCATATTTTCTTTCTTTATAAAGAAACCAGTCATTGAATTAGGGCCCATCCCATTTCAATATGACCCTGTTTCAAAATAACATCTGCAATAACCTATTTCCAAATAAGGTCACATTCACAAGTATTGGGATTAGTATTTCATTTTGGAGACCCGATTCAACACACAATGACTATAAACAATCAGAATGTTAGTTTATTAATTTATAACAAGAACTATGTTATATAAAATAAAATTCTTACTTCAGCATAAACAGTACATACTTTCCACCCAAACGCACATCTGTATGGGAAAACAAAATGTAGTCACATGATAGCTGGGTATGTATTAGATCAGAAAAATAAAGTTCAATGATTAGAATATTTAACACCATCAAGCTAATATAAATGTGCACATGCATTTATTTTTATTGTAGGAAGGCTTACCAACTTAACTGGCAATTTCACTTGCCCAGACTTCCTGCCTCAGGAATTGGACTTCCACTTAGGTGGAAAAGAGATTTATGCCTTAAAGATTCATCTGTAGCTCAGTTTCCATAGGCAACTAATTCTCCTTTCATTGACAGACTCTTTCTATAGCTATGTTAATAAATTCAGTTCCAACATAGTAAAATCCTCTGACTTTACCCCCCTTAGGTTAGTTTACAGTGCTTCAGAAGGCATTCTTTCTTCTCTTAGTTTTATATATTTATAAAGGGTTATATAAAACTAAGAGGGTTGTATTTTTGTAGCCATCTTTCTGATTATCCCCATGTACTGAGAATATGTGTGTGTGTGTATTGATACATTTTATTTAGATGTGTGTGTGTATATATATATATATATATATATATATGCAAGACTATATGTATATAGTCTTGTCCTATTTGGAGGCCCATTAAAGTATTTTTTCTTCCCATTCTTTTACTTCAACTATGATATACAATTAATTCTGTTATACACACACACATACACATACATATACACATACATATATATGTACGTGTGTGTATACATGTTTTAATAATCAAAGTTACAATTTATTTTGAACATATTATTTGCCAGAATTTATATGGCATACTTTGAATTCACTAACCTATTTAATCTTTAATATCTAAATGGGATAATTATTATTATTTATTTTTCAAAGATGGGGTAACAAAGGCTTCTGTTACCCCTCAATGTTGCCCATTCTCTACAGACTGTATAATAGAAGTTAAAATTATTTTTGCCCAACATCAAATATCTTGCATCATACTGCATTCCTTTCAGCAACCTGCATTTTTCAGCATCCTGCAATTTCCCTATAACCTGGAAATTTTGAACCTCCATGTCTTCGTGTGTAATATTTTCTGCATGAAAAATGTGTCATTTCAACTTATCTAACTTTTGCTTACTATCTAAGGTAAGGTAGAAGTGCCAACTTTTTCAAGGTTTTAGATAAAAGGTGAAAATAATAGTCTCTTGGTCCACACTCACATAGCCCTTTGTTTATATTAAACACTATATTATATTATGCTATATTAATAGTCAGCTGTTTATTCATCTCCTTCAGCAGACTCTAAAGGCCATTAGGGACTTGCTAATTCATTTACTAATTAATTAAAGAAATTTGAGGAGAATATCAAGAATAACCCTCTACTTGTTCCCGGCCACCATTCATCACTCACTTTCTTAATTGTTCATTCACAGTGTACATATACGGTGATGTCAGAAACGTTACACCATACTTCCATGAGAAACAACTTTATTAACTGGAGCACTGTGCTTGTATACACTTCCTTTCACCTTTAATTTTACAGTCTCCTCTCATTTCTGAAATTACTTATTTCAACGCATTTTTTCCCACCCATCTCAGTGAGGTTGTTTCATATATTTTCAATACAGTTATAATATTTTGTCACACTCTGCATTCCATCTTGCAATCCCTCTACTTCCTAAAGGATAGTTTTTTTTTAAAGTTATATAAATTAATGTTTCCTCCTCAAGCTCAAAAACTCTTACGGATTTTGAGAAATGCATAATGTTATGTCCACCATTACAATATCATATAAAATAGTTTCAGTACAGTAAAAAATTTGTTTTCATGTTTCACATATTTAACCCTACTTCCTCTCCCCTCACCTCTGGAAGCACTAATCTTTTATACTATATTGTTTTGCCTTTTCTACCATGTCATATATTTAGCAATATATAATACGAGGCATTTGCTGACCAATTTCTTTCACAGAGCAATAAATATTGAATATTCATGTATTTATTCCTGTAGATTTATATTTATTTCTTTTTTCTGGATGTACCAGTATATCAATTCACTTACTTAAGGTTTAAGACCATGTAGGTTGCTGTCCATTTTTTATAATTATAAAAAAGAGCTCTGATAAACACTCACATTTTTATGTGATATAAATTGTCACATCATTGGGATAAATACCTAGAAGAATGATAGCTGAAGTGCGTGGTGAGACGATATTTAGATTTGTAAGAAACTGCCAATCTGTCTTCCAGCGTGCAGTACCATTTTTAAAATTCCCTTCAGCAAACAGCTACTATTGCTCTACATTTTCACCAGAATTTGTAATACTTCGGTTCATGGATTTAAGCCATTTTAACTAATGTGTGGTAGTATCACAATTGTTTTAATTTGTGTTTCTCTAAAGAAAAAAAATACTGAGCATATTTTTATATGCCAGTTGCCATGGGTATTTCGGGGGCAGGGGTGAGGTGTCTTTTCAGATTCTATGCACATTTGTAATTGGCTTGTTTGCTTTCTTATTATTCAGTTTTCAGAGTTATTTGTATGTTTAGATACCAATACTTTATTAGATATATGGTTTACAGATATTTTCTTCTAGTTTGTGGCTTGTCTTTTAACTCTCTGGAGTCTTTCACAGAGCAGAAAATTCCATTTTAAATTTAACAAACTCTAACATCATTTTTTCTTTTATAGCTAGAACTTTTCGTATTAATATTATATCTAAAAATCCATTATCAAACCTAATGTCACTCATTACATGTAAAGCATACTTTCTTTTTCAACTATTCTAGTGGTTCCCCAGAGTATCCAATACACATTTGTTACTAATCTAAGATCACCTTCAAATAGCACTCCACCAGTTCACATATAGTGCAGGTACCTTAATAAGAAGTTACAGCGTGCTGGCAGCCCTTGCTCGCTCTCCGTGTCTCCTCGGCCTGGACGTCCACTCTGGCCGCGCTTGAGGAGCCCTTCGCCCCACCGCTGCACTGTGGGAGCCCGTCTGTGGGCTGGCCAAGGCCGGAGCATGCTCCCTCTGCTTGCGGGGAGGTGTGGAGGGAGAGGCACAGGCGGGAACTGAGGCTGCGCCGCACACGCGGGGGCGGCCCTGCACTCAGAGCGGTCAGGCTGGCGCCACAGACCCTGGGCAGTGAGGGGCTTAGCACCCAGGGCCAGCCGCTGCAGAGTATGCGCTGAGTTCCGCATCACTGCCAGCCCGCCCGCTCTAGGCTCGAATTCTTGCCAGGCCTCAGCCGCCTCGCTGTGTGGCAGGGCCCGGGACCTGCAGCCCACCATGCCCGAGCCTTTCCCCGCCCGCGCCTTCCCCCGTGGGCTCCCCAGCGGCCGGCGGGAGTCTCCCCAACGGCACTGCCCCCTGCTTTGTGGCGCCTGGTCCCATCAACCACCCAAGGGCTGACTAGTGCAGGCGCCTGGCGTGGGACTGGCGGGCAGCTCCCCCAGCGGCCCCAGCGCGGGATCTGCTAGGCAAGCCAGCTGGGCTCCCCAGTGAGGTGGGGTCTTGGAGAACTTTTGTGTCTAGCTGGAGGATTGTATATGCGCCAATCAGCACTCTGTGTCTAGCTCAAGGTTTGTAAACGCACCAATCAGCACCCTGTCAAAACAGGCCAATCAGCTCTCTGCAAAATGGACCAATCAGCAGGATGTGGGTGGGGTCAGGTGAGGGAATAAAAGCAGGCTGCCACAAGGGACAGTGATAACCCGCTTGGGTCCGTTTCCGTGGTGTGGAGGGTTTGTGTTTTTGCTGTTTGCAGTAAATCTTGCTGCACACTCTTTGGATCCACACTGCCTTTATGAGCTGTGACAACCACCGGGAAGGTCTGCAGCTTCACTCCTGAGGCCGGTGAGACCAGGAACCCACTGAGAGGAATGAATAACTCCAGACGTGCTGCCTTAAGAGCTGTAACACTCACTGCGAAGGTCTGCAGCTTCACTCCTGAAGCCAGCAAGACCACAAACCCACCAGAAGGAAGAAACTCCGAACACGTCCGAACATCAGAAAGAACAAATTCCGGACACACCATCTTTAAGAACTGTAACACTCACCACTAGGGTCTGCAGCTTCGTTCTTGAAGTCAGTGAGACCAAGAACCCACCAATTCTGGACACGTTAATAGAATAGTCCCAGTTCATCCTTCATATCTTTTGTAACATAACCATCAGGCATTTCACTTACCCACATGCTGTAATTGCCCAAAACATTTACTAATATTACTTTAAACAAACATGTAGTTTAAAAAGACTTACAATAAGAAAAATAAAACATTTTTTTTCCTTTTTCAACATACTTGCTTTCTTATTGTAAATACAGGTTTCTGATCTATATCACTCTTCTCCTCCTTGAATAACCTCTTTTAACACATTTGCAGGAAAGTTTTCTGGCAATATATTCTGTTAGTGTTTTATTGTCTGGTAAATTCTGATTTCCCCTCTGCTTTTGAAGTATAATTTTGCTAGATGTAGAATTCTAAGTTGGTGCATTTATTCCTTAACATTTCCCGCAACTCTCTTCTTTCTTGCCTGGTTTCTTACTGGAAGTGGGCTGAAATCCTTGCTCTTTTTTCTCTACAAGGAATGTAGTTTTCATTCCAGATTCTGTCAAGATTTTCTCTTTGTCTATTTATTGATTTATTTTATTTTCTTTTATTCTACATATAGGAAATGCTATGTCTGGTGCTGTATTTTTGTTGTTTGTCATGAATTGTATTCTCTGAGCTTCCTGGACCGGTTGTTTGTTTCATGTCATTATGCTTTAAAATTTCTTGACCATTACTCATTTAGATAGATTCTCCTCATTTCTCTCTTTCTCGTCTTTCTGCTATTCCAGTTTCCCATTTTGTACAACTTTAGAAACTGCCCAGCGGGTCCTTGATGTCCTTCACTTTTTTTTTTCCGTTTATTTTTTCTTGGCACTTTGTTTTAAAATGTATTTTTGACCTATCTTTAGTTTCACCAATTCTTTCCCCAAACATGTCTGGTCTACTAATGAAACCATTGAAAGCATTTTAAAAAAATCTATTGGCGTTATTTTAATTTCTAGCCTTTTATTTTGGTTCTTTGTTAGAATTTTCATCTCTCTGTTTATACTAATCATCTTTTATTGAATATTTTCTACATTTTCCACTAGCGTCCTTAACATCTTAATCATAGTTATGTAAATTTCTTGATTGCTATTTCCAAAATATGCATCATCATCACTGAGTCTTGTTCTGATGATCATCCTGTCTCTTCAGATTGTTAATTTTTTTCTTGCCTTTTACCATGTTTTGTAATTTTGTTGCCATTGTTGAGAGCCAGACATGTGGTATCCATAATAGATATTGAGATAAATTGATGCTGAGATAAATTGATACTGAGATAAAGTTAATTGAGGATATATGTTAATCTGTCTTGGAGTTGAACTGCATTTAATATTTGTTATAGCTCAAGTTTCTGAAGGTTTCAAATTCCTCTAGTGTCCTTGTTTTTGTCTCCTCCCTTAACTTTAGGTTTCCTTAAGTACTCATCTTCAAACAGTGTCTGTTTCTTATAGCTCTTTTGTCTGTCTCCTTATATTGGAGTCATGTTGGTTTAAATTTTATGGTATGAGCAGAGAAATATGTTCTATAGTGCTCTGATTGAATATCCGCCTTTCAGTGGGCCTATGTCTTAGGTTATGACTTTTACGAGTGTTTTGCCAGTAGTTTATCTTTTGTCCCTGTTACAGGACTGCCAGATTCATATGCCCACTGAGCAGCAATAGACCAATACACTGAGACATCATAATTTGCAGCAGAAAAAGAGTTTAATAATCACAATGCCATTGGGCAAAGAGATGAAGGAATCCTCAAGCTTCAAATCTGTCTGCTTGAGGGGTTCTGGACCAGGGTTTTTAAGGGGATTGTGGCGGGTGAGGTTCTGGAGAATTGGGGTTGTCAATTGCTCAGGTCAAGGAAGATTAAATCATCACGATGTGAAAACTGCATTCTTCTGTGAGTCGGCTCCTTGCTGGGACCTTCAGATCAACTGGCGTCAACAATTTTATCAGTATGCGTAACATAAAGGAGAAACTCAAACAGAAAGCGTATCATCTCATGTGCCTTAGATCTTATCTATAGAAAAGAAAAGGAACACATTCTTGTGACAAGGGCTACACTATCTTGGGGGAGTAAGAAGTAACTAGCTACAAGGAAGTAGGCCAAATTGGGAAGTGGATTTCATGATTGCCACTGATTATTCTGCAAGCCTAGTTGAATTTTATTTTCTCCCTTAATTGGTTTATAAACTTTTCTTTGGGACAGTTTCATCCTTTATCCCCTTTAGATGAGAAAAGAAGGTTAAATGAGGAGGTGCCAAGATGGCCAATTAGAAGCAGCTGTGGTCTGTGACTCCCATCTAGAAGAACAAAAATGGCGAGTGAATTCTGCACCTTCATCTGAGGTATCCGGATTCTCTCACTGGGAGTGACAAGGTGATTGGCCTGACCCACAGGGAGCAAGGAAAAGCAGGGTGGAGCAATGCCTCACTTGGGAGCTGCATGGGGCAAGGGGCACTCCCACCCCCAGTCAAGGGAGGCAGTGAGTGATTGTGCTCCCTTTCCTGAGGAACCATGCTTTTTCCATGGATCTGTGCAACTCACAGATCAAGAGATCCCCTTGTGAGCCCACACCACCAGGGCCTTGGGTGCCAAGCACAGAGCTGTGCAGACTCTCATCACCGCTCAGGCTGTGGCCAGTGACAGCAGACTGGAGACTGTCTAAGATGACTGAGTTCCCAGGGGAAGGGGTGGTTGCTATCACTGTGGCATCAGTTGGCTGTTTTCCCCTGGTGGTGCTGGGGAGACAGGGAGGTTTAGACCGGGAGCACAGCAGCTGTGGCAGATCATGGCCAGACTGCTTTTTTAGGTGGAACCTGGATCCATCCCTATTCATTGGGTGGGGCCCCCTTGTGGGAATTTCACCAACTCCAGCCAGAGGTTTATGGACAGAACTCTGATCTTCCTGGGCAGAACTCCTGTGGGGAGGGACAGCCACAGTCTCTGCGGTTCAGCAGACTTAGTCTTTCCTGCCTGCTGGCTCTGAAGGGTCTGGACATTCTGGACAAGGGAGATTCCCTCCAGTGCAGTGCACCCTCTCTGCCAAGGGGCAGCCAGAGTGCTTTGTTAAGTGGTCCCCGATCCTGTACATACTCCCTAACTGATTGAGACCACCAACAGGGGTCTCCAGGCACCTTATACAGGAGTGTTCCTGCTGGCATCACATCAGTGCCCCTCTGGGATGGAGTTCAAAAAAGAAGGAGCAGGCAGCCATCCTTGCTGTTCTGCAGCTTCCACTGGTGACACCTCCAGGTAGGGGAGGGACCAAGTGAATAGGGTCTGGAGTGGACCCCCAGCAAACTGCGGCAGCCCTAAGGAAGAGGGGTCTGACTGTTGAAAGGAAAACAAACAAACAGAAAACAACAACAACAAAAACATCCACAAAAATGGCCCCACAAAAACCCCTTCCAAAGATCAGCAGCCTCAAAGATCGAAGATAGATAAGCTCATGAAGATGAGAAAGAATCAATGCAAAAATGCTGAAAACTCAAAAAGCCAGAATGCCTCTTCTCCTCCAAATGATTGCAACACCTCTCCAGCAAGGGCACAGAACTGGGTGGAGGCTTGAGGTGGATGAACTGACAGAAGTATTCTTCAGAAGGTGGGTAATAACAAATTTTGCTGAGCTAAAGTATATTCTAAAACAATTCAAAGAAGCTAATAACCATGAAAACATTATAGGAACTGTAAACCAGAATAACCAGTTTATAGAGGAACATAAATGACCTGATGGACCTGAAAAACACAACACCAGAACTTCACAATGCAACCACAAGCATAAATAACTGAATAGACCAAGCAGAGGAAAGAATCTCAGAGCTCAAAGACTATCTTGCTGAAATAAGACAGGCAGATAAGATTAGAGAAAAAACTGAAAAGGAATGAAAAATAATCAGAGAACTATGGAATTATGTAAAAAGACCAAACCTACAACTGATTGGGGTACCTGAAAGAAATGAGGAGAATGAAACCAAGTTGGAAAACATACTTCAGGAAATCATTCAGGAGAATTCCCCAACCCAGCAAGACAGGCCAACATTCAAATTCAGGAAATTCAGAGGACTTCAGTAAGATCCATGAGAAGATCAACCCAAAACACATAATGGGCAGTATCTCCAAGGTCAAAATGAAGGAAAATTTTTAAGAGCCATGTCACCTAGAAAAGGAAGTCCATCAGAATAACAGTGGACTCCTCAGCAGAAACCCCATAAGCCAGAAGAAATTGGGGGCTAATATTCAACAGTCTTTTTTTTTTTATACTTTAAGTTTTAGGGTACATGTGTACATTGTTCAGGTTAGTTACATATGTATACATGTGCCATGCTGGTGCGCTGCACCCACTAACTCGTCATCTAGCATTAGGAATATCTCCCAATGCTATCCCTCCCCCCTCCCCCCACCCCACAACAGTCCCCAGAGTGTGATATTCCCCTTCCTGTGTCCATGTGATCTCATTGTTCAATTCCCACCTATGAGTGAGAATATGCGGTGTTTGGTTTTTTGTTCTTGCGATAGTTTACTGAGAATGATGATTTCCAATTTCATCCATGTCCCTACAAAGGACATGAACTCATCATTTTTTATGGCTGCATAGTATTCCATGGTGTATATGTGCCACATTTTCTGAATCCAGTCTATCGTTGTTGGACATTTGGGTTGGTTCCAAGTCTTTGCTATTGTGAATAATGCCGCAATAAACATATGTGTGCATGTGTCTTTATAGCAGCATGATTTATAGTCCTTTGGGTATATACCCAGTAATGGAATGGCTGGGTCAAATGGTATTTCCACTTCTAGATCCCTGAGGAATCGCCACACTGACTTCCACAATGGTTGAACTAGTTTACAGTCCCACCAACAGTGTAAAAGTGTTCCTATTTCTCCACATCCTCTCCAGCACCTGTTGTTTCCTGACTTTTTAATGATTGCCATTCTAACTGGTGTGAGATGGTATCTCATTGTGGTTTTGATTTGCATTTCTCTGATGGCCAGTGATGATGAGCATTTTTTCGTGTGTTTTTTGGCTGCATAAATGTCTTCTTTTGAGAAGTGTCTGTTCATGTCCTCCGCCCACTTTTTGATGGGGTTGTTTTTTTTTTCTTGTAAATTTGTTTGAGTTCATTGTAGATTCTGGATATTAGCCCTTTGTCAGATGAGTAGGTTGCGAAAATTTTCTCCCATTTTGTAGGTTGCCTGTTCACTCTGATGGTAGTTTCTTTTGCTGTGCAGAAGCTCTTTAGTTTAATTAGATCCCATTTGTCAATTTTGTCTTTTGTTGCCATTGCTTTAACTCATTTTATGAGGCCAGCATCATTCTGATACCAAAGCCAGGCAGAGACACAACAAAAAAAGAGAATTTTAGACCAATATCCTTGATGAACATTGATGCAAAAATCCTCAATAAAATACTGGCAAAACAAATCCAGCAGCACATCAAAAAGCTTATCCACCATGATCAAGTGGGCTTCATCCCTGGGATGCAAGGCTGGTTCAATATATGCAAATCAATAAATGTAATCCAGCATATAAACAGAGCCAAAGACAAAAACCACATGATTATCTCAATAGATGCAGAAAAAGCCTTTGACAAAATTCAACAACACTTCATGCTAAAAACTCTCAATAAATTAGGTATTGATGGGATGTATTTCAAAATAATAAGAGCTATCTGTGACAAACCCACAGCCAATATCATACTAAATGGGCAAAAACTGGAAGCATTCCCTTTGAAAACTGGCACAAGACAGGGATGCCCTCTCTCACCACTCCTATTCAACATAGTTTTGGAAGTTCTGGCCAGGGCAATTAGGCAGGAGAAGGAAATAAAGGGCCCATTGTCTCAGCCCAAAATCTCCTTAAGCTGATAAGCAACTTCAGCAAAGTCTCAGGATACAAAATCAATGTACAAAAATCACAAGCATTCTTATACACCAACAACAAACAAACAGAGAGCCAAATCATGAGTGAACTCCCATTCACAATTGCTTCAAAGAGAATAAAATATCTAGGAATCTAACTTACAAGGGATGTGAAGGACCTCTTCAAGGAGAACTACAAACCACTGCTCAAAGAAATAAAAGAGGATACAAACAAATGGAAGAACATTCCATGCTCATGGGTAGGAAGAATCAATATTGTGAAAATGGCCATACTGCCCAAGGTAATTTACACATTCAATGCCATCCCCATCAAGCTACCAATGACTTTCTTCACAGAATTGGAAAAAACTACTTTAAAGTTCATATGGAACCAAAAAAGAGCCCGCATTGCCAAGTCAATCCTAAGCCAAAAGAACAAAGCTGGAGGCATCACACTACCTGACTTCAAACTATACTAGAAGGCTACAGTAACCAAAACAGCATGGTACTGGTACCAAAACAGATATATAGATCAATGGAACAGAACAGAGCCCTCAGAAATAATGCCACATATCTACAACTATCTGATCTTTGACAAACCTGAGAAAAACAAGCAATGGGGAAAGGATTCCCTATTTAATAAATGGTGCTGGGAAAACTGGCTAGCCATATGTAGAAAGCTGAAACTGGATCCCTTCCTTACACCTTATACACAAATCAATTCAAGATGGATTAAAGAGTTAAACGTTAGACCTAAAACCATAAAAACCCTAGAAGAAAACCTAGGCATTACCATTCAGGACATAGGCATGGGCAAGGACTTCATGTCAACAGTCTTAAAGAAAAGAATTTCCAGCTCAGAATTTCATGTCTGGCCAAACTAAGCTTCATGAGCAAAGAAGAAATAAAATCCTTCTCAGACAAGCAAATACTGAGGGAATTCATCACAACCAAGCCTGCCTTGCAAGAGCTCCTAAAGGAAGCACTGAATATGGAAGGGAAAAACCATTACCGGCCACTACAAAAACACAGTAAAGTACACAGACCAATAATATTATGAAGCAACAACATTAACAAGTCTGCAAAATAACCAGATAGCATCATAATCACAGGACCAAATTCACACATAAGAATATTAACCTTAAATGTAAATGGACTGAATGTCCCAATTAAAAGACAAAGACTGGCAAACTGGATCGTCAAGACCCACCAGTGTGCTGTATTCAGGTGAACCATCTCATATGCAAAGACACACATAGGCTCAAAATAAAGAGATGGAGGAAAATTTACCAAGCAAACAGAAAGCAGGAAAAGGAGGGGTTGCAATTCTAGTGTTTGAGAAAACAGGCTTTAAATCAACAAAGATAAAAAAAGACAAAGAAGGGAATTACATAATGGTTAAGTATTCAGTTCATCAAGAAGAGGTAACTATCCTAAATACACATGCACCCAATTTTAGAAGACCCAGATTCATAAAACAAGTTCCTAGAGACCTACAAAGACATTTAGACTCTCACATAATAATAGTGGGAGACTTTAACACCCCACTGTCAATATTAGACAAATTATCAAGACAGAAAGTTAACAAGGATATTCAGGACTCAAACAGCTGTAGATCAAGTGGACCTGATAAGTATCTACAGAACTCTCCATTCAAAAACAACAGAATATACATTCATCTTGGAGCTACATGGCACTTACTCTAAAATCGATCACATAATTGGAAGTAAAACACTCCTCTGCAAATGCAAAATAACTAAAATCTTGATAGTCTCTCAGACCACAGTACAATCAAATTAGAACTCAAAATTAAGAAACTCACTCAAAACCACACAACTACATAGAAATGTAACATCCTGCTTCTGAATGACTACTGGGTAAAAAATGAAATTAAGGCAGAAGTCAAGAAGTTATTTAAAACTAATGAGAACAAAGAGACAATGTCCCAGAATCTCTGGGATACAGCTAAAACAGCATTGAGGGAAATGTATAGCACTAAATATCCACATGAGAAATATCTCAAGTCAACTTCCTAACATCACAGTTTAAAGAACTAGAGAACCAAGAACAAACAAACCCCAACGCTAGCAGAAGGCAAGAAATAAGTAAGATCAGAGCAAAACTAAAGGAGATTGAGACAGGAAAAACCCTTCAAAAAATCAACAAATCCAGGAACTGTTTTTTTGAAAAAAATTAACAAAATAGACTTTTAGCTACACTAATAAGAAAAGAGAGAAGATCAAATAGACACAATAAAAAATGATAAAGGGGATATGAACACTGAGTTTACAGAAATACAAACAACCATCAGAGAATACTATAAACACCTCTATGCAAATAAATTAGAAAATCTAGAAGAAATGGATAAATTCCTGGACACATAAACTCCCAAGATTGAACCAGGAAGAAGTTGAATCCCTGAATAGACCAATAACAAGTTCTGAAATTAAGGCAGTAATATATAGCCTACCAACCAATGAAAGACCAGGACCAAATGGAATTATGGTGGAATTCTACCAGATGTACAAAGAGGAGCCAGTGCTATTTCCTCTGAAACTATTCCAAATGATTGAAGAGGAGAGACTCCTCCCTAATTCATGTTATGAGGCCAGCATCATCCTGATACCAAAGCCTGGGAGAGATACAACAAAACAAGACAACTTCAGGCCAATATCCCTGATGAACATTGATGCAAAAATCCTCAATAAAATACTGGCAAGCCAAATCCAGCAGCACATCCAAAAGCTTACCCACCACAATCAAGTTGGCTTCATCCCCGGGATACAAGGCTGTTTCAACATATGCAAATCAATAAATGTAATCCATTACATAAACAGAACTAAAGATAAAAACCTCATAATTATCTCAATAGATGCAGAAAAGGCCTTTCAACAACACTTCATGTTAAAATTCAACATCCCTTCATTTTAAAAACTCTCAATAAACTAGGTATTGAAGGACCATACCTCAAAATATTAAGAGCCATTTATGACAAACTAACAACCCATATCATACTGAATGGGAAAAAGCTGCGAGCATTTTCATTGAAAAGAGGCACATGACAAGGATGCTCTTTCTTACCACTCCTATTCAACATATTATTGGAAGTTCTGGCTAGAACAATTAAGCAAGAGAAAGAAACAAATGGTTTTCAAATAGGAAGAGAGGAAGCCAAATTGTCTCTGCAGATGACATGATCCTTTATCTAGAAAACCCCATTGTCTCAACCCCATTGTCAGCAAAATCTCAGGATAAAAAAATCAATGTGTGAAAATCACAAGGATTCCTACACACTAACAACAGACAAGCAGAGAGCCAAATCATGAAAGAACTCCAATTCCACAATTGTTACAGAGAATAAAATACCTAGGAATACAGCTAAGAAGGGAAGTGATAGAAAGAATCAATATGATTAAAATGGCCATACTACCCAAAGTAATTTATAGATTCAATGCTATTCCCCTTATACTAACATTGACATTTTTCACAGAATTAGAATAATCTGTTTTAAAATTCATATGGACAAAAAAGAGCCTGTAGAGCCAAGATAATATTAAGCAAAAATAGCAAAGCTGGGGGGATCATGCTACCTTACTTCAAACTACACTACAAGGCTACCAAACCAGCATGTAAACAAAACAGCATAGTGGTGGTGCAAAAACAGACTCATAGACCAATAGAACAGAATTGAGAACTCAGAAATAAGACCACACAGCTACAACCATCTGATCTTCAACAAACCTGACAAACACAAGTAATGGGGAAAGGATTTTCTATTTAATTAATGGTGCTGGAAGAACTATGGAAGAACTTTAGCCATATGCAGAAAATTGAAACTGGACCCCCTTCCTTACACGTTATACAAAAATTAGCTCAAGATAGGTTAAAGACTTAAGTGTAAAATCCAAAACTATAAAAACCCTAGAAGAAAATGTAGGCAATACCATTCAGGACATAGGCATAGGCAAAGATTTCATGACAAAAATGCCAAAAACAATAGCAACAAAAGCAGAAATTAACAAATGGGGTCTAATTAAACTAAAGAGCTTCTGCTCAGCAAAAGAAACTATCATCACAGTGAACAGACAACCTACAGAATGGGAGAAAAATTTGCTATTTATCCATCCGACAAAGGTCTAATATCCAGAATTTACAGGGAACTTAAACAAATTTACAAGAAAAAAACAGACAATCCTATTAAACAGTGGGCAAAGGACACGAACAGGCACTTCTCAAAAGAAGACATTTATGTGGCCAACAAACATGCAAAAAAAAAGTTCAACATCACTAATCATTAGAGAAATGCAAATCAAAACCACAATGAGATACCATCTCACACTAGTCAGAATGGTGATTATTAAAAAGTCAAGAAACAACTGATACTGTTGAGGCTGCAGAGAAATAGGAATGCTTTTACACTGTTGGTAGGAATGTAAATTAGTTCAACCATTGTGGAAGACTGTGGCAATTCCTCGAAGTCCTAGAACCAGAAATACCATTTGACCCAGCAATCCCATTACTAGGTATGTACCCAAAGGAATATAAATCATTTTATTATAAAGATACATGCATGTGTGTGTTCATTGCAGCACTATTCACAATAGCTAATACATGAAATCAACCCAAATGCCCATCAATGATAGACTGGGCAAATAAAATGTGGTACATATACAACATGGAATACTATGCAGCCATAAAAGGAAATGAGATCAAGTCCTTTGCAGGGACATGGATGGAGCTGAAAGCCATTATCCTCAGCAAACTAATGCAGGAACAGAAAACCTTGAAATATGAGCTATAATGAGGGGCACTAGAGGTACTTGGCTTTAAAAAGACATAGGTGCAGTGACATGATGTTAGTTACATAGCCTTTGAAGTCATGTTGTGTGAAAGAGCAGTTGGATATTGACGTTGGCTACCAAAACCAATGGGTAGGCATTTAGATTTTGGTTCACTAGAAAACCTGAACTATCTATCGATTAAGCTCTCAAAAACTAAATAGACTGCTGCCTCCTAAATAAAATATGTCTCCCACTGTGGAAATGTCATTGATTTTCAATTTGTATAGCTTTTATTATTATTATTATTGTAAGGCCAGGAATGACAACTTCTGAGCCCTTCACATGTTGGTGATAAATCCAAAAGTCCTGTAATGTATTTGTTTTCTCATTTTTTAAAACCAAATATTTGAAGCTATTTTATTAAGGGTTTCCTTTTCCTCAAAAAGTAAATGCATTAAATATAATCTAGATAGTCTACACTCATGAGAAAGATATTTCATTGTATATAACCAGAGCTATAGGCCTACAAACATTTGGACTTTATCAGAGGTAAATAATAAGAGATAATACTATTCGTTAAAATTAAAGTATAAATTTAGATCATTATTTTTAATTGGTTATTTTTTAAAGCTGACATAACTTTAATTTACAATGTAAACTCAGGAGTGAAAGAGCATTAAGTAACTCATGATCTGTAAAGAAAATTTCAAAATTTAAGGTAAGTAATGAGATTTCCCCATATTTCTGTGTTTAATTCATCAATGTTTTTAAAATACTTAAACCAGCTAAGAAGTGTGTTCAGGTTTCTATTTATTTTAAAAGTGACTTACGTATTTTTCTCACAAGGGAGGATGATTGTAGAGGAGATTAGAGCCTGCATCGTGGTTCCAAGTTAGCATCACTGTTCCTGGTCCTTCCATCTTTCTGCTTAGTCATATTTAACTTGTGTTTATTTCTTCATGATCAGAATATGTGTCTTTCTCAACTATCATATGTATGTTCTAGGTAGAAAGGAGAAAAACAAGAATTTATGTTGTTCTGTCAAATTATAGAAAGTTTATTTGATAATAAATCAACTGTTAAAAAGTACCCCTTAAAAGTATAGTAAGTATACAATATTAAAAGAAAGCATGGGACTTTGCAAAATTGTGAAATCTATTGAGAATTTTGTAAGTTTTTAAATTTTGATCTGTGCTGTCATTTATTAATTCAGTCAAAATTTGCTTCAAAAACACATAGTTGTCAGAATATGTAAGTGCCTTAGAAGAGTGCAATCTATAAGTAAAATAATTCTGAATATTCATCTGAAATAGTTTGAAAAGGTTTTGAAAATCTACTGTCTCTCTTATTTCTTGTAATCAACATATTTCTCAATAGGAAAATTCACCATTTGCCATCAAAATGTATTGTCTGAAACTTCCACTGGAACCTTCATATGGCAAAATATTTAGGCATTCTGAGGAGATGCAAAGTTTGTTAAGCAGAATAAATGTGTTTTAATATTTAATAATTATAAATGATATTTGGAAAATTATAAAGATGTTCTTAGTTCAATTAATAGAGTAAGATTTATATATCTATTAAGAGTGCTGGGCCAGACAGGGTGGCTCACGCCTATAACCCCAGCACTTTGGAAGCCCGAGGCGGGAGGATCACCTGAGGTCAGGAGTTTGAGACCAGCCTGGCCAACATGGTGAAACCCCATCTCTACTAAAAATACAAAAATTAGCAGGGCATGGTGGTGCTTGCCTGTAATCCCAGCTACTGAGGAGGCTAAGGCAGGAGAATTGCTTAAACTCGGGACATTTCAATGAGCTGAGATCTAGCCACTGCATTCCAGCCTGGGCAACACAGTGAAACTCCGTCTCAAAACAAAACAAAAAAAAACAAAAGTGCAGACAACACATTATAATCAATATTAAAAGTTTTTATGTTGAAAGATGGATAAGAATTAAAACTTTGATTTTTCAACTGAGATATTTAGTTGAGATATTTGAAATTACTGGAAAGCAAAAGGAAATTTTAATGTACTGCGGAGTAGCCTAGGGTAGTATGTGTATGTATTTCTACTAAATGCAAAAGAAAGTACCAGATAAAAATGCAATAGGCTTCTACTTCTAGTTCAGGATGGGAAAAGATGGGGAAGACCAAAAAAGATCTGCATAATGCACAAATCCATGTGATTTCTGAAGGGAGTGGACACGATCAGTCTTGATAAACTGATAACTAGTTAGTGGATCTGCAGGTTTCATCTGTGGTATTTTCTTTTAGATGATTTGTGTAGTGACTAAAAAACAGTCAATACATTTAAATAAACTGCACATTGTGCACATGTACTCTAAAACTTAAAGTATAATAAAAAAATAATACAATAAATAAATAAACTTATTTTCTGGTTTAGTAATTGAGGTTGGCCAATGTCTATTATTAATTGTTAACTATTTCCTAATCAATAATCTGTCTTATATTAAACTGTACATACACTTTACAAGAAATTTGAGTTACACTCACACATAACTGAATAACATATTTAATGCTTATATAGGCATGCATATAATGTTAAAATCTAGATATAAAAATAAGAAAATGAAACCATAATTTTTAAGTAATGGAACATGTTCCAAAAGATCAAATGTGGTTATGCATTGGTATGACAATTCTGAATCCTGCCCTCAGGCAGCATCTGAACACTGTTTTATTAGCTATCAATAAATTGTCTGCACTGCAGGCCGATGATGGTTTAAGGACAGCAGTGTTAATAATAATGTTCAAAGTGTCAGTCTGGAGGGGAGGCAATAATTGACTGTATGAGACTATTAAGCTATAAAAACAATGTTTTATTTTGAGCATCAAAATATGATAGACAGAGCTTCAAATGCTCTTGGTGAAGTCATTATTAACACATACAAAACTGATTTTCATTCAACATTTACTGTAGAGAAAATTATATTCCATCAGGCTTTAAAATTGAGAAGAAAACAGAAAGAGTAAGTCTTAAATTCCTTTCTTCCTCACCTTCCTCCTTCACCTAGTTTGCCTGCGGACCTACACTGTTACATTCCCACATACCTCCTGTGTGTATTTCTTTGCAGATCATTTACCTTACATTTCTACATTTCCCCTTAATTTTTTCCTCATCAATAGATGAGAAAAAAAATTTGTTAAATCATGGTAGATGAATATGGACCAGATCATCCCATGAACTACGTTCAATCATTGGTTTTACCTTTCAAAAAATTCTGAATGAAATATGTAATAATTTAATATTCTAAAACTTTATTTTTTCAGGAATATTTACATATATTCACCCTTCCTTCTAAAACAGTGGCCAGAGCAGTTAGAAAACAAAAGCATGAGAAACAGTAACTCTTACAGTTGTATTATGCCTGTATGCCTCCCCAGTTCTGCAAAGATTATGAGGATTTTTTTAGGTCTGTACATAGTTTTAAAATATCCTAAAACAATCCACATAAATAAACTCATTACCATAATAATCTGCAAGATAGACATTGTCATCCTCAAGTAATATCAAATAAATCTTATTTGCCTGCAAGATCTGAATCTGAAAATCCCAAAGCTCAAGTTTACCTAGCTAATAGGTAGTAAGACTGGGGCCTCAATCTGGTTTATCTAATTCTGAAAAGTGTTTTGCTATAAAAGCACTATAGGAAATAAAACATTAGACTTTATACCTTTAGATAATAAGAATATTTATGTCATTGAACCTGAAAAGATACTGTTTAACTTTCATGTTCTACTTGTCATTTTTCTTTTCTGCTTTTATATGTAATTTAGGTAATAGATACCCAGGAATCAACTTAAATTCCCATCAGTGGTAGACTGGAAAAAGAAAGTACGGTACATATACACCATGAATTACTATGCAGCCATAAAAAAGAATGAGATCTGTCCTTTGCGGCAACATGGATGGAGCTTGGAGGCCATTATCCTTAGCAAAGTAACACAGGATCAGAAAACCCAATACTCCCTATTTTCACTTATCACTGGGAGCTAAATAATGAGAACACATTGACAGAAAGAGCAGCACAATAGACACTAGGGTGTGCTTGAGGGAGGAGGATGAGAGATGGGTGAGGTTCAGGGAAAAAAAAATTGTTGGGTACTATGCTTACTACTCAGGTGACAAAATAATCTGTACATCAAACCCCTGAGTCACGAATTTACCTAAAGAACAAACCTCCACACGTTCCCATGAACCTAAAATAAAAGTTAAAATATTTAAAATAATAATAATAATTTAAAAATGTGAAATGTTGTGATAATTACTAAAATGTCAAATAGAGACACAAGGTGAGCACGTTGTTGGAAAAATAGAATGAATAGACTTGCTTGATGCAAGATTGCCACAAACCTTCAATTTGTGAAAAATGTGTTATTTGTGAAGAGCTATAAAGTGAAGCACACGCAAAAAAAGTGAGTTTGATTAATGCAATTCATTGTTGCTGAAAGATACCTTGAAATATGAGCTATAATGAGGGGCACTAGAGGTACTTGGCTTTAAAAAGACATAGGTGCAGTGGCATGATGTTAGTTACATAGCCTTTGAAGCCATGTTGTGTGAAAGAGCAGTTGGATATTGACGTTGGCTACGAAAATCAATGGGTAGGCATTTAGATTTTGGTTCAGTAGAAAATCTGAACTATCTATCGATTAAGCTCTCAAAAACTAAATAGACTGCTGCCTCCTAAATAAAATATGTCTCCCACCATGGAAATGTCAAGCTAGGGTCACAATTCAAGTAATGTATATATGGATCTAATGACTTCCAAGATGCTTTTCCAACTTAAAGTTTTAGACAAGTACCTTTTAAAACAGTATACCATTTGAATTACCTGCAACCATTTTAATATTTCTGAGAGGGTTTTTTTTGTGTGTGCTCCTTCTGTCATCACATGGAGAGTTATTTTGCCTTTTAGGGTAAAATATAAAAACAAATGCACGTCACAATATGATGTGGCAAACGTTACCCAGAAGCCTTAGTGATGTTGTTGCGATGGTATTAGCATGCACAGAGTATGCAACTCGCAGCTCTGCTGTGTGCACTTGTTCTTTTGCTTTCTCTCATGTGTTCTGCTCCATATATTTTAAGAGAGTTTAATGTGGGTGTTCCAATTCTATCCCATTAGAGTACTATGTATATTATTGTTACTAAACCTTGCCTTCATAATCATTCCTATGTATGTGGTCTATTGAAAAGCAATCATTTATATCTTTAGGAGGATGAATGGGAAGTCACAGATCTAGAACAATAATCAACTTGAACTCATGCTGCTAGCACAGGTATGGATTTTTAATATAATCTCAGGCAGGGAAGTGCTTGTAGGCATGTTTTCTCAGTCAGGAGCTGAGAGCATATGCACGATGGCAGACACAAGGTAACTACCCTTTGGCTGGTTGAAAGATGAAGTCATTATAAAGCTGGATTTTAAACCAAATGCAGTGCTGGCTGCTGTCTGGACTTACCTAAAACATACACTATATTTTAAAAAGAAGGCTGAGAGTCACAGAAGTAAAACAAATAAATTCCAAAGTTGGTGTTTTATATTATCATTTATCTGCAATAAGTGATAATTGATATTCCAAAAATATACTTTGCTTTGAATTCAAATTGTTTATTTTGAACAATTAGTGAGTTCATCTCTGCACATGCCTAAAGAAGATAAATCAATAAATAAAAGAATAAAAATTAAAACTCTATATAATAAACACTTGATTTCTTAGTCCTGATTTCTCTTTTATTATGAAGACCAGAAGCAGAATGTTATTCTATTTTACCTAAAAATATATATATGATCTTTAGAAACTCCTTGTCAGCAATCATCTATCTGTGTGTGGGTGTATATATATATATATATATATATATACACATATATATATATCTCATACAAACAATATGTATCACATTTATATGTTATCAAGCACAATCATATAATAAACCCACAAATGTCCAACTCCAAAACTAGAAAATTATTAATAGCTTGTACTACTCCTGTGTTCTTCCCCATCTGCCTGTAGGAATTATTTCTTTTTCTAAAATAGTTTTCTTACATACATATATATATCAAATAATGTGTTTTTGCTTATTTTTCAGCTACAAGATTGTGTCACACTGTATATAGTCTACCGTATTACTTTTTTTTTTTTTTTTTGAGAGGCAGTCTCACTCTGTCACCCAGGCTGGAGTGCAGTGGCACAATCTCCATTCACTGCAACCTCCGCCTCCCGGGTTCAAGGGATTCTCTCCTGCCTCAGCCTTTTGAGCAGCTGGGATTACAGGTGCCCAACTACACCAGGCTTTTTTTTTTTTTGAGACCGAATCTCGCTCTGTCGCCAGGCTGGAATGCAGTGATGTGATCTTGGCTCACTGCAACCTCCGCCTCCCAGGTTTAAGCAGTTCTCCCACCTCAACCTCCCGAGTAGCTGGGACTACAGGTGTGTGCCATAACACCCGGCTAATTTTTGTATTTTTAGTAGAGACAGGGTTTCACCATGTTGGCCAGGATGGTCTTGATCTCTTGACCTCGTGATCCACCCACCTTGGCCTCCCAAAGTGCTGGGATTACAGGTGTGAACCACCACACCCAGCTACTGTATTACTTTTTATGCTTCCAGAATTTTTCTGTGTTGTTGCAGGTGTCTGTTGTGCCTTAATTTTTGCTATTGTAGAGGATTCTATTATGTGCAATTGCGCAGCAGTGTATGTATCTGTTCCCCTGTGGATGGACATTTGGGTTGTGTCCAGTGTCTCTTGACCACCTACCTTGTGCCATGCCCCCGACCCTCCTGCCATTACTCCACAATCTAGCTACATCCACAAAGCCATGACTTCACAAAACCCTGTCTTCCACTTCTGAGCTCCAGACCATATAAAAGGCGTAATGGTGTTTATTGAGCACTTACTCTGAGCTAGAAACGATTCTCAACATTTTACATGTGGTAGCGCATTTAATATTCACAGCAACACAAATGGGAAGTAATATTCTTATCACCGTTTTACAAATGAGAAGACCAAGGCCCAGAAGAGTTGAATATCTTGCTCAAGATCACACACCTTTTGCCACCCCCCATTCCAAGTCCCATAGGCAACTCAGACTCAGCACATCCATGATGTAACTTATCATCTTCCTCTCCAAACCATTTCCTCACTTGTGCCCTACTCTCAGTGGGGACATCTCCAATCCCCGGGCCCAAGCTGGAAACCGGAAGCCATTTCTGACTCCTCCCTCACCCACTCCATCCAAATGGAGCCCAAGTCCTGTACATTGTACTTCTCGGGTATTGATCAATCCCGGCCCTTGTCTCCACGCCCATGGTGCTGACCCATTGTTAGGTGCCCGGCTGCTGCTCCTGGGTCATCACTTCCCAGCACTCTCTTCGCAGGCCCATCTCCACCATTTCCAGCATCCTACACACTGCGGCTCAGGTGTGCTTTCTAAACCTCACCTCACCATGTCCCCACCTCCAGAATGAAGCCCAGCCTCCTCTGCCCATCCCCTCAAACTGTAAAGTGCAGATCCCAGCCCCAAAAAGGACACCCCCCACCACAATACCCTGCTCTGTCTCCTCCTCTGGGAAACCTCCTGGCCTTGGCCCAGAGGCTGGATGTGAGCTCCCCCACCCCAAGCCCCACAGCCTCCAAGCCTCCCACTCTGCACTCACCTTCTTCCTTATAATTACCTGTCACCCATTAAACTGCAACCCTCAAAGGCAGAGCCCAGTGCATCCACTGCGCATCCCCAGTGTCCAGGCAGGGCCTGCACACAGTAGGTGCACAATAATTGTTGAAAGGCAAAATACATGAGCAATGACAGGAACCATGGGTGATACTGCCTTCTGAGCCCCAGGCAACAGAGTGATTCCTGCCTGGCCCCAGGGTCAGTGGACCCTGGCCCCTCACCCCACCCAACCTCTGCAGCTGCTTCCCTGGAGCCCTTGGAGCCCTAAGAGGCCTCTTCCTGTGTCTTCATGTGTTCGAAGGATTTCCCTCTTTGCATCTTCCTTTCCTATTCCTTCATGTGGGAGCACTCTGGCACCAGGAAGAAGAAAGAGGAGCCCAACCCCTTACCAGCCTTCAATCTATAACAAGCATTCTCAAGGGAATTAAAACTGATTCTTAAAAGGGGAGGTGAAAAAAAATCTTACTCTTTTTTACGTATAAAGCACAGAACATATACAGAACATAAACAGATGTATAGTATATCTGTGGTATTAAAATTTCATGTGATTAAGAAAAAAAATCTGGAAGAATACTAGGGAAGGCACTAATGAAAAAAAGGCTAAAAAATTCTGATCTACCTTCTTGGGCCATGCCTTGTCTGGTCCAAGAACCGGCCAGAACTCGGGGAAGGGAACAACCAGGGGAGAGTCTAGAGTCCAGTCTCAGGATCCCCTCAAAGTATTTCCAAAGCCAGCCCCCCACCAGTCAGCTACAGTCCTTTCACCAAAACTGCCCTTCCTTCCCCCTTGCCTGAAAATCCCTCATTCTGTTTCTGTCATTCTTTCATCTTACCTTGTTCCTACTGAGGGCGCAGGTCAGCTCTTCCCCATTCTCCCCCTGGGGCACCCCAGTTCCCAGGGCATGAAAGACTTGAGGTGCCTCACCTCTACACCTTGGGCTAAGACATAGCCCTAGAGCTCCTGGAAGAACCCAGGAGGGAAGCCCAACCACAGGAGGCCCCCAGGAAGTGGGGGTACTGCTGTGGGACAAGCTTCTCTTTATTGGGGAAGGGATGGGATCACAAATAATCTCTGCTTAGAAGTGCTCTACGGCCATGGATTCATGTAAGGGTGGGGCAGGGTGGACTGAAGATCTGTTGGCAGGGCTCACGGAGATGAGGGTAAGGGGAGAGATCATGGGTTCATGAGATCCCATCTTGGGCAATACGGTTATTCCGTGGTCTTCATATGCCACAGAGTCCTCCAATTTCAGGGGCTCCCGTGGGATGGTGGAGCCAATGAAGACCAGGTAGATGATGCCACCTAGAGAGGCACCCAGAAGTGGTGCCACCACTGGCACCCACCACAAGTTCTCCCCATCGCTGCAGGCAAGAGGCAGAGGCCGGCTGAGGGGGCTGATGCCCAGGACAGCACCCTCATCCACCTCGGGCCAAGACTGGTTGAGCAGAGGAGTCATCCTCAGGCTAACCCAGGAAACACCCCCAACCCGGGGCCCTGGTCAGCCTCAGCCCGATTCAGGGACAGGGTTGACACTCAGTGCAGGTGCAGGATCTGTATCTGTACTGGCCTGGGGAAATGTTGGGACTCACTCCTGCTCCCCAGGCCACCTGGGGGCTCTGCAGGACCCTCCTGTGCTGCCCCTCACATCACCCCCCACACCTCAACACACAGGGGCCCCACAGAAAATCTCAAAGGAATGGGCCTGGGCAGGGGCAGTACCTGAAGACCAGTTTGCCCCAACCAGCAATGAAGGTGAAGATGCGGGGGGGGCAGGTCCCGGGACGGATTGATGGCATATCCTGTGTTCATGCCATGGTACACCCTGATGATGACCACGAGGATGCCTATCACCAGTGCGTGTGTTCCTGGCAGTGCTGGGTTGTTCTCCTGGTCCACGATGGCGAAGAGACACAGCTGGAGCATCCCGGTCAGCCACTCCTGAGGAGCAGATGCTGTGGAAGCTCACCTGGGCCCCTCCCCAAGCCACAGGACCTCGGCAGTTCCCCAGACCCAAGCCCACCAGCAGAGACACATCTTGGTACAGTCTCCATCCAGAGTTCTTGTCCTGTCTATCCGGAGGGACTCCCTGCTGGCTCCGTCCTGAGGGGTGGAGGGCAGGGGGAGGGGTACTCATCCTGGACCACTGACCTCATTCAGGAAGCCCCGCCACAATGTCATGTGATCAGGAAGGTAGTTGGCAAAAATGCCAGCTGTAGCAACGGGACCGGTCACCATCAGCTCTCCACCCGAAAAGTGGAGAATGGCCGCTGTGGAGACACAGACTATCATGCGAACCTGTCCCCAACTAAGCCCCACCAGGGTCCCGGAAATTAGGTTATAGGTTAGAGGGTGGGAGACCTCCAAGGCTTTTTTCTCCCAGCTATTTTTTACAAATCAGGACACTGAGGTCCAATCTGCCCATATTTCATAGGAGGCAGCTGAGGCCAGAGGCGGACACCCGGGCAGGACGCTCACTGTAGAAGAGACTGTAGATGGTGGCAGCTGCCAGGAAGGAGCCCAGGAACTGCCCCAGCACATAGACTGGAAACTTCCTCCAGGGCACACGGCCCAGTGCACAGTTAGTGAGGCTCACAGCTGCGTTCATGTGGGCTCCTGCGGGCAGCAGGCAAGTGTGTCAGGGAGTGAGAGCAGAACAAACAACAGTGACAAACAGTATGAGAACAACGATGGCTAGTGTGTATGACAGCATGCTCCGTGACAGAGTTCTCTCCTTGAGCCCTCACAACCACCCCGTGAGGCAGGGGCCACCGTCTTCCTTTCACTCTTAAGGAAACTGAGGAACACAGAGGCGATGGCTTGCCTAAGATCACCCAGCCAGTGAAAATGGTAGGTCGGGGGGGCCAGGAAGAATCTGGGGCAGACACGTCATAGGCACGGGGTTCAGAGGAGACTTCCTCCCGCCCGGTGGCCAGGCTGAGGCACTGGCTGTGCTGGCAAAGGAGCTGGCTGAGGCGGGCAGGAAAGAGCCTGTTGGGGACACCTGGTCTTGCCCGGTCCGGCAGGGCCTGGGCTCACTCACCAGAGGTGCGGCCTGCCATGTGCACTCCCATGGTGACTCCGAAGCCAAAACCCAAGTTGACACCAAGGTAGCTCCCAAATGTTTTATTTAGAAGCATATGGGCCACGGAACCAAGGCCGAATACCTACAAGGGAGGGCCTCTAAGGGGGCTGCCTGCCCAGAAACCCCAACCTCAGAGGAGGGCTCAGAGCTCAGTTCTAGCTCCTCACCCCCATGCCCTGGGCCTCCCTGGCGTTGCCTCGAAGACCCTCTGCCATGCCCTCTTCCTCCAGAGCCTTCCCTCCTCACTGCCTCCTCTCCTTGCCCCTGCTGAGGCCTCTCAGACCTGAGCCACTGAGAGCCGGGTGGAGCGGCAGAGTTAGAAGCTCTTACTACAAACATCCAAGCACCTCAGCCCCAGGCCCACCTGAAGTTTTGGGGTGAGGCAGGGCTGCGAGGAGGGGATGGCTGGCATGCATTGCACCCCCTCAGAGTCCCTCACACTTCAGGCTGACCTGAAGGAAGTTTCTTCAAGGGACCTCCAAATCCATCCATGCCTGACTCTGCCAGGAACCCCTCCCTACACACACACACTCCACCGCAATTCCCACAATGCTGGAACAGTGGGGCCCTAACTGTCTTGCCCTCAGCTTCATTTCCACTGACCTCAGGCGGCATTCCCAAGCTGCTGCTTCTTGCCCATCCCTCACGGCTCCTCAGATAATGCTGCCTTCACAGGGGAAGGGGCCTACCTTCAGGCCCATTACCCTCAGTCTAGAGCCACTGTTCCCTTCAGCCCTGGCTCCTGTGCTATCCTCTCCCTCTGCAGAGGCCTCCGTCTCCCCCATACCTTCCATCCTCCCATTGATCGGTTCCCACACACTGGAGTCTCATCCTTCCCAGCAAACTGTCCCACCCCTGCCCAGTGTCCTTCTCCAGCTGTGGGTTCCTGGTTGCCCCCTCCCTGTTTCAGTCAGGCTGCAGGAGAGAACACACTGGCCAGCTGCTTCACCCCTTCCCTCGCACCCCCTCCTCAATCTGGCTTCCATTTCCACATGTCACAGACACCAAAGCTCTCTCCAAGGGCTCCAGCAACCTCCTGATTTTCCAAAGGTCTTTTCAGGCATGGTTTTACCACGTAGACAGTCTCAGCTATGCCTGATGCGCTGAAATTCCCGTCATCTCCGTGGGGGAGCCAGATGCCTATTTGCAAATCCCCACTGCAACTCTCCTGGTGTTCCACGGACGTCTCAGGCTCTGTTGAAGGTTCGCCATCTCACAGCACACCTGCTCCTCACTCTATGTTCCCCATCCCCGTTGGCCGAGCCAGAAACTCAGATGTTGCAAATGATAGTTAAGCACTATTATTCTCCCCCACTTGACAGATGGGTAATCTGAAGCTTAGAGAACTTGAATGGCTTGTCCAAGGTCACACAGCCTGTACATGGTGAGCCAGGATTAAATCCAGGCAGTTACCTGTGCCAGATGGCCTCAAACCAAACAACTGCGCTGCTCCATGCATGCCTTGCTTTCTTGTGCCTCTGTTTTATTTGTTTGTTTGTTTGATGCTTGAGATAGGGTTTTGCTCTATCACCCAGGCTGGAGTGCAGTGCCATGATCAGGGCTCATTGCAGCCTCCATCTCCTGGGCTCAAGTGATACTCCCACCTCAGCCTCTCAAGTAGTTGGGACTATGGGCATGTGCCTCGACACGCAGCCAATTTTTTTTTTTTTTTTTTTGAGACAGTCTTGCTCTGTCGCCCAAGCCGGAGTGCAATGGCGCAATCTCGGCTCACTGCAACCTCCAACTCCCGGGTTCAAGTGATTCTCCTGCCTTAGCCTCCCGAGTAGTTGAGATTATAGGTGCATGCCACCATGCCCAACTATTTTTTTGTATTTTTAGTAGAGACAGGGTTTCACGATGTTGGCCAGACTGGTCTCAAACACCTGACCTCAGATGATCAGCCTGCCTTGGCCTCCCAAAGTGCTGGGATTACAGGCATGAGCCATTGAGCCCTATCCCAGCTAAGTTTTTCAATTTATTTTGTGTAGAGATGAGGTTTCACTATGTTGCCCGGGCTGGTCTCGAGCTCCTGGCCTTAAGCAATCCTCTCACCTCAGCCTCCCAGAGTGCTGGGATTACAGGTGTGAGCCACCATGCCTGGCCAGAATATCCTAATAATTTTACATTGATTGCATCTTGAAATAGGATTTTGGCTATATGGGTTAATTATTAAAATTAATTTCACCTGTTGCTTTTTACCTTTTTAATGTGGATACTAGAAAAAATTAAATTATACAGATGGCTTGTATTGTATTTCCCCTGGAGAACTCTGTTCTAGAGTTGATAAAGGAGAAAACCTGAAGAATTGTAGACATAAGGGCCAAAGTCAAAGCCGACAGAGGAGAAGGCCCCAGGAGAGGGTACAAGGTAAGAAGGCAGACCAGGCCAGGTGCGGTGGCTCATGCCTGTAATCCCAGCACTTTGGAAGGCCGAGGTGGATGGATCACTTTAGGTCAGGAGTTCAAGACCAGCATGACAAAACCCCGTCTCTACTAATAATACAAAAATTAGCCAGGCGTGGTGGTGCTTGCCTGTAATCCCGGCTACTCAGGAGGCTGAGACAGGAGAATTGCTTGAACCCAGGAGGTGGAGCTTGCAGTGATCTGAGATCACACCACTGCACTCCAGCCTGGGCGACAGAGCAAGACTCCATCTCAAAAAAAGAAAAAAAAAAGAGTTGAAAGGCACCAGTGTAGACTCCTCTTTGAGAATTCGCCTGAGGAGCGGGGAAGAGAGAACATGATCCCGTGAAGGGGCTGACAGGGTGAAGGGAGGGATGTTTCATTTTGTGTTGTTTTCAGTGGAGAAACTTCAGTATGTTTATAGGCTGAGAGAGGGATGGGCTGAAGATAAAGGACAGAGAAAAAGGACAGAGTAAAGTACCTGAATAGGCTGGACAGCTGGATTGGTGCAGAAGTGGAGGTGTCCTCCAGGAAGGAGAGGACCCCACCCCAGCCAAGGGGTGATATGTGGATACACGGGTGGTTAATGGGTCTGGTGGTAAGAGGGACAAGAGGGTGAGCTGAACATAGGAAGTGTTGATTATTTTACCTATCAAGCAGCAGATCAAGCCATTTGCTGATTTAAAAAAAAAAAAGAGTACAGAGCAGCTTTGGGGAAGTCTGAGAAAATGTGAAATAGCCCAGATATGGTGGGGGAGAGGCAGCTGAGCAGGGCCCACTGGGTCCCTCAGAAGCCCCAGGACAGGAGCAGGGGAGCCCAGAGCTAGGCTGGCTTCAGATCCAGGATAAGATACAGCAGGAGAGGACAGGAACAGATGGGGGTGCAGGGGGGAGTGAGGTCAGGACAGGTTGACAGGCTGGCAGGGTCAAGAGGTAGAGGGACTGGAGGAGGCATGGAGGGTCTGAAAACAGAGGGGCCCCCATGGCCTTTCCCGCATTCCAATACCATGTGCTAAAAATACTGGATGAGCATAGGCCGGGTGTGGTGGCTCACGCCTGTAATCCCAGCACTTTGGGAGACCGAGGCAGGCCGATCATGAGGTCAGGAGTTTGAGACCTGCTTAGCCAACATGGTGAAACCCCGTCTCTACTAAAGATACAAAAAATTAGCCAGGTGTGGTGGCACATGCCTGTAATCCCAGCTACTCGGCAGGCTGAGGCAGGAGAATCACTTGAACCCGGGAGGCAGAGCAGTGAGCTGAGATCACACCACTGCACTCCAGCCTGGGCAACAGGGTGAGACTCTGTCTCAAAAAAATAAAATAAATAAAATAAAATACTGGGTGAGTGAATGAACCCCACATGATTCCTTGTGTCAGGGTTGCCAACTGGCAACTCATGCACCTAATTCATCCAGCGCACAGATTTTGTTTAGATAACTTGGTTTTGAAGAACAGAAGTTTTCGTCTCTCTTGAAAAATGAGCAGCTCAAGCAACACTGGCCTGCATTCCACCCTCCATGGCAACAGTCAGCTGGAGTGGCAGCAGCTCTACAGCCTTGCACAGATTGGCACTCTGCAGCCAGCCAAAGTCCCCACCGCCCTGAGTTGCCGCTCTCTTGGCCCCCGTAGCATGTGATCTACAACCCTTGCCCCGTGTCTCATGTGTATGGCTGGTTTTCCAGGGCCCGGATGGCTCCAGCCCCTCCTCTCCCTGATCAGTGAATGTGGCCCAGCCCATCCAACTCTCCCCCACAGCCAGGAGGCCAGCTCCAAGGGCAACACACCTGGAAGCTGCAACACGGATCAGTCCACTTCCCTTGTCCTGGCTGCAATAAATGGGGCCAAGGTCACACTAGCTTTTTTGGCAAAACTTCACCCTGGTGACTCACTGAGATTCCTATATATATATTTACAAAAAAAAAAAAAAAGCCCTCACTTCTTGGCACAGCCTGGCAACTAAAAATAACAACACCACAATATCCGATATAGGCTTACGCCTCACAAAGTTCTTTTACAAGTGCTACTGTCTTCAATCCTCACAACAAATCTGCACAGCAAGAATTTTTCTCCCACTCTATAAATGGGGAAACTGAGGCCGAGAGAGGCATCTTGAACTACCTGAAAGTGAGGACTTTACCCTGGCTGGGGGAGCATTAACAAGCCAGTCTTTAAAAGCTGGCAATATTTAAGCTAAGGTACAGAGCATAGAGGTTAAGGGTCAAGACTGTGATATTGGGCTGGGCACGGTGACTCATGCCTGTAATCCCAGCACTTTGGGAGGCCGAGGTGGGAGGATCACTTGAAGTCAGGAGTTCAAGACCAGCCTTGACAACTTGGTGAAACCTTGTCTTTCCTAAAAATACAAAAATTGGCTGGGCATGGTGGCATGCACCTGTAATTCCAGCTACTCCAGAGGCTGAGATGCAAGAATCGCTTGAACCCAGGAGGTAGAGGTTGCAGTGAGCCGAGATTGCACCACTGTGACAAAGCAAGACTGTATCTCAAAAAAACAAAAACAAAAACAAAAAAGACTGTGATATTAGACTGCACTGGATTTAATCTTGACTTAAAGTGTGACCTTGGGCAAAAGGCTTAGTCTCAAGGAGCCTCAGTTTTCCCATCTGTGAAACTGGGATAATAATAGTACCTACTTCACAGGGCTATTGCGAGGATTTGGGAAGATGCTGCACGTAAGGGGCTTAGCATCACAGAGCCCGGGATGCATTAGGTGCTCAATGAAAATCTCAACAAAAGGAAGAGGAACACAGATGTGGGCAGGTATCAAGCATGTGGGCGGTGCCTATTTCCCTAACAGCTCTCAGAGGATGCACCCTCCTGCCTCCGAGGCTCCAAGGGTTAACAGCCCTCATGGGGCTGGAATGTCTTGTGGTAAGTGAATTACTTTGCCCTGGATTAAGGAGGGACAGGATCCAACTGCTGTCCTCACAGCTCAGGAGCCAAAGCAGGTGGAGAGGTAAGAGAGGAGTAGGGGAGGGCCAGAGACAGAGAGGAGACAGCAGCTAGAGCACCCGTCCTAATAACAAGGGACCAATACATGGGTACCACACTGGGTGCTGAGACTTGGCCTTCTTCACACAAGTCCTCCTGTTAACCAATAAGGAAGCTAAAGTTGTGGGCCGGGAGAGGTGACTCACGCCAGCAATCCCAGCACTTTGGGAGGCCGAGGCAGGAAGGTCACCTGAATTCGGGAGTTCGAGACCAGTCTGGCCAACATGGTGAAACCCCATCTCTACTAAAAATAGAAAAATTAGCTGAGCACAGTGGCACATGCCTGTAGTCCCAGCTACTCAAGAGGCTGAGGCAAGAGAGTCACTTGAGTATGGGAGGTGGGGGCTGCAGTGAGCTGAGATCGTACCACTGCACTCCATCCTAGGAGACAGAGTGAGACCCTGTCTCAAAAACAAGAAAGCTAAATTTGTGAACAGTTAAGATACTTGTGGATAGTCGCACAGCTAGAAGATAACAGAGCTAGGATTCAAACACAGCTCCAAAGCCCACGAAGGCCTAATTCTACACGATATAAGTGAGAAGTCAGGCTTTAAGCCAGGGAGAGACCTGCCCAAGGCAACTGGTCACTCAGTGGCAGGGTCAGGCTAAGAAACCTGGTGTTCCAATTTCCTCTCTCCCTTGAGCTCCATGGGCCCCACCACACACACGAACAGCCTCTGTCACCCCACCTTCCTCTAGCATGCACCTGGCTGCCTTTGCCTCCCTTCCCAGAGGCTGCCCCTTCTTTCTCTAGACCCTGGACCCTGCATAAGATGCAATAAACATGGCTACAGTCATGTTAAGGGCAGAGGCTCACTGGGGTAAGTGGCAGGGCTGAAGCAGGTGGAGAGGGAGCAACCTCACATCCCACCTGCAGTCTGGATTCTGTCCCAATCACACACTAAAGAAGAGCCCTTGTCAAGGTTACCAGCAACCTCCACATTGGCAAACCCTAAGGCCCCTTGCCAGTGCTCACCTTGCGTGGCCCATCTGCCGCTGCCCATGCCGCTGATGGCTTCTTCCTGGTGGAACCACTGCCCCCCTCTGTCATGCAGTCGGCTCTGGTTCTCCTCCCACCTCTCTGACCATTCCTTCTCAGGCTCCTTTGCGTGCCCCTCTTCATTCCTCAGGGCTCTGTCCTCAAACCATCCTTTTCTCTTTCTGTACACTCCTTCTAGACAGTGTTGACAACCACCACCTGTGTTGTGATGAACTTCAACTTTTTCCTTCCAGACCAAGCCTCTCCTGAGCTCCAGCCCCTTGCCTGTGTTTAACTATCTCCTGGATTTCCCTACAGGCATCTTGCCTCTCACCCTGTGCTGGGCCCCGTGCTCCAGAACAGCTCATCGGCGCTTTGCCCACATGTTCTTCTGGCAGAGTCTCCCCGATTCCATCTTCCACAGCCCTCTCAAACATGTGCTTTCTTCTCCAACCCCAGATCAGTCATCACCCTCTCTCTGTCCCAGATCAAAAACAGCCTCTTAACTGGTTCCTTCTTGCCAGCCTTGCCTGTCCTGCTTATGCTCCACACTGCACCCAAAATTACCTTTAAAATCCAAATCTGATCATGTCACTCCCCTGCTTGCCAGCCTTCAACATCGCCCATTGCCCTCTGGATTCATTATCAGAGCCTGATCATCAAGTTTCTCTTCAATCTCTCTCTCTTTTTTCTTTTTTTTTTTTTTTTTTGAGACAGAGTTTTGCTCCTGTCACCCAGGCTGGAGTGCAATGGTGTGATCTCAGCTCACTGCAACCTCCACCTCCTGGGCTCAAGCGATTCTCCTGCCTCAGCCTCCTGAATAACTGAGGTTACAGGTGTCCGCCACCATGCCCAGCTAATTTTTGTATTTTTAGTAGAGACGGGGTTTCACCATGTTGGCCAGGCTGGTTTCGAACTCCTGACCTCAGGTGATCCACTTGCCTAAGCCTCCCAAAGTGCTGGAATTACAGGCATGAGCCACTGCACCTGGGCCTCTTCAATCTCTTTACTCTGGGTTTCCCTTCTCCCCATTTCCAGCCTTGCCCCGGATACCCCAGTGCATGGTTTCATTTGACCCCCACATATTATGAGCCCTTTCTGTCCAAAAAGACTTGATGAGAAAGCCCCCCCCCCCTTACTTTCCTCGCTGCTTCCCCAGGCTCCCAGCTCAGAGGCAAGGAATGGACAATGTGACCCATGGGGTCAGAATGGGGAGGGGGTCATGGAAGGCCCTGGCAGAGCCCACCCACTTCGTGCTGCCCGCCCACTCACCATCATGACATATGTGCTCATGAACTCGGCCAGGAACTCTCGCGCCATCTTCCTCTCATCTTCCTCGCATCATATTTCCTGGATCTTTGCTATCACGGACCAGGAGACCATTTTGGAGCCACGGGTGGACCTGATACAGTGGCCCGAGCTCATGGACAGAAAGGAGACTCAAGTCTGCCTGCTGCCCATCGGCTCTTCAACTCACAGCTGAGTTAATAGGTAACCCAGCAGACTTGCCACACACACCTCCTCTTGCCCGGGGCAGCTGGGACAGCTGGAATTGGAGACACTTGAGAGCCATGGGGACATGGAGAGGAACTGGGGTAGATGGCCAAGCCATGCCCCTTGTAGTTGGGACTGGACCAGTAAAAATGGCACACCAATGAGGCCACTTTGCAGACGGACAGGTGGGGAGCTGAAAGTGCAATCCACGGTGCCAACAAGCCTCTGGGAAAAAGTAGGGTGGGAGAGAGCAGGCTGGAAAGTAGAGCTCAGTAGTCTATGTCTGTCCATCTGTCTGTCTGCCTATCTGCTAGAGCCAGAACTTTGGGGTCACAGGCCAGGGCCTGGCAACAGTGAGGCACTCTACAAACAGCATGAAGTGTGACAAAGTCTGCTGCCGAGCTCTGTAAACAGCACTGAGCACTGAAACATGTGCCAGGTTCTGTCAAAAATGAAGGGGTCAGCAAAATGCACCAGGCTGTGCAACCAGGTCAGTACAAACAGAGGTTTGTGAGAGAGTGAGTGAATGAATGAATGAATGACCAAGAGAGCGGGAGGGAGAAAAGGAAGGACTGGATCTACTTCCTGGTGTATCTTCAGTGCCCAGCACCATGCCAGGCACATAGTAGATGTGCAATAAGTATTTGTTGAATGGGTGAAAACTGGGGAATCTGTCTTACTCCCAACTAGATCCTCAGAGCTTGCCAAAGGGCCTGGCACTTGATTTGTATTTAGTTAAGTGCACGGTTAGATGGAAAGGTAGATGAAACAGGTGAGTAACAGGTTCCAAATCTGCGTATAGGGAGAGGTATAGGACTGGAGTTTGGGGAAGGTGGCGGGGTGGGACTGGAGGATAAAGAGGAAGAAGAGGGGCTGGGCCCGGTAGCTCACACCTATAATCCCAGCACTTTGGGAGGCCAAGGTGGGCAGATCACCTGAGGTCAGGAGTTCGAGACCAGCCTGACCAACATAGAGAAACCCTATCTCTACTAAAAAATACAAAATTAGCCAGGCATGGTGGCGCATGCCTGTAATCCCAGCTACTTCGGAGGCTGAGGCAGGAGAATCACTTGAACATGGGAGATGGAGGTTGTGGTGAGCCGAGATCTTGCCACTGCACTCCAGCCTGGGCAACAAGTGCGAGACTCCATCTCAAAAAAAAAAAAAAAAAAAAAAAAGAGGAAGAAGAGGGATACAGATACCTCTAAGTGTGGCCTTAGTCACTCTGCTATCTCACTGTCTGCATGCCCGGAAGCTGACACCAGCCCCTCAACTCCTCTGGCCAGCCCATCCTTGCATATCACGTACTGCCTTAGCTGCAGGCCTTTGCACATGCCAGTCCTACACCGAGAATGGTCCCCTGCCTCCCCAGAGGCTCCTTTACCCGCCAGCCTTCTTTTCTTGACCTAAATTTCCCTTTCTCTGGGAGAGCCTCCTACCCTCTCCTCTAGGCCATTCACTTCTTCCACATGCCCCACGGTGCCCACTCTTTCAGCTGGGGCAATGCTCATCACACTGCATAGTAATTGCTCAGTTAGGCCAGGCACAGTGTCTCACGCCTGTAATCCCAGCACTTGCTGAGGCGAGCTGATCGCTTGAGCCCAGGAGTTCAAGACCAGCCTGGGCAGTATGACAAAACCTCATCTCTACAAAAAAAAAAAAATACAAAAATTAGTCAGGTGTTGTGGTGTACGCCTGTGGTCCCAGCTAATGGGGAGGCTGATGTGAGAGGATTGCCTGAGCCCAGAAGGCAGAGGTTGCAGTGAGCTGAGATCACACCACTGCACTCCAGCGTGGGTGACAGAGCGACACCCTGTCTCAAAAAAGAAAAAAAAAAAAAGCTTAATTAATTAACGGTTTTTCTTCCTAAGGGCTGGGATCATACCAGTTTGCTTCACTGCAGTGCCTGAACATAGTAGGCATAGTAGATTCAATAAATCTTTGGTTCCTTGGCTGGTTGTTGCCTGCTCTGTGCTGATGAGAAAGGAGCCAGGCTTCCAGGATTCCCTTGGTGTTCTTGGCTCCCTGCTCTGTCTACCTCTCCCCTGCCTCTATGGTACCTTCCCAGGACTGTCTTTGGGCTGCTGCTTGCATTGATAGGGTCTCTTCTTCAGGGCTGAGGAGGCTGGTCATGGGATAATGAGACCCCTATACGATGCTGCATGGGAGCTGGAGTTGGATGGGGGCCAGTGGAATATCCGCGCAACTCTGCATCCCCCTCCATCTACTCATCCCTGGTTTTGTTTCTCTGGAGTAAGGAATAGAGCAAGGACTGGGATGGGTGAGCCATGAACAGAGGGTCTCAGCTGAAAAGTGGAAGATGTTTTATTCCATGCCTGGACGTCTCTCATTCCCTCTGCTTACTTTTTGCTGCTGTGAGGTCAGGGGAATTTAGGAGCCCTGAGGAATGCTGCTGCTCTCCCTAGCAGGGCGAGGTGACCCTCCACTGGCTCCCATCCAACCCCACCTCCCATGCTGGAGGTAACCACAGAAGAGGAGAGAGAAGTGGACAGAGCGGAAAGACAAGAACACCAAGAGAATCCTGGAAGCCTGGCTCCTTCCTCATCACCACACAGCAGGCAAGACACAGTAAGCAACAGATAACCACCAACCAGCCAATGAACTCAAGATTTCTTGAATCTACTGTGCCTAGAATGTTCAGTCACTGCAGTAAAGGACACTGGTACAATCCAGCCTGTGGGAAGAAAAGCAATCAATTGAGCAATTACTATGCAGTGTGATGAGCATTGCCCCAGCTGAAAGAGTGGGCACTGTGGGGCATGTGGAGGAAGTGAATGGCCTAGAGGAGGGGGTAGGAGGCTCCCAGAGAAAGGGAAATTCAGGTCAAGAAAAGAAGGCTGGAGGGTAAAGGAGCCTCCAGGGAGGCAGGGATCACTCTGGGCGTAGGACCGGCATGTGCAAAGGCCTGCAGCTAAGGCAGTATCCAATGTGCAGGAATGGGCTGGCCACGGAGGAGTGGAGGTGGCATGAGATGGGCAGAGAGGGGCCAGGGCCAGGTGGCAGAAGGCCTCATGGCCCACATTAGGGAGTCTGAACTCTACCAGAGGGCCATGGGCCAAGTGGAGGGTTTCAGCAGGAGAGCTGCCTCCCCTGTGGAGGCCAGGATGGAGGAAGTGGAGTGGAGGCAGGGTGAGCATCAGCTTCTCCACAGATGGGTGGAGAAGTGGTGGCAGTCTGAGCCACAAGGATGGCAGTGCCAATGGCCACAAGAACACAGTCAAGCTGACAGGCTTGGTGTTCGGTTAGAGAGGGAAGGGAGCGGGGCAGCTCAGCGATGCCCTCAGGTCCTGGCTAGGGCAGCGGAATGACTAGCGTGGGGCACAGCAGAGAAGCTGTGGAAGAATGGACAAGGAGGCCCTTTCTGGACATGTTGAGTGTGAGGAGCCTGCTAGACACTTGGGTGGGATGGCCAGTGAGGAGGCAGCTGGTCATGTGGTCTCACTTACAGACACATTTGGAGGACAGCAAATCACAGATGGTCATCTGAGCCATGGGCATAGATGAGAGAGCTCAAGGAGAGGGTACAGACTAAGAAGAGGGGCCCAAGAAAGCCAGCCTACAAAGCAAGAAACTGACAGCCAACTAGATCCCCTAAGTAATCTGTTAACCAAGGAACTAAATAGCTAACAACTCACTAACGCCTGTTTCTTTTCTTTTTCTTTTTCTTTTTTTTTTTTTGAGACAGGGTCTCACTCTGTCGCCCAGGCTGAAGTGCAGTGGCACAGTCACAGCTCACTGAAGCCTAGACTTCCCAGGGTTCAAGTGATCCTCCCACCTCAGCCTCCCAAGTAGTTGGGACTACAGGAGCATGCCACCATGACCGGCTATTTTTTCCTATTTTTTGTAGAGATGGGGTTTTGCCATGTTACCCAAGCTGGTCCCAAACTCCTGGACTCAAGCAATCCTCCAGCCTCAGCCTCCCAAGGTGCAGGGATTTCAGGCATGAGCCAACATGCCCGGTGGCTTATTAACCCTTTGACTAACCTATCAAAAACCAACTAACTGATTCTCCTGTTAACCAGCTATTAACTCATTGAATTATCTAATCAACCAGTCAACCATAAACTATCCAACTAACCACGAGCCAACAATTCAACCTGCTAACCAACATTTCTTCATTCAACAAACATTTGTTGGCCAGGCATGGTGACTCATGCCTGTAATCCCAACACTTCAGGAGGCCGAGGCAGGTGGATCACTTGAGGTCAGAAGTTCAAGACCAGCCTGGCCAACATGGCAGAACCCCATTTCCACTAAAAATAAAAAAAAAATTAGCTGGGCGTGGTGGCAGGCACCTGTAATCCCAGCTGGGGTGGGGGCTGAGATGTGAGAATCGCTTGAGCCCAAGAAGCAGAAGTTGCAGTGAGCCGAGATCATGCCACTGCACTCCAGCATGGGCAACAGAACAAGACTCCATCTCAAAAAAAGAAAAAATTTTTGTTGAGCACCTACTTATGAGTCAAGCACCAGGGATACAAAGTCAAAACCCACTCTCCACTCTTGGGTCACTCTGTTTAATAGAAGAGATGGGTAATGGCAACACCACCAGAGAGAAGCAGCCTGGGACTGGGGGAACTCAGGGGAGGCATGGGAGGTGAGGCCTGAAGGGAGTTTTGAAGAATGGGCGGGTGGTGGCCTGACATGGCCATGGAGGAGTAGGGTGGTGGTAGAAAGAATGGTGGAAGCTGTGCACATTCTAGATATTTTAGGAGATTGGTGACTGGATGTGAGGCATGGGGAAGAGGGAAGTATCAAGGACATGACCTTGACTTCTGGCTTGAGCAACTGAAGAGAAGGGGACCCCTGACTGAGCCAAGAGCACAGGAGGAGTGGACTTGTGGGGGGCGGAGGAGGCTGTTTCCATCTAGGAGCTGAGTTGCCTGTGAGACACCAGTGGGTCTCTAGAAACAGGATCTAAAGCCCTGGAAAGAGACGTAGGCTAGAGGCAATGATGTCAACAGAGGGGCACTATTCATTCTCTCCGTCCAAGTGTACAACAGGCAAATATCCCTGCTTGCGTGGAGCTGACAGCAATGAAATGTAATAAGTAAGTACATTTGTATAAGCGAAGGTACCAGCTCCTATGGGAAAAAACAGAGCAAGGAGAGGGGAATTGGGAGTGCAGGGGCTGGAGATGGGGTGTGATTTCAAATAGGGCAGTCAGAGTAATCCTTGTTGAGAAGGTGGCCTTGGAGCAAAGCCATGAAGGAGATGAGAGTGGGCTGTATGTTAACTGCAGAAAGCCTCTCAGATGGAGGGAATAGTCACCAGAGGACTCTCAGCATGTTTGAAGAAAGCAAAGAAAGTCAGTGTGAGGCCAGGTGCAGTGGCTCACACCTGTAATCCCAACCTTTTGGGAGGCCGAGGTGGGTGGATCACCTGAGGTCAGGAGCTCAAGAACAGCCTGGCGAACATGGCGAAACCCCATTTCTACTAAAAATACAAAAAAAACAAACAAACAAACAAACAACTAATTAGCTGGGCATGGTAGTGTGTGCCTGTAATCCTGTAATCCCAGCTACTCAGGAGGCTGAAGCAAGAGAATCGCTTGAACCCGGGAGAAGGAGGTTGCAGTGAACCAAGATCTTGCCATTGCACTCCAGCCTGGGCAACAGAACTGGATTCCATCTCAAAAAAAAAGAAAAGAAAAGAAAAAAAAAACCAGAAAAGAAACTCAGTGTGGCTGGAGGAGGGAGAGCAGGGGGCTGGAGTGGGGAGGCCAGAAAGCTAACAAGGACTACATAGGCAGGGCCTTGGCCATTGCAAGGACTGGCTCTTTTTCACCCCAAAGACAGCTGAGCCTGAGAGGGTGAGAGGTGCTGAGTGCAGTTGAGTTGAAGGCCACCTGCATGCCTTGACCCTCATCCAAGTATTTCTGAGCCTCCCCTCACCCCAGGACCCAGCCCAGGCAACAGGTGGAAGATGCTTTTCTTCTGGGACCTCAGAGGCGAGTGGGTGGGTGGGGAGGAGGAGGTCGAGGGGGGACAGCTGCCCCAAGGGAGAGGCTGAGGATGGAGCAGGGAGGGCACTGAAGTGGGCTGGGTGGAGGACAGGGGGCTGGAGGGTGAGAAGAGGGTGGGGTACTTACCGCCTGTGCCCAGATGCTTGAACCATGTTTTGTCCTTCAGATTTGTAGATGCTGAGGAGCCAAAGAGAGGTCACTAGGGCTGGAGGACACAGAACTTGGCCCCACACTTCCATCAGATCTTTGTCCCCAGGGGAGAAGCCCTGGGGCAGCTCCTGCTAGTGCCACTCCCTTAACCCAGCCAAGGAACAGGGAGGGAGGAGCGGTGCTCAGCCAATGAGGCGACGCCCTGGAGCCCCACCCCACCCATGCTGGCCCCAGGACCCCAACCCCAGGCCAGACCCTCCAGTGCTCCTGCTGACCTTCCCTGTCTGCAGCCCAGCTTTGGACTGTGGAGATGCCCTCAGCCTCTACTCAGTGGCTCCAGCCTCATATTTGCGTGCTATACCTTTAACCTCAAGTTCTCTTGCTGCTAACTTAAGCTGTGACTGTCCAGGACCTGCACACACACATACATGCACGCATGCACACACACACACACACACACACACACACACACACAGAAGGTGAACACACAGGATGAGGCCCTGAAAACTCATTTCACCCGTGTACCTCACCCAAAAATTCCCCTTTGTACTCCTATCTTTATCTCTAACTGACAGCATGAAGGTAGCCCGAAGTCCCCTCACCCTGTCTGTCCTCCTGATTCTCTAGCCCAGTTCCCTCTAGCTCCAGCACAGACTCTTATCTCCAGCCCTGACTGCTGAAACCCTCCAGCCCCAGCTCCAGCCCCTCAGGAGGGGACTGCGTGGGAGGAATGACTCCAGCAAGCCGGCAGCTGACCCGTCTCTGGCCTGCATGCCTCCCCCTGTGGTCCACTGCCGGTGGTCTTCAGCTCTCTCCTCGTCCCACCCCCATGGTCTGCTGACAGCCCAGCCCAGTGCATCCCTGCCATCTCTGCTCTACCGCTGGTCCTCCCAACAACCAACTTACAGGTAAGGAAACTGAGGCCCAGAGAGAAGGTGTATGTGCCTGTGTCACACAGCAACACAGGACTGCACCATAACAAGAAAGCCGGGACTTCCACTCCCAGCCGGGGCTCCTTCCCCAAACAATCCCTCAGTCACCTCCTCGCTGTATGGTACCCAGGGAATGGCCCTTCCAGATCTGGGCACTGAGGAGGCTGCCCCATCCCCACCCTGCCTGGAGCCCCACTCACTCTGCTGAAATGTCTTCTGATTCTCAGCCTCTGCCTTGGGGGCTTCTCAGTTAAAGCGCATCTTGATCTTGTCCCTCTGTGACTGTCCCTGGCTCAGCTTCCACCCCCAGCTGGGGCTCAGCTATCCCTGTGTCCCCAGTCCAGAGCCTGCCTCTCAGCCCTCCCAGGGCGGCCTTGAGCGCTGCTCCTGCTCCTCCAGGGGAGAGGTCAGTAAGGCAGGGATTTGGCTGGTGCCACTTGAACCAAGTCCAGATGCACTGCCCAAAATAACATCCCTCGTCTGGCCAGCAGTGCAGTGGAGACCGAGTTCTGAAGCAGGCCTTTGTGAGGTCAGAGGTGGAGTTCTGGGTGGGCACTCTGGGCCTCACAGTCCCAGAGGAAAGGCCTGTCCTCCAAGCCAATGTGCAGCCTGACTCTGGGGCCAGCGCCTGAGGAAGCCCTCCCTGAGCCCCAGCCCTGGGGAAGGCTGAAGAGGCCTCTGAGCTCCCAGCGCTGGGGAGCGCTGTGCAGAATAGGACTGGAGGTGAAAGTGTTGGAGATTAACAGCCAGATGGAGGGGACGGGGGGAGGCCCTGGGTCAGTCCTCAGGGAACCCCCATTCTGAAGGGGGAGAGGGAAACTCAGGCCCAGTCCTCAGGGGCCCCCAGTCTGAGAGGAAGGAGGACACACGAGCCATATTTGCAGAGAAACACCAGCCTGCGAGAGGAGGTAGAAGCCCAGGCCTGGCCCTCCGAGGGCCCCTAGTCTGAGGAGCAGTCCACCTGCCCTCGGGAAAACACCTCCCTTAGGAAAGGCCAGCAAGGCCCCCGTAAAGGAGCCACAGCTGGATCGGGGCATGGGGCTCGGGGCCCAGCGGCGTGGGAGCTCCGGGACCGAGGTGCAGTCAGGAGAGACCCTGGGGGCCAGTGGCAGTCCAAGAGGACTTTTGGAGCCAAGGCCTGACTGGGTCTCAAACAATGGGGCAGGCAGTTTGGGGTTTCAGCAGGTGGCCCGGTGCTGAGACACAAGGGAGTTGTTTCTGGTCTGCAGACACTGAGGACACTTGCTATGTGGCGTGGTGGATGGTGGGTAAGTCCTGGGAATTTCTGGCACCAGGTTCCCTGGGTGGGAAGGGGCATAGGATTCAGTTGTCCAAAGCTCAGGTGTGGGAATGGAACTGTCCTGTAGAGGGTGCCAAAGACCAGGTCTGGAAACTGCATAGCCCCAGTCCCCACCCCCACACACACCATCCCACCCCTTCCAGCTTTTTCTGCAGATCTTTCTGCAGGGGTGAGGCAGGGAGAGGAAGGGGTCGGCCGCAGTTCTGGGGCTTCCTAGTCAGAAGCCCTCTGTAAGGCACTAACTTCCCTCTTCCCTCTGCAGATTTTTTTTTTTTTTTGAGACGGAGTCCTACTCCACCCAGGCTGGAGTGCAGTGGCACAATCTTGTCTCACCACAGTCTCTGCCTCCCAGTTCAAGTGATTCTCCTGCCTCAGCCTCCCAAGTAGCTCGGATTACAGGCATGCACCACCAAGCCCAGCTAGTTTTTTTGGATTTTTAGTAAAGACGGGGTGTCACCATATTGATCAGGCTGGTTTCGAACTCCTGACCTCAGGTAATCCACCCGCCTCGGCCTCCCAAAGTACTGGGATTATAGGTGTGAGCCACTGTGCCCGGCCTCCCTCTGCAGATTCTACATGGGCTCTAAGCAGCCTCTAAATTGCCTGAACACCTAAGGCTTATTTGCTAGTTGACATCTGATCTATTCTGACACTGAAAATTTCAGTGCTTTAGGGTGCTAAAAGGAAAAAAGAGGGTTTGCAAGGAATCCTGCAGTTGCTGAGGGGGTACCCTGATAAGGGAATTTTAAGCAATTACAGTAAGTGTCACTAAACTTTTTAAAAAATCTTTAACCAGATTAAACTTACACAATTTTGTTATAATTTGTGTTTCTGCAGCTTCCAATTGTGGACAAGATAAGGACCATTGCCCAGGCTGTCTATGGAGCCAAAGATATCGAACTCTGTCCTGAGGCACAAGTCAAAATAGATCGTTACACTCAGCAGGTAAAAGTTGTACTTTTAGGGGAAAAGAAAAAATTCACCTTAGGCTCTCAGAATACTCAGCTTGACTTGAGGATTTGTACATGTCTCACCAGCTAACCTTTGCTTAATCTATTTTCTGGTTAACAAAGATGAAAGCAATATCCTCGGGTAGAGTGTAAACTATATTTAGAACTTTATGGTGAGGCATGTATCCTCTGATCCATGCATCATTTACTTCTGTGACTATAAATGTGTCTGATATGGGTGGTATCCCTGTTTGTAGGTGATGTGTGATCTTTCATCCCTCCCACTCAGCCCAGAACGTTGAAACTATCCTTTGGAGTAGAGCTGCGGAGTCAGATTTGCATGAATTGCAATGCTTCCTCTTCCTTACAGGCCTCTTACTACCTTAAAAATGCTAGCAAGGTGCCAGGGTAGGCAGATAGGAGTGCAGCCTATAAAGATGGGAATGTTTGCTGTTCTTATGCAAACGGTTCATTGGCTTTTTACTGAGCTGGTCCACTGAGGTTGAAGGCTCCATCATCTTCTACCTCTAGCCACTGAGAAAGGCAAGTAGGCAAACAGCTGGGAAGGTGGCTACGATCTGACAGCATGTGTCATCACCTAGTCCAGTGACATTCATGATGAATCAACTCCATTATAGGAGGCTCAGCCACCTTTTACCAAAAGGATCATGTGCCTCCAGTGTCCCTCCTACTTTGGTGTAATCAGATAGATAGAAGTCAGAACATTTTAAGAGCCTGTTGGCTAAAGAGCTTCATGATTGGTAGTGTTGACCTTATCTTTAAAAACAATCTCCAACTCCTTATTCTTTTCTGTAAACCCATTTGAAATTTTGTTAAATGCTACCATTGCCAGCCAGGGTATTTGTTCTCCTAGGTTTGGTAAAATAGGAACTCAGAAAGTTCTAAATTCTTAGAATTTTCCCTGATGTTCTTGGCTTACCCTTTACAAAAAGGATTCCCAAGCACTGCTCTGTGCCTAGGCATTGTGGTGAAGTTTTCATTCATGTGCAATGAACCAAGTAAAATAAGGTCATTCTCATGAGGTTGCTTTGTTTTTTATTCCCCGAGTTTTTAATAATGATATTTAAGACTATCATTTATTGTAATATTAAGTCTTTTCTCCTTTCAGTGTTAAAATGTTATTTCTTTTATGAAGTAATCTGGTGACAGTATATAGCATACTGGTTGGTTTCTGTTTCTTTTTAATATGCCTACTAACAAAATTTTTACATTAGCAAACCTATAGAAATTACTTTAATATTTAACCATGTCTGAAATTCAAAATTCTGGCACCATTCTGAAAGGCAGTTGTGATTCTCACTCAGCAAAATTCTTATCAGTATAGAAGAGTGGAGATTTCAAAAAGAAAATGGCCCCAAGCCCAAGTCCTCCCTAAGTTGATAAGACTCTAAGATCTTCCAAATAGTTTTAGGCTAAGTCTTATGAAAATTTGACTAAAGATTTCATTCCCTTTATCTCTATCAAGGAAATACTCCTTAAAAGTCGTGTCAACCAGGCACGGTGCTCACACCTGTAATCCCAGCACTTTGTGGGGGCAAGGCAGAGGATCAGTTGAAGCCAGGAGTTGAGACCACTCTGAGCAACATAGCAAAACCTCCATCTCTATTTTTATTTTTTTTAAAGTTAGTGCCAAGTATGTGGTTGCAATGAATTAGCAAAGCCTCTAAAGGAACACTGTGTGCCATTTAATCAGAAACAGGCTTATAGGACACTGTGCTTTTTGTGAGACACCACATGTGACTTCCTGCTCTTTCACCTTTGGAACTCTGGGTCAGACATAGACTTTTGTCCTTAAAAACAAGAAGCTTAAATAGTGACCTCATCTTAGCTCTTGTAATGTAGTTGCAGATCAAATAACCATGATTCATAAACCAACACAAAGGAACCCTTTGCTTCTTGACTGACTCCAGAATGAGTGAACAACATGACTAAGAGCCTAGTCGCAGAGCCTTTCTCCAGACTACCTTGCTGGGTCCCGGATATTAATAGTCTTGGAAAGCGGTTTCTACAGCTGCTGCTTTGCCTGCAAATAGCAATGCTTTTCCCAAACATGCACATAACACTGCCTTCTCTTAACGAGAACCTCCAAAATAAACAATAGTCACCCCTGACCTACTAAACAGTCATCACATGGAGATGAGTTTTTATCCTCACCTTCTTGCTTCTTCAGTGAACAAGTAGTAACAAGCAGCTCCTGCGTGTGCCTCGATCTGAGCTGGCATACCATTGCTGCCGAGACTGTATAAAGTGCAAATTGAAAAACACAGGAGACTCACGTCTATATCAGTGAACACATTTTCTTTCCTTTCTTACAGGGTTTTGGAAATTTGCCCATCTGCATGGCAAAGACCGATCTTTCTCTGTCTCACCAACCTGACAAAAAAGGTGTGCCAAGGGACTTCATCTTACCTATCAGTGATGTCCGGGCCAGCATAGGTGCTGGGTTCATTTACCCTTTGGTCGGAACGGTGAGTGAGTCACATTTTCCAAAATCCCTCCCCATTCTGCATTGTCGCAGTGCCTCAAATCGTTATGCTCCACCCGCTCTTTAAAAATCATGGATTAGGGAGAATTGGGAGTAATTAATAGTACAGTATTCGCTATTTTTCTAAACACTCTGTCTCACCTACCTTTGCCATTGTGCTTTGGGTTTTTCTTTTTTTAGATCATGTGTTCAGGATCCTTAGAGTCATAATACTAATTTCCTTCCTAAGGCAAGTAAGAACATAACTTGGGAGAATTCAGTCTATTTAAATGGTAGAATGGCTTAGGACAGTGGTTGTCAACCTTTGTCACACATAGCACCCAAAATGATGTAATCAGTAGGGTTGAATGCTCACACCAGACAGGATCTGCCCAGTCACCCTAAGGGCTGGGGAAAGCAGTCCTCACCCTCTCACTTCCCCAGCACATCAGGTGGGAAGTTCTGGCTTAGGAAATTACTGAATCATATGAATTCTCATTTTTGATGTTGTTGTGATGGGATTACGTTGCTATTGGTTGATTATTCTGTTATTTTGTGTTATCTATGGAGGTAAAGGAGATGAGCAGAGATATAAAAGCTTATCAAAGTGCTTAAAATCCATGAAGATTGGCTTCATTTGGTATAGCTACACAGTGATAGCCTTCCGTTGGTACCATCAGTGGCCTAAATTTGATTTCTTGTCTTTGGGAGTGCTCCTGAATTTGGTTTAGAATAAAAAAGAATTCTTAAAACCTGGCAGATCCCATGGCAAGAAAAGAAAAAAAATTCTAACCCATCATTATCATCATCATTAGTGCAAAGTGATCTGAGCTTAAACAGCATACATTATAATAATTTTTTATAATAAACCATGTGGCTCTATTGTGCAAACAAGCAATAGACAGACAAAAAGTGCAGATTCTTGCCTTGATATTTACATGCTTCATCTAATATTGGACACAATGTTTTTTCAATCAGCATCATTTGAATTCTTCCTGCATGTGAGGCACAGAGATTTTAAGATGAGCAGGTGTGAGATGCATGGATTTGAATAGCATAGAGGTATCTGGAGAGCATTGTGTTGGTATTCTGAATACCCTCAGATCCCAGGGGGATAACAGCTCATTATGCCTGGGGTAGAACTTACCTGGGCTGTGGAAGAAGAGGGGATTCTTCAAAAAGGGCTCAACCTCTGAACTGGCAAAACAGTGAGTTTTGACTCAAAGGCACCAGAGTACTAATACATGACATCCTCTCCTGGGGTGATCCAATGTGGCTGGAGTTGGATGAGGTGGGGAGGCTGGGGATGGGAATGGGAATGGGATTGGGATAGCAGGACGGGGTCACATGGCCAAGGATCTTGAAGACCATCTCACGGAACTTGAATCTGATCTCTACACACTGAGGAGCCACGGTAGGGTGGGTTTTTTGTTTGTTTCTTGGTTTTTTATTTTTTTGATTTTTTGTTTTTAAAGAAGGAGGAGAAGAATGTGGTCTGATGTGTATTTTAGAAAAATAGCTCTGGCAGCAATGTGGAGAATGTTTAGTGAAAAGAGAACCAGGCCCAGAGAGGTGGGTTAATTCAGCTGGGGCCAGAGGAAATCAAGGTCCGCACTTTGGCCACAGAAGTAGATACAGAGAGTGGGGGGTGAATTGCAGACATACTCTAAAAGTATCCTCCTACAGTAGGGGCCGGGTGAAGGGACTGTTCTAGCTTGGTGACTGGCTGGTGATGCCATCACCGTGTCATGGAAAGGACATGGGAGGAGGCAGATTGGCCAAGCCAGAAATGAGCCTGGCTTGAAGAGAGAGAGCTCAGAGGGTTAATAGGATCTAAGGAACAGTCTGTGTCTCCACTGGAAATACAGATACAGCTCTCCAAAGAAAGGGGCAGGAAGGTCGCCCTGGTGGGTTTAAGGATATGGGTGAAGGCACTCATTAAACAAGAGACACAGGGATAGCTGGAAATCAGTGAGAAGAGAGTAAAGGAAGACACCCCTGAAACACCCACTTTAATGCAGCCGACTCCTGGCAGGGGTGCCTTCCAGAAGGCAGGAAGGAAGGAGCAGGGGCATGGCAGAGAACGTCCAGAAAAATCCCACAGACACCGCTCACAGCAATGTTGACACAGAGAGAAGGGTCCAGATGAAATGGGTTCTGAATGACATTTTCAGGTCTACAGTTCAGATCAGCAGTTGCCAGGAGCTGGGGGAGGGAAGTGTTTGACTGCAGAGGGGCAGGAGGGAACTTTTTGGGATAATGGAAATATCCTATGTTTTGACATGGTAGTGATTCCATGGCTATATACATTCTTCCAGACTCATAGACCTATACACGTGTGTTGCCCAGGCTGGACTCAAACTCCTGATCTCAAGCAATCCTCCCACCTCAGCTTCCCAAGTTGCTGTGACTATAGGTTCGTGCCACTGTGCTGGGCCTGTGTATCATTTAGTTATACCTCAGTTAACAAAAATGGGTAGTGAAGAGCTTGCTGTATATTCCTTAGAATGGCCTCAGTCAGCCGGGTGCAGTGGCTCATGCCTGTAATCCCAGCACTTTGGGAGGCCAAGGTGGGGGGATCACAAGGTCAGGAGTTTGAGACCTGCCTGGCCAAAAGGGTGAAACCCCATCTCTACTAAAAATACAAAAATTTGCTGGGCATGGTGGCGGGCACCTATAATCCCAGCTACTTGGGAGGCTGAGGCAGGAGAATTGCTTGAACCTGGGAGGCAGAGGTTGCAGTAAGCCAAGACTGCACCATTGTGCTTCAGCCCGGGTGACAGAGCAAGACTCCATCTCTAAATACATACATACATACATACATAGAATGGCCTCAGTGATGGCCACTTTACTCCTGAGCTTTAGTTGGCAAAGGCCTTGGCTTAGGGATAAGAGGGTGGCTGGACAGTGCAGGCCCAGAGAGACTGGACCATCAGGGGAAGTGAGGGGTGATGGAGGTGCCCAAACAGAGCATGAAATGGTAGAGTAGATGAGAAGGTTAGCCTCGATCACGATCTGTCCTGTCCTACCCTCTGCGGACTCTAAACCCCGCAGCAGTTCACCCAACAAATTCATGCACTCGGCCAATGCTGCATAAGGCACTCAGCTCGGGGCTACAGGAAGCCCCAACCTAAAGAAACTTTCTCTGCTTCAGGTAGTTTACAGCTGGTAGAAGCAGATAGAAGTGAATTAGCAAAGAAAATAGTTTGATATAAAAATTGTGCATTTAACTGCAACCTTAATTCACTTCTGAGCATTTAATAGCCATTAAACAAAAACCAGGGCCCACACAGTGGTTCACACTTACAATCCAAGCACTTTTGGAAGCCAAGGTAGAAGGATTGCTTCAGGCCAGGAGTTCAAGACCAGCCTGGGCAACATAGCCAGACTGTATCTCTACTTAAACCAAAATTAGCCAGGAGTCATGGTACACACCTGGAGTCCCAGCTACTCAAGAGGCTGAAATGGGAGGATTACTTGAGCCCAGGAATTTGAGGCTACACTGACCTATGATCATATCATTGCACTCCAGCCTGGGAGATAGAGTGAGACCTCTGTCTCTAAAAAAATGGAATAAAATAATAAAAAACACAATATAATTTAAAATCTTTGGAGTCACTAAACAAATATACAATGTGAATCTCCTCCCACTCCAGCTAACACTACCATATCCAACACCAGGTAAAGACCAAAGCCGTTCTGGGAAATCAGAATCTGTTGCCATGGCTCATGCCTGGACACCAGGCTGTCCGCTCCTGATGTCACTCTTTGACTTATGACTTGTTAGAAAATGAATGCGTGGAATGGCCCTGGAGGAGCCGCTGCAGCTCTCTGGGTTTCCTGAAGTGAGCCCTCTGTGTCATTATCTGGTCTTCTCAGCCCTCAGCCGAGTTCCTCCTGTGGCCACATGTGGGGTCGCAGTGAGCATCAGTGCACAGTGATAAAATCTGGAACAATAGGGTGTTGGGTGTGAGGGAAGGGAGTGGTGCCTGACTACAGAAGTTCCTGGAGGTCAGGAAACTCTCACTGGAGGCAGTGGCCCTAGAGGGCTGCTTTCTATGACAGAGCAGGAAGCTGCATGTGTACTGGGACACATGCAGCAGAGGGGCCAGGATCTCCTAATAAGGACTGGTATTTACTTTTACTTGAACCCATTCTGGGCCTTACCACAGTGTGCTGAAATGCCTTGAACATTCATCACCCATGTGGGAGAAAGGATAGTAATTTCCTGCTGAGATGACTGAGGGGACAGGGAATGGGGACACCAGGGGGACTGGCTCCTGCAGGTTGGAAAATTCTAGCAAAACGAATCACTCTTCTGCTTAGTCACCCAATGTGCGCTTATTAGAGTGCTGCTGAAAAACATATTCGTCTATCCACTCCAGAAAGATAGTCCAAACTGAGACCTCAAGATCAGAAAGGCTCCCAATCTCCTGCAGGGTTCATTCATTTACTCAGTGAATTATTAAATGCCTACAGCACGCAGGGCCATCAGCCCAACGGCTATGAGAAAGAGATTCAGTCCTTTCCTCACAGGCCTTATGATAGACTCCAGTAAATAAAACAATACAGGCACAGAATGTGGCAGGCTTTATAAGAAAGCCTCTCTTGTTGTGTCCTCAAGGGAAGCAGAGAATCTCCCCTCTGGCTCTAGTTGGAGAATCCCAACCCAAGCAAGTCCATCTTTGAACAATAAACATCTCCAGTACTGCTGGCTTTGGAAGACCCCATGGTGAGATGCTGGAGCTTTTTTCCGCTCCTGATTTCACTTTCTAAATATTTACTTTTACTTTCCATGTTCACTTGTAGGCCAGATTTTTTTTTCCTACCATTGAATTATTTCATCATGTTCTATTTAATTATTGTCTTAATTGGCATTGGTGACGACAAATAATAATAAATACTATTAACTGATGTAACAGCTTCACTAGTCTATTTAACTTCCCCATGCTGTTGTAACTGAAGCACCCAGCACAAGCATTCCCAGCTCGTGGACGTCTAAGACCTTTGAGGTCATTCTTACATGCATTGCTAGTGTTTTCCATATTCCTTGATGGTAACCAATTTTTCCTTCCTAAAATAACTTTCTTCATTCCTAGTAAGCTTCATATGTATTTTGTGTATTCTTCCCTCTTTTTTATGACATTATACATATTATTGAAAGCTAGAAAATAATACAAGATGCTTGACTGACATAATACCACTTAGTACATCTTTTTGTAAGAAATAGATTTTCTAATACAAATCTTTGATATAGGAAGAAATGAGCAAGTGTTTTTTAAGGTTTTCCAACCCTATATTCTACTACAAATTACCCTGTTATCGTATGCTTCCAAAATTCTTTCAAGGATTACAGTTTATAGTGTTCAATAAACCTAATAGTTTATAAAACTTCTCAAAAAATAATCTCATGCCAAAAATAATTTAGTAGTAGGTGGTCTTTGTCTTGTGGTCACATTGTTTTGATATTGTCTTTAAGTTTCTGTAATTTACAAGGGCTGTTTAATCAGTTGGCATAAATTTCATGACAAAAATGCTAATATGTAAGCAAAGTATATGAAATGATATTTTTGAGAAGTAAATTACATTCCATATAGAAAAAGACTAGAAAGACTACACCAAAACCTTAAATTAGACAGTGATATTATGAGTAGCTTTTTTTCTTCTCTTTTTTGTATAGATCAAATTACTACGTTGGGTGTATATCACTTTTATAACATGAAAATACAGTAAATAGGGCGATGATAAACTGCAAGTGCTTGGGGAGAAGGCTTAACTCAGGCCAGTTGCAAGAGAGTGAGAACACACACGCAGCCTGTGGGAGCGGGCTCCGTGCCATCACCTGGCCGGTCCTGGCTGTGTTGCTGTGTTTTCGCACCTCAAAAGTTGGGACAGCAAGGAAAGGCCATAAGAGCTAGAATGTTTCTATAAGAAGTGTATTCAGTATGATTTGTCTAGCTCTGACTAATGTGTGCAAACCCCAGATTCCACTAAGCAAATGCAAGATTGTTTTTCCCTGTTAATTTTTTCCTGGGCCCTTCTTGCTTACTGTGTTGGGCATTGGAGAGGGGGTGATTGACTTCTTTCTTCTCACAGTGTTTTCTCTCGCTCTCTTTTTTTTTTTTTTTTTTTTTTTTTTTTGAGACAGAGTATTGCTCTGTCACCCAGGCTGGAGTGCAGTAGCATGATCTCGGCTCACTGCAACCTCCGCCTTCCAGGTTCAAGTGATACTCCTACCTCAGCCTCCCAAGTAGCGTGGACTACAAGTGCATGCCACCACATCTGGCTCAATTTTTATATTTTTCATAGAGACTGGGGTCTCACCATATTGGCCGGGCTGTTCTCAAACTCCTGACCTCAAGTAAGCCACCACGCCCAGCCATCTCTCACAGTGTTTTTTAAAACAACAATGCATTTTCACAACAGTTGGCCTGGAGAGGTGTCCAACCAAGTTGGAATTCATAGCAGATATCCATTTGAAGTTAATTTTTGGTGTATTTGACTGTTTTCCATTGACTTCACATTGAGGCAGTGAGAGAGACTTGAAGAACTTAGAATATGAACCCTTTTCTCACTGGCAAACATGGGACATAGAGGCATGTCTTGACAGCAATTTATGGCAACACTCTGGGCTGGAATCTAGGGGTTAGGCAGCCTGGCCGGTTTTGTAAATTAGTCAGGCCACCCTCAGAGTCAGTTTGAGGGTTTAGTGGGAAGCCTGAATAAAAAGAGAAGTTAAACTTTTAAGAAAAGGGTCAAGCTTTAAAACTGGAATTGGCTTTTCAAGTTTAATGAGTAAAAAGAAACCCCAAAACTGGAATTGTAATTGTGGAGAAGTACAAATTATAATATTTGGAATATCATCTACAAGGAATGAAACTATCCAGAAGCATTTAGATGGTAGTCATTGATTGTAGGGCATCTCTGGGGGCAGGGTGGCTCCTGGCACTGTAGAGAAAGACCATCGGTGCTTCCGTCTCCCAGTTGGAGGAAAGGGATACACTGTGGAGGTCCCAGCAGCTTAGGGCCTGCCCCCATGTGGTTATGTCTGCATGGTTTCCTTCCCTCTGTCTTCCTGTAACTCTTTCACCCTGGCCCCTGTGCCCTTTCTGGGCAGAGGGTGACAGGAGGCACTGCATGGGTGCATTCTTTTTTTTTTTTTTTTTTTTTTGAGACAGAGTCTTACTCTGTTGCCTGGGCTGGAGTGCAGTGGTGTGATCTCGGCTCACTGCAACCTCCATCTCCCAGGTTCAAGCGATTCTCCTGCCTCAGCTTCCCGAGTAGCTGGGATTACAGGTGGCCACCACTACGCCCAGCTAATTTTTTCCAATTTTAGTAGAGACAGGGTTTCACCACATTGTTCAGGCTGGTCTCAAACTCCTGACCTCGTGATTCACCCGCCTCAACCTCCCAACGTGCTGGGATTACAGGTGTGAGCCACCGCCCCCGGCCAAGTACATGCTTTTTTTCCTCTTGTTGGGATTGGCCTGGGCTATACCTATCTCATGGTGGAAGCCTGCCTAGGGACCAGGCCCTAGAAGACCAGCAGTTTATTTAACTGGGTTGGCCTTTGTCCCCACTCCCTGTGACCCGGCCCTGCCATATCTTTACCCAGGTGCACCACTGACATCATGGCTCGGCTGGACTCTGGAAAGCAGGAAATTGCTGGAGCATGTTTGGGCATCAATGATGTCACCCGCTACGAATGCCGGGTGGGGTTACTGGACTGAGGGCCATGAAAAAAGAAAGCTGCGGCCCTGCCCCGTGGACTCACTGCCATTCTGTTCTTTCTCACGTTTCAGTTCAGCTCACTTTGTTTTCCGTCCCCCTCCCTCTACTGTAAAAGTATGTACTCATTGTTTCATTTCCTGCTGGATCTGATTCAGGTCAGTGATGAAGTTCTTTGCGAGCTCAGTGGGGAGGCGTTTCCTCCCTTTCATACCGGCCCTGCTTAGGGATGCATGGTTGGTTATATACTTGCTTCACTCGGTTAGGCATGGAGGAGAATTCATTCAGACCTCATAGGTTTAAATCAAATGCATGACCCTTCACATTTTCCAGAGATTTAGACAGTTACAGTGAGACAATTAAACATTCACCCCCCAAGCTGCACTTGGAGATGTGTAAGCAGTAATGTAGTCATGCGCTCCCCATGATATGAGAGTGTGCAGAATGCCACTCCCCACAGCAGGTCCACCAGGACCTCCTCAGGGAGCATCTTGCCTACAAAATCACCCATCCCTTTTCCCCCACTTTCTTCACTTTCCCTACGTTTCCACTCCCACACCCACAAATAAACAAAGAAACTTTGAGCTTATTTTACAAAAGTCTTTGAAATGGCCCTCCTCTCTCCGATGCTCCTGGGCCCTGGTTTGGCCCCATCTGTGCAGTCTCTCTGATGAGTGTGAAATAAGCCAGGTTTGGCTCATGCTCTCCCTGTGAGCTTGCTCTCCCCGTGAGCCTGCCCTCTCCATCTGGCCTCACTTTGTTTGTGTCCCTGGGTCCTTTGTCTCTGATCCTGGGATCCTGGTGGTTTCCTCCTCCCCGCCCAGCTTGGGTCCTTTTCCCCAGGGTTCTTCCCTATCTCTACATCAGAATTTCCTGCTTTCTCCCAAATATGCATTTCCCTGGCCCAGGCATCCATTGCTTCCTCTCATCGTGAGGTCCCTGCAGCAGACTGCCAATGGTGTTGTGGCCATGCCTTCCTCCACAACCCAGGGAAAGCTACATGTGTGTCTGTCCCATAGGGAAGGAGTCATCCCTGTCTCTTCAGTGTGGCATGTTCAGGAGGAAGGAAAGTAACCAGCGTCATTCTCAATTTCCGGAAACTGTTTATCATATTGACAAGAAGAAGAAAGCTTTGCGACTCATGAGAATGATGTTTTCCTCTCTGGTACATAAGGTTATGTAGGTCCAATCCATTGTGTAGAAGATCTTTTCTCCCTTAATGGGATGTACACTTATTTTTAGCACAAGTATAAAACTACTTTAAATGAAGTCAGCCTCAGCCAGGGAAATATGCTGAGTAATAATGTTGCCAGGTACTATACCACTGAGTTGAGTTTGCAATTCACTGCTATTAATCCCTGCATGTTAGTTCTGAATTTTTACTCTTTGCATACGTAGAAAAAATGGTGTTTCTCTTCAGAGTCAAGGAGGGAAAAAAGAAAAGTTAAAAGACACTTATAACACTTTTGTGTCCACCCCTAAAATCAGCATATTGATCTACTATTTTTCTAGGTATTGATGGAATATTGACTCATATACTTTCATACAACTGCTAATATATATATATATATAGACTCATTTTTCTTCTTCCACTTTCATCTACAGCCTATTTGTTTTTCTCCCCCCATTTTTCGTTTGGATTCATAGCATAAATTGACAACAAAGATACATCTCAATTTAGAGCTTCCAAAAGGCACCCATAAAAGTATCTGGTGCTCATGGAATTTCTCTTTCTTCTGTGTCTCTTAGTTACACTTTTCTCTTATTACACTTTTCTATCCAGCCGTGGCTAAGAGGCATATAATCAGAAGCAGCTAAGCAATGTATGCAAGGGAAATAAAATGAACACAAACCAAGATAACCGGTTTTGTAAATTAGATAGCAAGGCCACCCTCAGAGTCAGTTTGAGGGTTTCGTGGGAAGCCTAAGAAATATAACTGATATAACTGATATATTATCAGTTATAAAAAAAGTTATAAGAAAAGGGTCAAGCTTTAAAACTGGAATTGGCTTTTCAAATTTAATGAGCAAAAAGAAACCCCAAAACTGGAATTGTAATTGTGGAGAAATAGAACTGATAATATCTGGAACTTGCAGCAGTTTACAGGCTTAACTATGTATGTGTTCCTTAAATTATCCACCCGCAGATATCAGATTACAATAAGTCCTCACTTAATGTCATTGATAGGTTCTTGGAAACTACCACTTTAAGCAAAAGGACATAATGCATACGAAACCAGTTTTCCCATAGTCTAATTGATAGGAAAAAGAGTTGAGTTATGAAGCCACACAGTACCTCGTTTGGCTTAAAGTCACTGTTTCCAAGAACATATCCACAATGTTAAGTAAGGACTTACTGTAAATGAAAATATTTGCAGTAAATCGCTTTTGAGAGAATTGGTTATCACACTCTTCTCTGGGTATCACTGAAAATTCAGAATGTTTAGTTACATCAGGCTATACTCACTGGTATGAAATCAGGGAGCAAGTATAAAGTAGGTGTAGGGAAATAATTTATGTTGGATTAAATGATCCAATGAAGGAATTTTATTAAGCCCCTAGAAATCCCAGAATGAAAATGTATAACTGCATGACTAACCCCTGTAAGAATTTGCTGGGGTTTCTGCATTATGTACGCTTCCCAGGCCATTTGTAATGAAGCTACCGTGATCTGTTAAGGAAGAGACCTACACCTGGGAACATAAACAGCCAATTCCATCCTGGACATCAGTCTCCTGTTTGACTCATTCCAACCCCAAGAATATGTTGTAGAGTGTAGGACCCATGAAAGTTACCTACAGTGCTTCCCTGTACCTTCCATCATCCAGTTCCCAAACATACCTGTGTTTCTTCTCTGAATGCATAGTTACTTGGGATCCCATGTTGTATTAGTCTGTTCTCACACTGCTGTAAAGAACTACTTGAGAGTGGATAGTTTATAAAGAAACAAGGTTTAATTGACTCAGTTTTGCAGGCTATACAAGAGGCATGGCTGGGGAGGCCTCAGGAAACTTACAATCATGGGGAAGGCAAAGGGGAAGCAAGTACATAGTCACATGGCGGCAGGAGAGAGAGTGAAGGGGCAGTGCCACACACTTTTAAACAACCAGATCTCAGAACTCACTAGCACGAGAACAACAAGGGGGAAATTCACCCCCATGATCCAGTCACCTCCCACCAGGCCCCTCCTCCAACACTGAAGCTCATAATTCATCATGAGATTTGGCTGGGGACACAGCGCCAAACCATATCATATGCCTTTCCCAGGACTGGTGTTGGAGGAACAGTGCCTTTGTCACACCTACCAGAATATACTCACCCACTTCCAGACACTCCATTTCTCTTTCAAGCACACCTCCTCACTTGTGCTGCCAGCTAAGGTTTACTGCAGTTACTTCCTTTGTGTGTCCTCTTACCTTACCAAGTCGCCTCACCCACCACCTACTGTTAATTAAATTACCACCTCCCCCACTTCCCCACCTCCAGAGTAGAGACTGTCTCTTCAGTTCTCTTGGCCTTCCCACAATGGGAAGTCTGGTGTGGAACATACCCTAGGAGCCAACTAAATGTGGTAGTGGCCTGCCAACCCTGCAGAGGGCTAGCAAATCTTCAGGGAGTCTGCTGCCGGTGGAAACTCACCAGTACTAGAATCCCAGGCTCCAAAGAAGTCTAGAAAAGTACGTCTTTTAAGGAGCTAATAAGAGGTTCAAGTTTCCACAAATCCTATCTGCTCTTGGCCTAGTTCTTTTGGGATCAGTGTGCTAGTCTCTCTTGTCAAACTAGTTACTGACCAGCAAGACTAAAAAACCAGGCCCAAACACATTCTATTCATGTGCTTAGATATAGACCTATGGATCAAATATCCCACTGTAAAGCAAAAAAGCAAACTGTTTTTCCCTTGTACTCTCACACTCAACAATAGCACACTTCTGTGGCTGGCTGTGTGGGGGCTTTTCCTTACACACCAAACATTTCTCACAGAGACCAACTGGGTGTCCTCTTATTCAATTCAATCCTGACACTGTCTACCTGCAGATAGTGTCCAATCCCACAGATTGACGGCTCGATCCCATGAGACCAGCCCCACTTCAGGCACTAATTCCAAGTCCAGGCAACGCATACTTCTGACTGCCTGGCTAAAAACTACATCCACGGCCGGTCATGGTGGTTCACGCCTGTAATCCCAGCACTTTGGGAGACCAAGGCGGGTGGATCACTTGAGATCAGGGGTTTGAGACCAGCCTGGCCAACATGGTGAAACCCCGTCTCTATTAAAAATACAAAAATTAAACTGGGCACGGTGGCTCACACCAGTAATCCCAGCACTTTGGGAGGCCGGGGCAGGCGGATCACGAGGTCAGATCAAGACCATCCTGGCTAACACGGTGAAACCCCATCTCTACTAAAAATACAAATAAAAATGAGCCAGGCATGGTGGCGGACGCCTGTAGTCCCAGCTACTTGGAAGGCTGAGGCAGGAGAACGGCCTGAACCCATGAGGTGGAGCTTGCAGTGAGCAGAGATCATGTCACTGCACTCCAGCCTGGGTGAGAGAGCGATGCTCCATCTCAAAAAAATAAATAAATGAAATAAAATACAAAAATTAGCTGGGTGTGGTGGCGGGCTCCTATAAGCCCAGCTACCAGGGAGGCTAAGGCAGGAGAATCGCTTGAACCCGGGAGGCAGAGGTTGCAGTGAGTTGAGATCCTGCAACTGCACTCCAGCCTGGGAGACAGAATGAGACCCCATCTCAAAAAAAAAAAAAAAAAAAGGGTTCGCATGAGCCCCCTCCCTGGGTTCAATTAAGTTCCTAGGATGGCTCACAGAACTCAGAGAAACATTTACAGAGCTGTTATGATATATATTGATTTTCATTGATGAACATTGATGCAAAAATCCTCAATAAAATACTGGCAAAACGAATCCAGCAGCACATCAAAAAGCTTATCCACCATGATCAAGTGGGCTTCATCCCTGGGATGCAAGGCTGGTTCAATATATGCAAATCAATAAATGTAATCCAGCATATAAACAGAACCAAAGACAAAAACCACATGATTATCTCAATGGATGCAGAAAAGGCCTTTGACAAAATTCAACAACCCTTCATGCTAAAAACTCTCAATAAGTTAGGTATTGATGGGACATATTTCAAAATAATAAGAGCTATCTATGACAAACCCACAGCCAATATCATACTGAATGGGCAAAAACTGGAAGCATTCCCTTTGAAAACTGGCACAAGACAGGGATGTCCTCTCTTACCACTCTTATTCAACACAGTAATGGAAGTTCTGGCCAGGGCAATCAGGCAGGAGAAGGAAATAAAGGGTATTCAATTAGGAAAAGAGGAAGTCAAATTGTCCCTGTTTGCAGAAGACATGATTGTATATCTAGAAAATCCCATTGTCTCAGCCCAAAATCTCCTTAAGCTGATGAGCAACTTCAGCAAAGTCTCAGGATACAAAATCAATGTACAAAAATCACAAGCATTCTTATACACCAACAACAAACAAACAGAGAGCCAAATCATGAGTGAATTCCCATTCACAATTGCTTCAAAGAGAATAAAATACCTAGGAATCCAACTTACAAGGGATGTGAAGGACCTCTTCAAGCAGAACTGCAAACCACTGCTCAAGGAAATAAAAGAGGATACAAACA